>NC_000007.14:44785696-45088726 GCF_000001405.40 Homo sapiens
AATAAATATTTAGGCTGAGCGCGGTGGCTCACGCCTGTAATCCCAGCACTTTGGGAGGCTGAAGTGGGTGGATCACCTGACGTCAGGAGTTCGAGACCAGCCTGGTCAATGGTTTTTTTTTTTTTTTTGAGACGGAGTCTCGCTCTGTCGCCCAGGCTGGAGTGCAGTGGCGCTATCTCGGCTCACTGCAAACTCTGCCTCCCGGGTTCACGCCATTCTCCTGCTCAGCCTCCCGAGTAGCTGGGACTACAGGCACCCGCCACCACGCCTGGCTAATTTTTTGTATTTTTAGTAAAGATAGGGTTTCACCGTGTTAGCCAGGATGGTCTCGATCTCCTGACCTTGTGATCCACCCGCCTCGGCCTCCCAAAGTGCTGGGATTACAGGCGTGAGCCACCACACCTGGCCTGGCCAACGGTTTTCAACATGGTAAAACCCTGTCTTTACTAAAAATACAAAAATTAGCTGGGTGTGGTGGCATGTGCCTGTAATCCCAGCTACTTGGGAGGCTGAAGCAGGAGAATTGCTTGAACCCAGGAGGCGGAGGTTGCAGTGAGCCAAGATCACACCACTGCACTCCAGCCTGGGCAACAGAACGAGACTCTGTCTCAAAAATAAATAAATAAATAAGGTCGGGTGCGGTGGCTCATACCTGTAATCTCAGCACTTTGGGAGGCCGAGGCAGGCGGATCACCTGAGGTTGGGAGTTCGAGAACAGGCTGGCCAACGTGGAGAAACCCTGTCTCTACTAAAAATACAAAATTAGTTGGGCATAGTGGCGCATGCCTATAATCCCTGCTACTCAGGAGGCTGAGGAAGGAGAATCGCTTGAACCCGGGAGGCGGAGGTTGCAGTGAGCCAAGATCGTGCCATTGCATTCCAGCTTGGACAACAACAGTGAAATTCCGTCTCAAAAAATAAGAATATAAATAAAAAAATAAATAAATATTCAAAGGACTGCTGTGAGAATTTAACAATGACCAACCATTAGGGCCAGGTGCAGTGGCTCACACCTGTAATCCCAGCACTTTGGGAGGCTGAGGTGGGTGGATCACCTGTGGTCAGGAGTTTGAGACCAGCTTGGCCAACGTGGCGAAACCCTGTCTCTATTAGAAGTACAAAAAATTAGCTGGGCATGGTGGCGGGCACCTGTAATTCCTGCTACTCGGAAGGCTGAGGCAGCAGAATCACTTGAACCTGGGAGGCAGAGGTTGCAGTGAGCAGAGATCGTGCCATTGCACTCCAGCCTTGGCAACAAGAGGGAGACACCGTCTCAAAAAACAAAACAAAACTAAATAAAAAAACCCAATGACCATTAATAACAGCAACTAACACTTTCTAGGATTCTGTGTTTACTAACTGAAGACTTATTTCTGGGGTTTTTTGTTTTTGATATTGTGGCCCTTCCTGTTAGGGAAATTCCCCACCTTCTGAGCTCAAGTGGAAGGCAAAGTCTGAAGACCTTAGACACCGAGGCCTGAAGGCACAGGCGGAGATTAAGGGCTCAACCCAGCAGGTGCATCCTCCCCGCCCCCAACTTCAACTTTAGCATCGCCCCAGAGGGGTGCTTCAGGGCTGGGTCCACTGAAGAGTTGGTAGAGTCCTCCTCAGGCCCATGCTGGGCTCTGTTTGTGCCAGCTCCCCAGGTGCCCAAGGACTCTCCAGTCACTCCCTTCCCTCCTGAGTGAGGTCATAAGTGCATCAGACATCCACCCATTGTCTACACAACAGGCTTCTCTCTTGCCTTCTTCCTTACTATCAGGACCTTGAGTGGTGTGGGCAGCCACAGGCCCAATCAAAATACAGTTGACCCTTAGCCGGGCATGCTGGCTGCACCTGTAGTCTCAGCTACTCAGGAGGCTCAGGCAGGATTGCTTGAGCCCAGCAGCTCAAGGCTATAATGTACTACGATTGTGTCTGTGAATAGCCACTGTACTCCAGCCTAGGCAACATAGCAAGACCCTATCTCTAAAAAGAAAAATACAGTTGACCTTTGAACAACATGGACGTTAGGGATGCTGATACTCTTTACAGTCAAAAATCCACATATAACCTTTGACTCCTCAAAAAGCCTATTTAGGCCAGGTGCGGTGGCTCACACCTGTAATCCCAACACTTTGGGAGGCTGAGGGCAGATCACTTGAGGTCAAGAGTTTGAGATCAGCCTGGCCAACATGGTGAAACACCATGTCGTTCAAGGTCAACTGTAGTTATCTTCCTGAATGCTTATAGCCAAGAGTGGAAGCTGCCGAGTGGGGCTCCTGGGAAACTTTTGAAACAGGACAGATGGTGGTGGCTCCTCCCTCAACTTTTGCCCTTCTTCCTTCTTTCCTGGTTTTCCTGTCCAATCCCAGGCACCTGTTGTTGCAGTTTTGTGTCCTGTGGCTTTCCTATGTAGAAAGACTATTCAGGGGTTATTATATGTTAACAACTGATATTTAATTCATTAAAGCTACAATTTTAATTAAAGCAATTTTTTTTTGTAGAGATGGGAGGGGTCTCACTATGTTGCCCAGACTGGTCTCAAACTCCTGGGCTCAAGCAGTCCTCCCACCTTGGCTTCCCAAAGTGCGAGGTTATGGGTGTGAGCCACTGTGCCCAGCCTAAACTACAATTTTGTTTTTTATTATTTTATTTTAAAAACATCAGGTTAGTAAAAAATAAACTATAATTTTAAAACCTACTTCTTTCCTGGGTTTTAAGTTTACCTTAGAAATAATATTAGTCTCTTTATAAGTATAGCAAATTTGAACTCTTTGAACATATTTGCAAACTTTTTTTTTTTTTTTTTTTTTGAGACGGAGTCTCTCTCCGTCTCCTTGCTCAGGCTGGAGTGCAGTGGCACGATCTTGGCTCACTCCAACCTCTGTCTCCCAGGTTCAAATGATTCTCCTGCCTCAGCCTTCTCAGTAGCTGGGATTACAGGCGCCCGTCACCATGGCTGGCTAATTTTTGTATTTTTAGTAGAGATGGGGTTTCTCCATGTTGGTCAAGCTGGTCTTGAACTCCTGACCTCAGGTGATCCACCTCCCTCGGCCTCCCAAAGTGCTAGGATTACAGGTGTGAGCCACTGCGCCCAGGCATCTTCTAACATCTTAAACTACATTTAACAATGTAATAAATTTGATTTCCAATTAAAGTATGTAATTGTCCAAATTAACAAAGAAAACCTCCCTGACTATTAAATAACTCTAATAAACTTTTAAATATGTTGAACTTAAAGTTATCTTAAATATTAAAATGCAGGCCAGGCACGGTGGCTCATGTGTAATCCCAGCACCTTGGGAGGCTGAGGTGGGCGGATCACGTGAGGTTGGGAGTTCGAGACCAGCCTCACCAACTGGAGAAACCCCGTCTCTACTAAAAAATACAAAATTAGCTGGGCGTGGTGGCGCATGCCTGTAATCCCAGCTACTGGGGAGGCTGAGGCAGGAGAATCGCTTGAACCCGGAAGGCGGAGGTTGCTGTGAGCTGAGATCGCGCCATTGCACCCCAGCCTGGGCAACAAGAGCGAAACTCTGTCTCGAAAATAAATAAATAGGCTGGGTGTGGTGGCTCATGCCTGTAATCCCAGCACTTTGGGAGACCGAGGCAGGCGGATCACGAGGTCAGGAGATCGAGACCATCCTGGCTAACACAGTGAAACCCCGTCTCTACTAAAAATACAAAAAATTAGCCAGGCAAGGTGGCGGGCGCCTGTAGTCCCAGCTACTCGGGAGGCTGAGGCAGGAGAATGGCGTGAACCCCGGGGGCGGAGCCTGCAGTGAGCCGAGATCGTGCCACTGCACTCCAGTCTGGGCGACAGCGAGACTCTGTCTCAAAAAAAACACAAAAAAACAAAAAAAAAAAAAACAAAAAATTAGCCAGGCGTGGTGGCGGGCGCCTGTGGTCCCAGCTACTCGGGAGGCTGAGGCAGGAGAATGGCGTGAACCCAGGAGGCAGAGCTTGCAGTGAGCTGAGATTGTGCCACTGCACTCCAGCCTGGGCGACAGAGCGAGACTCCGTCTCAAAAAAAAAAAAAATGCAATAAGTTTTGTGATATTTCAATTAAAAATCACAAGTCTCAGTCAACTTTTGCCCACATATGCGCTTACTGGGCGGGAACAGGGAGTTGCTAAATAGAGCACAGGTTTCTTTTGGAGTGAAAGAAAATTTCTATTACTAGATTGTGATGTTTGCGCAATTCTGAATTTACTAAAAATTATTAAATTGTATGCTTAAAACAAGTGAATTTGAGGGTGTGTAAACAACACCTCAACAAAGCTGTTGAAAATGGATACATAAACCAAAGTGAGAAAAAAACTACTATATGTTTTAATTAAAATTAAATAACTATCCCTTTTTAAATGGAACTATAGGTTGTTGCTGTAAAAAAACAAATTCACTTAAGTATTACAACTCCTGAACGCATGCCTGAGGTATGCAACACACCTGCCTATGTGTGTGACAGCTAGACTCTGGCCTGGCTGTGGACAGTGTCCTTTTGGCTGCCCCGGGTGCCTGCCATAGAAAGACCTCTATGCTTGAGGACAGCACAGACCTGTTTTCCTTCCACTCACTGTTCTTTCTCCATGCCCTCCCTGGGTGGAATGTGCGGGTCTCTTTTGCTTCTTCTTCTAAACGCTTTTATATTTGATGAAATCCTCATTTATATTAATATAAATGTCTTTTCTGGGCCAGGTGCTGCGACTCACACCTGTAATCTCAACAGTTTGGGAAGCCGAGGCAAGAAGATTACTTGAGCCCGGGAGTTTGAGACCAGCCTGACAACATAGCAAATAAAATTCTTTTTAAAAAATTAACTGGTGTAGTGGTACATGCCTGTGGTCCTGGCTGCTCAGGAGGCTGAGGTGGGAGGATCAACACTGCACTCCAGCCTGGGCAACAGGGTAAGACCCTGTTTCAAAAAGAAAAAAAATAAAGATTAATGTCTCTGACCATTTCTGTGCTTGACAGGCATTTAGGAATCTTTCATATACTTCAGGGCCTGCATAACTCTTAGGGCTAATAATGTGATACCTATTTGAATTTGTTATTCCACATTGCTTTTCTGACTTCTGATCACCACTTAGTAGGTCCATTCTACTAAGAGCACCTTTGAGTTGCTCTTTGCCTCTGGATTTTTTATTGTATGAGACAAATAAACTCCTGTCTAAGCCAGTATTGATGAAGTTTTCTACTGCTTGCTAGAAAACTTGGTTGGTTTTTTTTCTTTGTTTGTTTGTTTTGAGAAAGTTCTGCTATGTTGCCCAGGCTGGAGTGCAGTGGCTCGATCTTGGCTCACTGCAACCTCAACCTTCCAGGTTTAAGAGATTCTCGTGCCTCAACCTCCCGAGTAGCTGGGAATACAGGTGCACACCACCACCCAGCTAATTTTTGTATTCTTAGTAGAGATGGAGTTTCACCATGTTGGCCAGGCTGGTCTTGAACTCCTGACCTCAGGTGATCCGACTGCCTTGGCCTCCCAAAGTGCTGGGATTACAGGTGTGAGCCACTGTGCCTGACTGAGAACTTGGTTTAGAATCATCTGAGAATTTGAGTCATGGGAAAGGATGAGGTTCATCTTGGAGGGTATGTAAGGAAACAAAACAAGATCAAATGCTTAATTCTGACAGAGGAGAAATTTGTGAAAAAGCTAAAGGGGAAATGGTAAAGGAAACATGAGAGAAAAGTCAAAGCCATCAAGGAAAGGAAGCTTTCCAATCAAGGAGGTGATGAAACCTGTCTGATGCAGGCAGTGTCAGACCTGCAAAAAGCACCTGGGTTTGTGGGCTGAGAGGTCACTGATGGTCTCAGCAGAAGCGGTTTCCATTCAGCCTGGAGAGCAGAGGCACCAAGCTAGGCCTTGGGCAAGAGGCACAGAGAAGACAAGTTACTACCCAAAGTCGTCTGTTTTCATAATTTTGAATACCCTAATTTTTTCCCTGGTTACCTTCTCTCTTGCTCAGGCACATTTTTGAGATAAGCATTTGTTTATAAGATGCTATATGATCAGGAGCTACAGTTGAGTTTCAGAGTTCTGCTTGCTGGCATGGAACACCTCCATCTAGCCAGAACAGGGCACTGTTGAGTTCAGCTGGATTTGCTTTTGGTCTGATTCATCCAAATAAGGCATGGACAGCTCCACATTCCTGAGGTTCTGTGTCTGCTGATATTTTCCACAGTTAGACAGTCCCACTCAACAGATAATGTCAGAAAAGGAACCCCCAGAATATCAGCTCCCCACTTAACAAACAAAACATGAACATTTGTATTCTTGAGTGTACATACCCCATGCCTGTGTAGATGAAATGACAAGAACTAGGACTTTGCTGTGACAATGCTGACGGTGACAAAAAGGCAGGACTTCAAATAGTAGCGAGAGGGAGGACAAGTCACAAGGATGTATTCATTTATTTGTTTTGAGACGAAGTCTCAGTCTGTCACCCACGCTGGAGTGCAGTGGCTCGATCTTGGCTCACTACAACCTCCACCTCCCAGGTTCAAGCGATTCCCCTGCCTTAGCCTCCTGAGCAGCTGGGACTACAGGAGCCCACCACCATACCAGGCTAATATTTGTATTTTTAGTAGAGACGGGGTTTCGCCATGTTGGCCAGGCTGGTCTTGAACTCCTGACCTCAAGTGATCCACCTGCCTCGGCCTCCCAAAGTTCTGGGATTACAGGTATGAGCCACTGTACCCAGCCGGATGTATTTATTTTTATTTTTATTTTTATTTTTGAGACAGGGTCTTGCTCTGTTACCCAGGCTGGAGTGTAGTGGCACCATCATGGCTCACTGCAGCCTCAACCTCCTGGGCTCAAGTGATCCTCCCATCTCAGCCTCCCGAGTAGCTGGGACTATAGGTATGCACCACCGTGCTTGGCTAATTTTTATTTTTAAAAATGTTTTGACCGGGCACAGTGGTTCATGCCTGTAATCCCAGCACTTTGGGAGGCTGAGGCAGGCGGATCACCTGAGGTCAGGAGTTCGAGACCAGCCTGACCAACATGATGAATCCCATCTCTACTAAAAATATAAAATTAGCTGGGCATGGTGGTGCATGCCTGTAATCCCAGCTACTTGGGAGGCTGAGGCAGGAGAATTGCTTGAAGCCAGGACGTGGAGGTTGCAGTGAGCCAAGATCACGCCATTCATTGACCTCCAGCCTGGGCTTCAAGAGTAAAACTCACTCTGTCTCAAAAAATAAATAAATAAATAAATAAATAAATAAATAAAAATAAAATAGGCCGGGCATGGTGGCTCACACCTGTAATCCCAGCACTTTGGGAGGCCGAAGTGGGTGGATCACCTGAGGTTGGGAGCTTAAGACCAGCCTGACCAACACGAGAAACCCCATCTCTACTAAAAATACAAAATTAGCCGGGAGTGATGGCGCATGCCTGTAATCCCAGCTACTTGTAAGGCTGAGGCAGGAGAATTGCTTGAACCCAGGAGGCGGAGGTTGCAGTGAGCCGAGATCAAGCCATTGCACTCCGTCAAGAGCGAAACTCTGTCTCAAACAAATAAAAATAAAAAATAAAAGAAAATACATATTTTTTTGTAGAAGCAGGGTTTCCCTCTGTTGCCCAGGCTGGTGTTGAACTCCTGGGCTCAACCGATCCTCCTGCCTTGGCCTCCCAAAGCACTGGCATTACAGGCGTGAGCCACCACGCCCAGCCTATTTATTATTCATTCATGCATTCATTTACTTTTTTTTTTTTGAGATGGAATCTCACCCCATCCCCCAGACTGGAGTGCAGTGGTGTGATCTCAGCTCACTGCAACCTCCGTCTCCCAAGCTTAAGTGATTCTCCTGCCTCAGCTTCCTGAGTAGCTGGGATTACAGATGCGCACCACCATGCCCGGCTAACTTTTGTATTTTTAGTAGAGACGGGGTTTCACCATATTTGTCAGGCTGGTCTTGAACTCCTGACCTCATGATCCACTCACCTCAGTCTCCCAAAGTGCTGGGATTACAGGCGTGAGCCACTGTGCCCAGCCCTAATTTTTGTACTTTTTAGTAGAGATGGGTTTTCCCTGTGTTGGCCAGGCTAGTCTTGAACTCCTGGCCTCAAGTGACCCACTTACCTCGGCCTCCCGAAGTGCTGCAATTACAGTGTGAGCCACCATGCCCAGCCCTGCCCAGTTAATTTTTGTATTTTTAGTAGAGATAGGGTTTCACTATGTTGTCCAAGCTGGTCTTGAACTCCTGACCTCAAATTATCCACCCGCCTCTGCCTCCCAAAGTGCTAGGATTACAGGCATGAGCCACCTCACCCGGCCTCATTCATTTACTTCTTTGGAGGAGTTCCTAACTGCTCTACGTTTTAGGATGGAGAGAGAAATGGTAAGAATTTATGCCTGAAGGCCTTGGGCATTTTTTTTCAGTGTCAGATGAGGACAAGTGGCTTTCTTAAGATCACAAAGCAAGAAGTGATGTGGAGTGGGGGGGAAAAAAGCAGTTTCCAGTTTGGCTTTGCTAACACTCATAAGCGATTACTCTGAACAAGAAGCCAGAGCTTTACTTTACGCATCTGTAAAATGGGGATAATGGGATGGTGATGAGAACAAAACAACATAGTCTAAATTTCCAACACAGGCTGAGCATGGCGGTTCACCTGTAATGCTAGAACTTTGGGAGGCCAAGGTGGGAGAATCCTTTAAGCCCTGGAGTTTGAGACCAGCCCTGATAACACAGCCAGAACCAGTTTCTGTTAAAAAAATTTAAATTAGCTGGCACAGTGGCTTGTGCCTTTAGTCCCAGACATTTGGGAGGTTGAGGAGGGAGGAATGCTTCAGTCCAAGAGTTCGAGGTTACAGTGAGCTAGGATTGCACCACTGCACTCCAGACTAACCAACAGAGTGAGACCCTATCTCAAATAAATAAATTCCTAACACGTTGGCTCATGGTTATTAACAATGGCAAGAGGCCAGAAACTGTACTTCATCTATCAGATGAATTATCATTTTTGTCTCACCACAACCCTATCCTGGTTGTGCAGATGAAGAAACTGAGTTTTAGAAACATTAAACAACGTCCAGGTGCAGCAGCTCACGCCTATAATCCCAGCACTTTTGGGAGGCTGAGGCGGGTGGATCGCTTGAGTCCAGGAGTTTGAGACCAGCCTGGGCGATGTGGCGAAACCCCATCTTTACAAAACACACACACACAAAATGAGCTGGGTGTGGGTGCATGCCTGTAGTCCCAGCTACTTGGGAGGCTAAGGTGGGACGCTTGCTCGAGCACGGGAAGGGGAGGTTGCAGTGAGCCGATAACACACCACTGCACTTCCAGCCTAGGTGAGAGTGAGACCTTGTCTCAAAAAAACAAAAAGAAACATTAAATAATATCCTTAATATTGCAACTTAAGTGACAGCCCAGGATATATGAATTCCCTTGTAAGGTTTTCTTAACAAAACACCAGTCACATAAGTGCATTTTATTTTATATTTTTGTTTATTTATTTGAGACGGAGTCTCTGTCTCTCAGGCTGGAGTGCAGTGGCGCCATCTCTGCTCGCTGCAACCTCCACCTCCTGGGTTCCAGCGATTCTCCTGCCTCAGCCTCCCGAGGGGGTAGCTGGGACTACAGGTGCGCACCACCATGCCCAGCTAATTTTGTATTTTTCGTAGAGATGGGGTTTCACCATGTTGTCCAGGCTGGTCTTGAACTCCTGACCTCAGGTGATCCTCCCGCCTCGGCCTCCCAAAGTGCTGGAATTACAGGCGTGATCCACCGCACCCGGCCTATTTTTTGAGAGAGGGTCACACTCTGTCGTCCCGGCTGGAATGCAGTGATGCGATCACCGCCCACTACAGCCTCGACCTCCGGGCTCAAGCAATCCTCCCCGCCCAGCCTCCTGAGTAGCGAGCGCCTCGACGCCCAGCTAATTTTTATTTTTATTTATTTTTTTGTAGAGACGGCGTCTCTCTAAGATGCCCAGGCTGGTGGCCGGTGTCGAACTCCTAAGATGAAGCGATCCTCCCCGGCCTTGGCCTCCGCGCCTCCTAAAGCGCCAGGTATGAGCCACCGCGCCTGGCCTACAAGTGCATTTTAATTAAAGTATTATTAATGTCTTTGCCTGAAGAAATTCGCTTTTAAATTGTGACTTATCTTTCACCCAAAAATCAAAGCACAATTCAGCCCCGAGGCGGGGGCGGTAGGAGCTGGGCGGGGCGGGGGCAGGGAAAGACCAGGAGCAGAGATTCAAAAAGAGTAAGAGGGCAAAATGTGCATAATGCATCTTCACAGGTAAGAGCCTGGCCAGGCTCCTGTTTTAATGGCTTCCTCCTGAAGAAGATTCAAGCAGAGTGTAAGATATTTTCGGAAAGTAGAGCATTTTGAAAGCATTTCATAATCTCTCAAAACCGGAGACTGCTCCTGTCCCACCTCGTTAGAGAAAACAGCGATGCTCAAAGGCAACCTCCTTCCTGACATTGCCTGGTAGGACGCGACGTGGTGTTTGCCCGCGCGGAATGCGGACGCAAGGCTGCTCCTAGGTCTCGGGGACGCGCCATCCCCATTTCCGCTCGCGGAGGCGTAGGGTCCGGGCGCGGGACCCCAGTCGACCTTGACTGGCGGCGCGACCTTGAGGCCTGCGTTCGCCTCAGTTGCCCCCTCTGTGCAATGGGGAGACGCGCCTCATCGCTTGACAACGGCCGAAGAGCCGCCGCGCTTCCGTCTCCCGCGTGCGCGCGCCATGCTGCCCACCCCCGTTCCGCACTGACCCTCCCCCGTGCCCCGCGTCCCGTACTGCCGCCCCGCCCCGAGTCCCATGCCGCAGCCACCGCGACGGAGCCCGCAGGCGGGAACCTGCCTCCGCGCGTTAGCGCGCACGCGCGCCTCATGTGTCGTCCCCATCAGCGCCGGCTTCCGTCTATAGGCCAGATGCACTGTCACTCTGGCGAAGTCGCAGACCCGATTGGCCGGGACGGAGGCGCGAGACCGGGTTGCGGGCGGGGCCGAACGTGGTATAAAAGGGGCGGGAGGCCAGGCTCGTGCCGTTTTGCAGACGCCACCGCCGAGGAAAACCGTGTACTATTAGCCATGGTCAACCCCACCGTGTTCTTCGACATTGCCGTCGACGGCGAGCCCTTGGGCCGCGTCTCCTTTGAGGTCGGGCGGGCGGCGGCGTGCGGGAATGGGGCCCAGAAAGTGGGCCGGGGTCGGGGTGGGTGGTAGCGCCCCAAAGGCCCGGGCGCGGGGCGACCCTGCTTGAGGGGCGAGCGCGGGCGGGCTGCGGCGCCATTTCCTGACGAGGGGCCATTTTGGGAGGTCCGCGAGTCGCGGGGAGGAGGCCGGGACGGCGGCGGACAAAGGCAGGCGGGGCGGCTGCGAGGCCGTTGGGGGAGGGGGCCCGCGTCCGCCCGCCCGCCTCATGTGGCCGCGCCCTGTCCTGTCCGACGCACGTGCTCGGCGGCCGCGCTCAGGTCCGCGCCTTGAGAGTCGTTGGGCTCCGCCCTAGCTTGGCCTGGGCGCCGCAGACCGGAGCCAGAAGCACGCTCGCGGGGGCTTGCGACCGCCTTCCTGGGAAGCTGTCCCCTGGCAGGCATGGGTGCTTTACATCCTGAGCTGGGAAGCTGTTTGCTTGAGGGTTTTTCTCAAGGATCGAGGCGCGGTGTGAGCCCGTCCATGCTCGGTCCTGTAGATCCCGGGAGGCCATGTTATAAAAGGAGACTTGCTGGGATGTGACGGGTTGCCACTTGAAATATCTTCCATTTGGATAAAGTAGGAATATTTATACATGTGCCCCAAACGTCCCTCCGTGTCCCCCACCCCCAAGCGGAAATGTGAAAATGGGCCTTGCCTTTGCTGGTGCCCAAGGACCGCCTTCCACTGCAGTGACGGCGCTGGCGGGGGAGGCGCTCTTGAGCCCCTCCCGATTGTCCCTCTGCCTAGCAAGCAAGTTGCGACTGGCCACAAGGCAGGCCTCTTCCGACCAAGGTGGATTACCAGTGATTACCTAATTAGTTTTGAGAGCGTTAAATGAGTTCTTAAAGATCAGTTGTAATTATAGCATAGTATCTAAACTTGGCGCGTGTCTTCAAAGTTAAATATTGAGTACGATTCCGTTCCAGTTAACATGGATAGACCTTAGGGAGTAGCGAAATAGGATGTTAGTGGTTTTATTCCTTTAAATCACATCTCAAAAGGCCACCAATGGCTAGTTTGGGATCTTATTCCGAAAATAGATTGATCCTCATGCAGTCTTCGTGAGGACAGAGCGATTTCCTTGTTGCCTACCCTGTCCATAGTGCCTGGCACATAGGCACTGAAACACTGCATGTTAATCCACACCCCACCCCACCTATGAGTGTAGTCAAAGCTGGTAAGTGACAAGGGCTTTCGTGGAAACTTGGCCTGACCTAATGTTGGGCATCAGGTTACCCAAAGAGCTTCAGGGAAATGAGAAAGGACTTGCAGGTCTTGATGAGAATGGAGGGGTAACTGCCAATGAGGGCTTTGGCTTTAGCGAAAGTCTGAAAGGGAAGCCATAGGAACTTAAACGTACCGACTATAAAGCTCTGAGAAAAGCTGATGTTTTAGAAAGACCATACATTCTAGGTACAAATACCTAAAAACTAAAAAATAAGTACGTTGGCCAGGCGGGCGGATCACGAAGTCAGGAGATTGAGACCGTCCTGGCCAACATGGTGAAACCCCACCTCTATTAAAAATACAAAAATTAGCTGGGCGTGGTGGCGCTTGCCTGTAATCTCAGCTACTCTAGAGGCTGAGGCAGGAGAATCGCTTGAACCCCGGAGGCGGAGGCTGCAGTGAGCCGAGATCGTGCCACTGCACTCCAGCCTGGTGACAGTGAGACTCTTGTCTCAAAAAAAAAAAAGTACATTGCTATAAGAGAAGTGCACACGGATACTAGTAGTTAATTCAGTCACATCTGTGAAATAGCTTATAAAATGCTACTTTTAAACAAGCTGTTTTTATGAAAGGGCTTGTAAATGTTTATGGTATTTAAGCTACCTCTCTAGCCATAACGTATTATACATTCAAGAAAGGTTCAAAACCAGATATACTAGAAACCAATCTTTATTTTTTACCCCACTACTAGGTAAGGGGCCTGGATACCAAGAAGTGACTGCTCATCTAATCCATAAAGCTATGTTAACAGATTGGAGGTAGTAGCATTTTCATTACAAGTGACTAAAAGAACAGCTGTTTACCCCTGATCGTGCAGCAGTGCTTGCTGTTCCTTAGAATTTTGCCTTGTAAGTTCTAGCTCAAGTTGGGGGGTGGTGATAGACATTTAAGAAGCCATATATCTTTTCAGAAGTAGGTGTGATGTACTAAAAGTTTGAGACACTTTCTAGAAGTCTCACTATTTAAGTTATGACTAGTATTGGATTTTTGGCATGTCTTTGGGTTTCATGTTTCTTAACCCAACTGCCTGCAGGGCCTTATGGCTGTCAGGAGCAGTTCTTGGGAATTAAAGTAATTACTGAAGAAGTATTCTAGTGAGAAAATGAATTTATGACTCAGAAGCCCCTAAAGACATGGGTACTAAGCAACAAAATAAGCAGATGTTAATTAACTGTAATTTTCTCTTACAGCTGTTTGCAGACAAGGTCCCAAAGACAGCAGGTTGGTCCATTTTCTAAGTTTAACAAAGATGTTCCAATTGTGACAGTTTGTGTGTGTGTGTGTATATATATATTTTTATGTATGTATATATGTGTTTAATTTTTTTTTAAACAGAAAATTTTCGTGCTCTGAGCACTGGAGAGAAAGGATTTGGTTATAAGGGTTCCTGCTTTCACAGAATTATTCCAGGGTTTATGTGTCAGGTACGAAATTTACTGAATTTTATTTTATTTGGGTTGCTCCCTTCATTTGGGATTGAGCCAGAATATTTCAGGATACACATATCTGAACTGTTACTCTACCATTTCGGTTCTATTTAACCCTTCTATTCAGTTTGAACTTGGGTTTAAAGTTTGAACCTTGCAGATTTGGCACACTTCATGGTTATGTTGTCAGAAGTGACATTTTTCCTATATGTTGACAGGGTGGTGACTTCACACGCCATAATGGCACTGGTGGCAAGTCCATCTATGGGGAGAAATTTGAAGATGAGAACTTCATCCTAAAGCATACGGGTCCTGGCATCTTGTCCATGGCAAATGCTGGACCCAACACAAATGGTTCCCAGTTTTTCATCTGCACTGCCAAGACTGAGTGGTAAGGGTACAACATGGCACACTAACCACCTGACTAAATGAAAAGTTGCCCTGGGGGGAACGGAACAAACACTACTTTTCTTCAACCTTTGCTTCCACAGACTTTTTCATCCCTAAGATACTAGAAGAAGAGCATACATAAACGACAAATATAGCCAATGTGATACAGAATGTCAGATACTATGATAGAAACTTGGCCCTTAGCTGGGTGGTTGAATTAGGTGCTACTTTTTTGAGATGGAGTTTTGCTCTGTTGCCAGGTTGGAGTGCAGTGGCACAATCTGGGCTCACTGCAACCTCTGCCTCCTGGGTTCAAGCGATTCTCCTGCCTTGGCCTCCTGAGTAGCTGAGAATACAGATGTGTGCCAGCATGCCTGGCTAATTTTTTGTATTTTTGTGGAGACGGGGTTTCATCATGTTGGCCAAGCTGGTCTTGAACTCGTGACTTAAGGTGAACCACCTGCCTTGGCCCCCCAAAGTGCTGGGATTTCAGGCATGAGCCACTGCGCCCAACCAATTAAGTGCTTTTTTTTTTTTTTTCTTTTCTCAGACTGGATCTCGCTCTTATCTCCCAGGTTGGAGTGCAGTGGTGCCATCTCAGCTCACTGCAACCTCCTCCCGGGTTCAAGCAATTCTTCTGCCTCAGCCTCTCAAGTAGCTGGAACTACAGGCATGCACCACCACTCCCAGCTAAATTGTGTATTATTAGTAGAGCGGGATTTACCATGTTGTCCAGGCTGGTCTCGAACTCCTGGGCTCAAGTGATCTGCCTGCCTTGACCCCCCCAAAGTGCTGGGATTACAGGCATGAGCCACTGTGCCCACCCAATTAAGTGCTGCTTTTATGTTACTATTAATAACATGCGGTTGGTTGGGTTTTTTGTTTCTTTGGGGTTTTTGTTTTGTTTTGTTTGTTTTTGGGGGAGGGGGGCGCAATTCATTCTATATGTGTAACTCTTTTTTGAGATGGAGTTTCGCTCTGTCGCCCAGGCTGGAGTGCAGTGGCGCGATCTCGGCTCACTGCAAGCTCCGCCTCCCAGGTTCACGCCATTCTCCTGCCTCAGCCTCCCGAGTAGCTGGGACTATAGGCACACGCCACCATGCCCGGCTAATTTTTTGTATTTTTAGTAGAGACAGGGTTTCACCGTGTTAGCCAGGATGGTCTCGATCTCCTGACCTCGTGATCCGCCCGCCTTGGCCTCCCAAAGTGCTGGGATTACAGGCGTGAGCCACCGCACCCGGCCTATATGTGTAACTCTTTAATGGTAATTGGAGAATCATGTTTAATGACATTTAGTACAAAAGGCTTCAGTTAAAAAAAAAAAAAAAAGCTACCTTTCTCGTCTTGGTTCATGACACATGGAGGCTGCTTGTTTGTGGTTGCCAGTCATAGTGATTGTTCTTCCTTTTCAAGGTTGGATGGCAAGCATGTGGTGTTTGGCAAAGTGAAAGAAGGCATGAATATTGTGGAGGCCATGGAGCGCTTTGGGTCCAGGAATGGCAAGACCAGCAAGAAGATCACCATTGCTGACTGTGGACAACTCGAATAAGTTTGACTTGTGTTTTATCTTAACCACCAGATCATTCCTTCTGTAGCTCAGGAGAGCACCCCTCCACCCCATTTGCTCGCAGTATCCTAGAATCTTTGTGCTCTCGCTGCAGTTCCCTTTGGGTTCCATGTTTTCCTTGTTCCCTCCCATGCCTAGCTGGATTGCAGAGTTAAGTTTATGATTATGAAATAAAAACTAAATAACAATTGTCCTCGTTTGAGTTAAGAGTGTTGATGTAGGCTTTATTTTAAGCAGTAATGGGTTACTTCTGAAACATCACTTGTTTGCTTAATTCTACACAGTACTTAGATTTTTTTTACTTTCCAGTCCCAGGAAGTGTCAATGTTTGTTGAGTGGAATATTGAAAATGTAGGCAGCAACTGGGCATGGTGGCTCACTGTCTGTAATGTATTACCTGAGGCAGAAGACCACCTGAGGGTAGGAGTCAAGATCAGCCTGGGCAACATAGTGAGACGCTGTCTCTACAAAAAATAATTAGCCTGGCCTGGTGGTGCATGCCTAGTCCTAGCTGATCTGGAGGCTGACGTGGGAGGATTGCTTGAGCCTAGAGTGAGCTATTATCATGCCACTGTACAGCCTGGGTGTTCACAGATCTTGTGTCTCAAAGGTAGGCAGAGGCAGGAAAAGCAAGGAGCCAGAATTAAGAGGTTGGGTCAGTCTGCAGTGAGTTCATGCATTTAGAGGTGTTCTTCAAGATGACTAATGTCAAAAATTGAGACATCTGTTGCGGTTTTTTTTTTTTTTTTTTCCCCTGGAATGCAGTGGCGTGATCTCAGCTCACTGCAGCCTCCGCCTCCTGGGTTCAAGTGATTCTAGTGCCTCAGCCTCCTGAGTAGCTGGGATAATGGGCGTGTGCCACCATGCCCAGCTAATTTTTGTATTTTTAGTATAGATGGGGTTTCATCATTTTGACCAGGCTGGTCTCAAACTCTTGACCTCAGCTGATGCGCCTGCCTTGGCCTCCCAAACTGCTGAGATTACAGATGTGAGCCACCGCACCCTACCTCATTTTCTGTAACAAAGCTAAGCTTGAACACTGTTGATGTTCTTGAGGGAAGCATATTGGGCTTTAGGCTGTAGGTCAAGTTTATACATCTTAATTATGGTGGAATTCCTATGTAGAGTCTAAAAAGCCAGGTACTTGGTGCTACAGTCAGTCTCCCTGCAGAGGGTTAAGGCGCAGACTACCTGCAGTGAGGAGGTACTGCTTGTAGCATATAGAGCCTCTCCCTAGCTTTGGTTATGGAGGCTTTGAGGTTTTGCAAACCTGACCAATTTAAGCCATAAGATCTGGTCAAAGGGATACCCTTCCCACTAAGGACTTGGTTTCTCAGGAAATTATATGTACAGTGCTTGCTGGCAGTTAGATGTCAGGACAATCTAAGCTGAGAAAACCCCTTCTCTGCCCACCTTAACAGACCTCTAGGGTTCTTAACCCAGCAATCAAGTTTGCCTATCCTAGAGGTGGCGGATTTGATCATTTGGTGTGTTGGGCAATTTTTGTTTTACTGTCTGGTTCCTTCTGCGTGAATTACCACCACCACCACTTGTGCATCTCAGTCTTGTGTGTTGTCTGGTTACGTATTCCCTGGGTGATACCATTCAATGTCTTAATGTACTTGTGGCTCAGACCTGAGTGCAAGGTGGAAATAAACATCAAACATCTTTTCATTATCCCTAGTATTTCTTATTCCATTAATTAACAGAATAGCCTCACCACGTTGTCATTAACTGCTTTTATTCATCCAAGTATTTAACTTTTTTTTTCTTTTTTATTTGAGACAGTTTGGCTCTTGTTGCCCAGGCTGGAGTGCAATGGCACTATCTCCACTCACTGCATCCTCTGCCTCCCAGGTTCAAACGATTCTCCTGTCTCAGCTTCCAGAGTAGCTGGGATTACAGGTGTATGCCACCACACCCAGCTAATTTTTTGTATTTTTAGTAGAGTAGGGGTTTACCATGTTCATGGCCAGGCTGGTCTCAAACAGACCTCAGGTAATCCGCCCGCCTTGGGCTCCCAAAGTGCTAGGATTTCAGGCGTGAGCCACCGCGTCCAGCCCCATTCCTTTTTTTTTTTTTTTTTTAATTTCTCCAGTGCCCAGCGTGATCCCTGACATCTGGTATTAGAGTTCAATACTTGGGCCGGGCCTCGGTAATCCCAGCACTTCGGGAGGCCAAGGCAGGCAGATTACCTGAGGTCAGTAGTTTGAGACCAGCCTGGCCAACGTAGAGAAACTCCATCTATTAAATATGCAAAAATTACATGGTCATGGTGGTGCATTTCTGTAATCCCAGCTATTTGGGAGGCTGAGGCAGGAGAACTGCTTGAAACCAGAAAGCACAATGAGCCAAGATCGTGCCACTGCACTCCAGCCTGGGAGACAGAATATGAGAGACTCTGTCCCAAAAAAAAAAAAGGTCCGGCTGTGGTGTCTCATACCTGTAATCCCGGCACTTCGGGAGGCCAAGGCCTGAGGACCTTGAGCCAAGGAGTTTGAGACCAGCCTGGGCAATATAGGGGGACCCTGACTCTACAAATAAGAAAATAAGCTGGGATGCCAGGTGTGGTGGCTCACTCCTGTAATCCCAGCACTTTGGGAGGCCGAGGTGGACGGATCACCTGAGGTCAGGAGTTTGAGACCAGCCTGGCCAACCTGGTGAAACCTCATCTCTACTAAAAATACAAAAAAAAATTAGCCAGGCATAGTGGCAGGCACCTGTAATCCTAGCTACTTGGTAGGCTGAGGCAGGAGAATCCTTGAACCTGGGAGGTGGAGGTTGCGGTGAGCTGAGATTGGGCCATTGCACTCCAGCCTGGGGGACAAGAGTGAGACTTTGTCTCAAAAAAGAAAGCTGGATGTGGATGCATATGCCTGTGGTCCCAGCTACTCAGGTGTCTGAGGTGGGAGGATCCCTTGTGCCTGGGAGGTCGAGGGTGCAGTGAGCTGTGGTAGCACTCCAGCTGGGTGACAGAGAAAGACCCAGTATCAAAAAAAAAAAGTCTTGCTATGTTGTCCAGGTTAGTCTGAAAAACTGGCCTCGGCCGGGCACGGTGTCTCACACTTGAAATCCCAGCACCTTCGGAGTCTGAGGTGAGCGGGTCACGGGGTCAGGAGATGGAGACCATCCTGGCTAACACAGTGAAACCCTGTCTCTACTAAAAATACAAAAAGTTAGCCGGGCATGGTGGCAGGTGCCTGTAGTCCCAGCTACCTGGGAGGCTGAGACAGGAGAATGGTGTGAACCTGGGAGGCAGAGCTTGCAGTGAGCCAAGATCATGCCACTGCACTCCAGCCTGGGTGACAGAGTGAGACTCTTGTCTCAAAGAAAAAAACAAAAAACTGGCCTCAAGCAATCCTCCTGCCTCCATTTCCCAATGTGCTTGGGTTACAGGTGTGAGCCACCATGCCCAACCACTGGGAAGATAATTATGTGCCAAAGTAGACAATTTCCTCCCTCAACAGACCTTTTGAAAGGAAGGCCGGGCCAGGCATGGTGGCTCATGCCTGTAATCCCAGCACTTTGGGAGGCCAAGGCGGGTGGATCACCTGAGGTCAGGAGTTAGCAACCAGCCTGACCAACGTGGTGAAACTACGTCTCTACTAAAAATACAAAAAATTAGCCTGTAATCCCAGCTACTGCGGACGTGGACATTGCAGTGAGCCGAGACCGCACCATTGCACTCCAGCCTGGGCAAAAGAGCAAAATGCTGTCTCAAAAAAAAAAGAAAAAGGAAAGTGAGTCAGATGCCAAGCTGGTATTGCGGCATCAGCTTGTGTAGTAAGATTTGACCTGGTCAGAAAGGTCTCAAATGGCTACCCTGAGAAAGAAGTGGAGCTTGGAAGAAAGGTAACCAGGAAAACCCATCATTTTTCTGCTGGTTGGAGGCTCTCATGGAAACCCTTAGGAAACTTACAAGCTGAGAGGCGGGAGTTTGCCTAGACCACACTGTGAGTTTGCTGTATATATCCACGCCTTACACAGTGAATAAGAAGATACTCAGGGCCGGGCACAGTGGCTCAGACCTGTAATCCCAGCACTTTGGGAGGCTGAGGCGGGTGGATCACCTGAGTCCAGGAATTCGAGACCAGCCTGACCAACATGGTGAAACTCCGTCTCTACTAAAAATACAAAAATTAGCCAGGCATGGTGGCATGCGCCTGTAATCCCAGCTACTTAGGAGGCTTGAGGCAGGAGAATCGCTTGAACCTGGGAGGTGGAAGTTGCAGTGAGCCGAAATTGGCCCCATTGCACTCCAGCCCGGATGACAGAGACTCCGTCTCAAACAAAAAAAAAGATACTTGCCCCAGCGTGGTGGCTCACGCCTGTAATCCTAACGCTTTGGAAAGCTGAGGCAGGCAGATCACCTGAGATCAGGAGTTTGAGACCACCCTGGACAACATGGTGAAACCCCGTCTCTACTAAAAATACAAAAATTAGCTGGGCGTGGTGGCACGCCCCTGTAATCCCAGCTACTTGGGAGGCAGAGGCACCAGAATCACTTGAACCCGGGAGGCAGAGGTTGCAGTGAGCGGAGATTGTGCCACTGCACTCCAGACTTGGGTGACAGAGCAAGACTCCAGCTCAAAAAAAAAAACCAAAAAACTAAAAACTCTGCTTCTCAGAGTTGTGGGGATTAGATATGAAGTACTTAGAAGAGTGGTTAGCACATGGTACATGCATGAACAGTTCTGTTAGTGTGTAAACACCCAGCAGGGATTTGTCTAGCTTTTCACCAGTGTATCCCAGTACCTAGGCTAAAGCTTGGTTCAGAGAAGGCTCAGAAGAAATATCACAGTAACTGTGTGATAGACCCCTTCTGATCCCTTTACAAATATTCTAGGCTGGGCATGGTGGCTCACGCCCGTAATCCCAGCACCCAGGAGGCCAATGCAGGCAGATCGCTTGAACCCAGGTGTTCAAGACCAGCCTGTGCAACATGGTGAAACTCTGTCTATATTAAAAACAGAAAAATTACCCAGGCGGCCGGGCATGGTGGCTCATGCCTGTAATCCCAGAACTTTGGGAGGCCAAGGCGGGTGAATCACGAGGTCAGGAGTGCGAGACCAGCCTTGCCAACATGATGAAACCCAATTTATAGAGGTGGGGATAAGGGACCATCTTTAAGAGTTGCCTACCACAAGTCTATAAAATACAGTTTAAAGACCAGAAATAAAAAGAACCCCAGCATATCTACTAGTATCCCAGAAATGCCCTTTGCAAGCCCTCTTCAGTTGCACGCTCTTTCCTCTTCAGAGGGAACCATGATTCCAATTTTTTTTTTTTTTTTTGAGATGAAGTTTTGCTCTTGTTGCCCAGGCTGGAGTGCAATGATGCAATCTCGGCTCACCGCAACCCTCCGCCTCCCAGGTTCAAGCGATTCTCCTGCCTCAGCCTCCCGAGTAGTTGGGATTACAGGCATGTGCCACCATGCCCGGCTAATTTTGTATTTTTAGTAGAGACTGGGTTTCTCCATGTTGGTCAGGCTGGTCTCGAACTCCCTACCTCAGGTGATCCTCCTGCCTCGGCCTCCAAAAGTGCTGGGATTACAGGCGTGCTCAGCCCATGATTCCAATTTTTGTGTTCATCAATCTCTAGCACCTGTGTCCCTAAAAACATATTGAGAAAAAGTGAGAAGCAAGCACAAACCTAATTGTGCAAAGAAAGGTCGAAATTGCCACTATTATGAGGCAGGCTCCCAGGAGAAGGCAAGTTGAGCAGGCTGGGTTAGAGTGTGGCCTCAGGGTCTTTGAGAACACAAGAACTATTTCTGGGAAAGTCAGCCAATGCCTTTCTCCACCTCAGAAAATCTGTAAAATCTATAATATCTGGTTCACAGTCAGATGTTCCCCCTTGTTCTTATAATGTGTTTTTATGTTTATTGCTTTTTAAAATTCTTTTTCAGTCCAGGTACGGTGGCTCATGCCTGTAATCTCAGCACTTTGGGAGGCCGAGGTGGGCAGATCACTTGAGGTCAGGAGTTCGAGACCAACCTGGCCAACATGGTGAAATTCCATCTCTACTCAAAATACAAAATTAGCCAGGCATGGTGGTGCATGTCTGTAATCCCAGCTACTCAGGAGGCCGAGGCAGGAAAATCGCTTGAACCTGGGAGATGAAGGCTGCAGTGAGCCAAGATCGTACCATTGCACCCCAGCCTGGGCAACAGAGCGAGACTCTGTCTCAAAATAAATAAATAAATAAAATTCTATTTCAGGGTTAATAGGTGCAGCAAACCACCATGGCACACATATACCTATGTAACAAACCCGCATGTTCTACACATGTATTCCATATTTTTATTATTTTTTTTTTGAGATAGAGTTTCGCTCTTGTTACCCAGGCTGGAGTGCAATGGCACAATCTCAGCTCATTGCAACCTCCACCTCCTAGGTTCAAGTGATTCTCCTGCCACAGCCTGCCAAGTAGCTGGGAGGCACCACCATGCCCAGCTAATTTTTGTATTTTTAGTAGAGATGGGGTTTCACTATGTTGATCAGGCTGACCTCGAACTCCTGACCTCAGGTGATCTGCCCACCTCGGCCTCCCAAAGTGCTGGGATTACAGGTGTGAGCCACCATGCCTGGCCTGTTTTTTTTTTTTTTTTTTTTTTTTTTGAAGAAATAAAAAAAAATTCTATTTCAATCCTGCTCTTTCTATGAGGATGTATTTTTAAAATCATTCTTATTAAGGTATAATTTACATACAATTAGAATGTCTTTTATAACTGTTCCTCCTCTCTCCACCATTCCCAGGATCTAATTTAGTTTTACACATTACATTTGACTGTTAGGTGTCTTTGGTTTCTTTTACTCCAGAGCAGTCTTTCCACCTTAAAAAACAAAACAAAACCAAAACCTGTAATTTCTGCTTACTAGCTTTTAAAAATTTATTGAGATTATAATTTACATACCATGAAATTACCTTTTTTGTGTGTGTGTGAGATGGAGTCTGTCTTTGTCACTCAGGCTGGAGTGCAGTGGCCTTGATCTTGGCTCACTGCAACCACCCCCTCCTGGATTCAAGTGATTCTCCCACCTCAGCCTCCCAAGTAGCTGGGATTACAGACGCCCACCTAATTTTTGCATTTTTAGTAGAGACGGGGTTTCACTATGTTGGCCAAGCTGGCCTCAAACTCATGACATCAGGTGATCCACCCATCTTGGCCTCCCAAAGTGCTGGGATTACAGGAGTGAGCCACTGCACCTGGCCAAAATTACCCTTTTTAAGAGCACAGTTCAATAATTTTCAGTTAGTTTTAGAGCATTCCATCACCCCAGTACAAGGCCTTGTTTCCATATGTGGTCAATCTTGCTTCAACTGCAGTCCCCTCACCACCTGGCAACTGCAAACATGCCTTCTGTCTCTATAGATTTGTTGTTTCTGGACTTTTTTTTTTTTTTTTTTTTAAGACAGGGTCTTGCTCTGTTACCCAGGCTAAAGTGCAATGGCACGAACATCATTCACTAACACCTTGACCTCCTGGGCTCAAGTGATCCTCCTGCCTCAGCCTCCCAAGTAGCTGGGACCACAGCTATGTACCACCACGTCTGGGTAATTTTTAAGTTTTTTGTAGAGAAGAGGTCTCATCACGTTGCCCAGGCTGGTCTCGATCTCTGGGCTCAAGCAGTCCTCCCACGTCTGTCTCTCAAAGTGCTGGGATTACAGGTGTGAGCCACTGGGCCTGGCTGGACTTTTACAGTGAATCATACACTGTGTGGTCTTTGCTCCTTCCCACTTTGTTTGTTTGTTTGTTTAGAGATGGAGTCTTGCTCTGTCACTCAACCTGGAGTGCAGTGGTGCAATATAACTCACTGAAGCCTCAAACTCCTGAACTCAGTGCAGGACTGGACTCCTGGACTTTATTTTTTTTTACTCCATGTTTTTCTTGTTTATTTGAATCAATGGTTCTGTATGAATGCAATTTTAGGAAATATAAATATTCATCTTAGGGGACTGGCTAAATCTCAGTCTCTTGAGTAGCTGGGATTACAGGTGCATGGCGACATTGTTTCCCTTAAGTGAAAATGATTTTTTTTTTTTTTTTGAGACGGAGTCTTGCTCTGTCACCCAGGCTGGAGTGCGGTGGCGCGATCTCGGCTCACTGCAAGCTCCGCCTCCCAGGTTCACGCCATTCTCCTGCCTCAGCCTCCCGAGTAGCTGGGACTACAGGCGCCCGCTACCAAGCCCGGCTAATTTTCTGTATTTTCAGTAGAGACGGGGTTTCACCTTGTTAGCCAGGATGGTCTCGATCTCCTGACCTCGTGATCCGCCCGCCTCGGCCTCCCAAAGTGCTGAGATTACAGGCGTGAGCCACCGCGCCCGGCCTCTTTTTTTTTTTTTTTTTTTAAGACAGAGTCTCACTCTGTCACCCAGGCTGGAGTGCAATGGGCGATCTTCACTCACTGCAACCTCCGCCTCCCAGGTTCAAGTAATTCTCCTTCCGCAGCCTCCCAAGTAGCTGGGATTAGAGGCTGATGCCACCACGCCCAGCTAATTTTTGTATTTTTAGTAGAGAGGGGGTTTCACGATGTTGTCCAGGTCGGTCTCGAACTCTTGAGTTCAAGTGATCCTCCAAACTCGGCCTCCCAAAGTGCTGGGATTACAGGCGTGAGCCACTGCGCCCAGCCGATGTTGACTCTTTTAAAAGTTCAGGACAGGCTGGGCGCAGTGGCTCACGCCTGTAATCCCAGCACTTTGGGAGGCTGAGGCAGGTGGATCACAAGGTCAGGAGATCGAGACCAACCTGGCCAACATGGTGAAACACTGTCTCTACTAAAATACAAAAAATTAGCCGGGGGTGGTGGCACGCACCTGTAGTCCCAGCTACTCAAGAGGCTGAGGCAGGGGAATCACTTGAACCTGGGAGGCAGATGCCACTGCACTCCAGCCTGGAGACAGAGCGAGACTGTGTATCAAAGAAAAAAAAAAAGTTCAGGACAGCTGGGCACGGTGGCTCACTCCTGTAATCCCAGCACTTTGGGAGGCCAAGGCAGGTAGATTGCTTGAGCTCATGAGTTGGAGACCAGCCTGGGCAACATAGTGAAACCCCATCTTTACAAAAAATACAAAAATTAGCCAGGTGTGAGCCTGTGGTCACACTGGATGCGAGCCTGTGGTCCCAGCTACTCAGGTGGCTGAGGTGGGAGAATCCCTTGAGCCTGAGAGGTGGAGTTTGCAGTGAGACGTGGAGTTTGCAGTGAGACGTGATTGTGCCACTGCACTCCAGCCTGGGTGATAGAGCCAGACCTTGTCTCCAAAAGAAATAAAACAGCTGGGTGCGGTGGCTCACGCCTGCAATTCCAGGCCGAGGCAGGTGAATTATCTGAGGTCAGGAGTTCAGGACCAGCCTGGCCAACATGGTGAAACCCCATCTCTACTAAAAAATAAAAAATTAGCCGGG
The DNA here is from genome assembly GCF_000001405.40 of Homo sapiens. NCBI lineage: Eukaryota > Metazoa > Chordata > Mammalia > Primates > Hominidae > Homo > Homo sapiens. The sequence continues at coordinate 44,810,847 of NC_000007.14, forward strand.
CGTGGTGGCACATGCCTGTAATCCCAGCTACTCAGGAGGCTGAGACAGGAGAATTGCTTGAACCTGGGAGGTGGAGGTTGCAGTGAGCTGAGATCGTGCCATTGCACTTTAGGCTGGGCGACAAGAGTAAAACTCCATCTCAAAAATAAATAAATAAATAAAATAAAGAAACAAATAAAACAAAGAGTTCAGGACATTGACTTTGTGGAATGTCCATTATTCTGGAGCTAATTGTTTCCTGTTTTTCTCTTTTAGCTCCTGTATTTTCTGTAAATTGGAAATTACACTAGGCCTAGAAGCTTAATTGGATTCAAATTCATCATATTTAGCAGGAAGATTTCATAGGTGATACTTTGTGTACTTAATCTTGCCTCACATCAGGAGGCACAAAGTCTCAGGCTGACTCATCAGTGAGGCTAAATTTGAACTTGCAGTTAAGGTAATGCCTGCCAGACTGCTCCACTGGAAAGGTATCTTTTCCCTTTTCTGAAAATTAGGTAATCTTGAGGGGTGATATTTTGCCTCTGCATAAAGACCCTCTTTCCAAGAAGAGAGCCTTTTCACCTGATTGTTGTGTTTTGGCATTAATTATATTTGTCTGAATCAATTATTCCCTTTTGCAGTTGTAAAGTACCCTTCTGATCCCTCCCTCCTCCTGTCACTATGGACTTATGTATTTTTATTCAATATATTAAATAATTGTTTTCCCAGTTGCCTTATTTGAATTTACATCCAAATAGGATCCATATATCTATAGAAGTTTGAGCAGAGGAGTGACAGCATTTGCCTAACTTTTTTTTTTTTTTTAGATAGGGTCTTGCTCTGTTGCCAAGGCTGGAATGAACTGATCTCAGCTCACTGCAGCCTCGACCTCCTGGCCTCAGGCGATTCTCCTATCTCAGCCTCCTGGTAGCTGGAACTACAGGCATGTGCCACCCACCACACCTGGCTAATATTAAAAAAAAATTTTTTTGAGACAGAGTCTTGCTTGGTTGTCCAGGCTGGAGTGCACTGGTGTTATCTCAGCTCACTGCAACCTCCGCTTCCCAGGTTCAAGCGATTGTTGTGTCTCAAGCCTCCTAAGTAGCTGGGACTATAGGAGTGAACCACCACGCCCGACTAGTTTTTGTATTTTTAGTAGAGGCAGGGTTTCACCATGTGGGCCAGGCTGGTCTCAAAGTCCTGACCGTAAGTGATCCGCCTGCCTTAGCCTCCCAAAGTGCTGGGATTACAGGTGTGACCCACCACTCCTGGCCAAAAAATTCTTTTAAAATTTTTTGTAGAGACAAGCTTTCACCATGTTGCCCAGGCTGGTCTCAGACTCCTGGGCTGAAGCAATCCGCCTGCCTTGGTCTCCCAAAGTGCTAGGACTACAGGCATGAGCCACCGTTCTTCTTCTTTTTTTTTTTTTTTTTTTTTTTTTGAGACAGAGTCTCACTCTGTCATCCAGGCTAGAGTGTAGTGGCGCAATCTCGGCTCACTGCAGCCTCCACCTCCCGGGTTCAAGTGATTCTCCTACCTTAGCCTCCCGAGTAGCTGGGATTACAGGCGAGCGCCACCACACCCAGCTAATTTTTGTATATTTATTGGAGACAGGGTTTTGGCATGTTGGCCAAGCTGGTCTTGAACTCCTGACCTCAGGTGATTCACCTGACTCGGCCTCCCAAAGTGCTGGGATTACAGGTATGAGCCACTGTGCCCAACAGAGCTACCTTTTTTTTCCCCCCCGAGACGGAGTCTTGCTGTGTCACCCACTCTGGAGTACAGTGGCGTGATCTCGGCTCACTGCAGCTTCCACCTCCCAGGTTCAAGCAATTCTACTGCCTCAGTCTCCCAACTAGCTGGGATTACAGGCGCCCACCACCACGCCCGGCTAATTTTTTGTATTTTTTAGTAGAGACGGGGTTTCGCCATGTTGGCCAGGCTGGTCTTGAACTCCTGACCTCAGGTGATCTGCCAACTTCAGCCTCCCAAAGTGCTGGGATTACAGACATCAGCCACCGCGCCCGGCCTAAGCCACCATTCTTAAAAAGGTCACTTTGACTGAAGTCTGTTGAGGATAGACTATGTGGCGGAGTGAAATCTGGAGACTACTGCATCATCCAGGAGTGAGGAAAGGGGCTTGGGCCAGGATAGTAATGTCAGTGGTGAAAAGTAAATCTGCTTTAATGACAGGATTACTTTAAATGAAAGAGGAGGATATGATGGCTTATGCCTGTAGTCCTAGCTACTCAGGAAGCTGAGGCAGGAGGATTGGTTGAGCCCAGGAGGTCATGGCTGCAGTGAGCCATGATTGCACCACTGCACTCCAGCCTGGACAACAGAGCAAGACTGTCTCAAAAAAAATACGGCAGGGCGCAGTGCTTCACGCCTGTAATCCCAGCACTTTGGGAGGCCATGGCAGGCGGATCACCTGAGGTTGGGAGTTTGAGACCACCAGCCTGACCAACATGGAGAAACCCCGTATCTACTAAAAATATAAAATTAGCCGGGCATGGTGGCACATGCCTGTAATCCCAGCTACTCGGGAGGCTGAGGCAGGAGAATCACTTGAACCTGGGAGGTGGAGGTTGCAGTGAGCCAAGATCGCGCCATTGCACTCCAGCCTAGGCAACAAGAGCGAAACTCCATCTCAAAATAAATAAATAAATAAATAAATAAATATATATACACACACATATATTAATATAAAATATAAATAAATGCAAGAGGAAATGAGATTGGTTATCTTTAGAACCTTAAATTCTGAAATACTATTTTTTCTCCTTCATGTTTTAAATTTTCTTGCTTTGTTTGAATCAATGGTTATGTACAAATGCAATTTTAGGAAACAGTATAAATATTCATCATAGGGGACTGGCTAAACAAATTACAGTTCTCTATTAATTTATTATTTTATATTATTTTATTTTATTTTATTTTTTGAGATGGAGTCTCACTCTGTCTCCCAGGCTGGAGTGCAGTGGTGTGATCTCAGCTCACTGCAACCTCCACCTCCCCGGTTCAAGCAATTCTCCTACCTCAGCCTCCTGAGTAGCTGAGATTACAGATGCCCGCCACCATGCCCAGCTAATTTTTGTAATTTTAGTAGAGACGGGGTTTCACCATGTTGGCCAGGCTGGTCTCGAACTCCTGACCTCAGGTGATCTGCTCACCTCAGCCTCCCACAATGCTGGGATAACAGGCGTAAGCCACCGCGCCCCGCCTATTAATTTATAATAGCCTTACAGATCCACTGCTTCCTTTTACTGCCCTGAACTCAAATTATGGGTGTGACTTTCTTACAACATTTTTAAAGATCAGTAAGGTCTAACTAGACAATAAAGGACAAAGGAAAGGGAAATCCCTGATGATGAAATAATATGTGTTTCACTCTGTATTATTATTATTATTATTATTATTATTTTTGAGAGGGAGTTTCACTCTTGTTGCCCAGGCTGGAGTGCAATAGCGTGATCTTGGCTCACCGCAACCCCCGCCTCCTGGGTTCAAGCGATTCTCCTGCCTCAGCTTCCCGAGTAGCTGGGATTACAGGCATGCGCCACCACACCCAGCTAATTTTGTATTTTTAGTAGAGACGGGGTTTCTCCATGTTGGTCAGACTGGTCTCGAACTCCTGATCTCAGGTGATCTGCCTGCCTCAGCCTCCCAAAGTGCTGGGATTACAGGCGTGAGCCACTGTGCCTGGCATGTTTCACTCTGTAAATGCTTGGGTCTCTAAGATCACTGGAGAGGGTACAGTGAGAGGTCGAGTCCATCCTGCTGTAACTGCTTGTAGCAAGGAGTGCAGTTTAGGTGTCTTTCAGTATCTCAGGTGACACCAGCTGACTTCCAGAAGTGATGAACAACTCAACAAAATTCCAAACAATGAAGGTGAAGTTCATGCTTTGGCCAGGCACAGTGGCTCATGCCCGTAATCACAGCACTCTGGGAGGCCAAGATGGGAGGATCACTTGAGGCCAGGAGTTCAAGACCAGCCTGGTCAACATAGGGATACCCCATCTCCAAAGAAAAAAATTTATAAAAGTAAATAAGTAAAATAAAGTTCATTCTTCTCTCTGATTACACAGCAGTTTACAGGCCTGGAGAATGTCAGGGATGTTAAAACTTTTAACAAGCAAAACTACAACCAAACCCCTTTGTGTTTATATGTAAAATAGAGTTCTAGACTTAGGCAATGATAAATGAGTTATTCATGTACATGAACATCTGGCTGGACATTTCAGTCATGTGGACAGTGCCATGCATGACAAGATGTGCAACATCTCCCCAACCACTGTTGGAGGCCCACAAATCTTCAAAGTGCCTCCTGGAGGCACTGCTGTCCTGCTGAAACCACCAACATGACGAGATAGAAGTAATTGTTAAAAGACCAGTGTAGGCTGGGTGCTGTGGCTCATGCCTGTAATCTCAGCAGTTTGGGAGGCCAAGGTGGGAGGATCACTTGAGCCTAGGAGTTCGAGACCAGCCTGGGAAACCAAGTGAGATGTTGTCGTAATTTTTTTTTTTTTTTTGAGACGAAGTCTTGCTCTGTCGCCAGGCTGGAGTGTAGTGGCGCATTCTCGGCTCACTGCAACCTCCGCCTCCCGGGTTCAAGCGATTCTTCTGCCTCAGCCTCCCGAGTAGCTGGGACTAAAGAGGCCCGCCACCAGGCCCGGCTAATGTTGTATTTTTAGTAGAGACGTGTTTCACCATGTTGGCCAGGATGGTCTCGATCTATTGACCTCGTGATCTGCCCGCCTCAGCTCCCAAAGTGCTGGGATTACAGGCATGGACCTTGTCTCTATTTTTTAAAAAAAGACCAATGTGCCAGGCATGGTGGCTCACACCTGTAGTTCCAGCACTTTGGGAGGCCAAGGCAGGCGGAAACTCTTCATATGTAATGCAGGTAAAAATAAGTCCTCTCTAGCCACAGTCATTGAGCCTCTACTTGGAGACACCCACTGTGAAACATTTCTTCGCTGTCCTTCCAAGGATATTCTATGCACATGCAAGCATCTCTACTAAAAATATAAAAATTAGCTGAGTATGGTGGCGGGCACCTGTAGTCCCAGCTACTTAGGAGGCTGGAGGCAGGAGAATTGCTTGAACCCAGGAGGCGGAGGTTGCAGTGAGCCGAGATCGTGCCACTGCACTCCAGCCCAGGCGACAGAGCGAGACTCCGCCTCAAAAAAAAAAAAAAAAAAAAAGACAGACGTAAAAAAAAAGAAAGAAAGTAGATAAAGGCCAATGTAGTACATCCTCAAAATAGCCTCAGACAGACGTAGACATAGATTTTGTAAAGTTAGATTTAGAAAAACAAAGAACAGTAGAATGCAATATAACATATGCCACTGTTTTTGTAAAAAGTAAAATTAAATGTATCTTTATGCTTGCATGTGACTATAATATCCTTGGGAGGACAGAGAAGAAATGTTTCACAGTGGGTGTCTCCAAGTAGAGGCTCAAGGACTGTGGCCAGAGGACTTATTTTTACCTGCATTACATATGAAAAATTTCAAAAACATACATTTTAAAATAAATCAGTAGTATGTGGCTCACTCCAAGTGCTTAAACAAATATATTGTTCAAAAATTACTTTTTTTTTTTTTTCTGAGACAGAGTTTTGCTCTTGTCTCACAGGCTGAAGTACAATGGCACTATCTCAGCTCACTACAACCTCTGCCTCCTGGGTTCAAGCGATTCTCCTGCCTCAGCCTTCTGAATAGCTGGGATTACAGGCACCCGCCACCACCCCCAGCTAATTTTTGTATTTTTAGTAGAGACGGCGTTGAGTATAGGTGCACATTACCACACCTGGCTAATTTTTGTATTTTTATTTATTTATTTATTTATTTATTATTTTTATTTTTATTTTTTTCGAGATGGAGTTTTGCCCTGTCGCCCAGGCTGGAGTGCAGTGGCGCAATCTTTGCTCACTGCAACCTTCGCCTCCCAAGTTCAGGCGATTCTCCTGCCTCAGCCTCCTGAGTAGCTGGGATTACAGGCGTGAGCCACCTCGCCTGGCTATTTATTTATTTTTGATACGGAGTCGTGCTCTGTTGCTCAGGCTAGAGTGCAATGGCACAATCTGGGCTCACTGCAACCTGCGCCTCCTGGGTTCAAGTGATTCTCCTGCCTCAGCCTCCTGAGTAGCTGGGATTACAGGTGCCCGCCACCACACCCAGCTAATTTTTTTGTATTTTTAGCAAAGACAGGGTTTCACCACGTTGGCCCAGGCTGATCTTGAACTCCTGACCTCAGGTGATCCACCTGCCTTGGCCTCCCAAAGTGCTGGGATTACAGGTATGAGGCACCATGCCAGGCCATAATTTTCGTATTTTTAGTAGAGATGAGGGGTTTACTATGTTGGCCAGGCTGGTCTTGAACTCCTGGTCACAAGTGATCCTCCCACCTCGGCCTCCCAAAGTGCCAGGATTACAGGTGTGAGCCTCCACATCCAGCCCATTCATTATTACTTTTATTACTTATTAGGCAATTTTCCAAAACAAAAGCTAGAAATCAGGCCAGGCACAGTGGCTCATGCCTGTAATCCCAGCACTTAGTGAGGCTGAGGCAGGAGGATCACTTGAGGTCAGGAGTTCAAGACCAGCCTGGCCAACATGGTGAAACCCCATCTCCACTAAAAATACAAAATTAGCCAGGTGTAGTGGTGGGCGCCTGTAATCCCAGCTACTCAGGAGGCTGAGGCAGGAGAATCACTTGAACCTGGGAGGCAGAGGTTGCAGTGAGCCGAGATCGTGCGACTGCCTTCCAGCTTGGGCGACAGAGCAAGACTCCATCTCAAAAAAAAAAAGAAAAAAGAAAGAAAAAGATCAGGCGAGGTGGCTCACCCCTGTAATCCCAGCACTTTGGGAGGCTGAGGCGGGAGGATCACCTGAGGTAGGGGGTTCGAAACCAGCCTGACCAACATGGAGAAACTCCATCTCTACTAAAAATACAAAATTAGGCAGGCGTAGTGGCGCATGCCTATAATCCCAGCTAGTCTGGAGGCTGAGGCAGGAGAATCGCTTGATCCCAGGAGGCGGAGGTTGCGGTGAGCCAAGATCAAGCCATTGCACTCCAGCCTGGGCAACAAGAGACTCTGTCTCAAAAAAAAAAAAAAAATTAGTCAGGTGTAGTGGTGCATGCCTGTAGTCCCAGCTATTCAGGAGGCTGGCCCAGGAGATGGAGGTTGCAGTGAGCCAAGATTGTTCCACTGCCCTCCAACCTGGGCAACAGAGTGAGATTCTGTCAAAAAAAAAAAAAAAAAAAAAAAAGAAAGCAATTTGTGTTAATCCACTCTTTTTAAATCTGCTTTTCATAGAAAAAACTTTTTTCATATTTATTTCATAATAGATTTACATAATTGCTAACTGAATTGCATATTTAAAATAGATATTTTTCACATATGCAGATCTGGGAAGAAATAGAATGGATTCTTTTTTTTTTTTTTGAGACGGAGTCTCGCTCTGTCACCCAGGCTGGAGTGCAGTGGCGTGATCTCGGCTCTGTTGCAAGCTCCACCTCCCAGGTTCACACCATTCTCCTGCCTCAGCCTCCTGAGCAGCTGGGACTGCAGGCGCCCGCCACCACGCCTGGCTGATTTTTTTGTATCTTTTTAGTAGAGACGGGGTTTCACTGTGTTAGCCAGGCTGGTCTCGAACTCTGACCTCAGGTGATCTGCCCACCTCAACCTCCCGAAGTGCTGGGATTACAGACGTGAGCCACCAGGCCCGTAATCCCAGCACTTTGGGAGGCTGAGACAGGCAGATCACATGAGGCCAGGAGTTTGAGACCAGCCTGGCCAACGTGGTGAAACCCTGTCTCTACTAAAAATTCAAAAATTAGCTGGGCGTTGTGGCACGTGCCTGTAATCCCAACTACTCGGGAGGCTGTCATGAGAATCACTTGAGCCCGGGAGGTGGAGGTTGCAGTGAGCCGAGATCGTGTTACTGCACTCCAGCCTGGGTGACAGAGCAAGACTCTGTCTCAAAAAACAAACTGGCCGGGCACTGTGGCTCACACATGTAATCCTAGTACTTTGGGAGGCCGAGGTCAGGAGTTTGAGACCAGCTTGGCCAACATAGTGAAACCCCGTATCTACTAAAAATACAAAATTAGCCAGTTGTGGTGGTGGGCGCCTCTAGTCCCAGCTACTTGGGAGGCTGAGGCAGGAGAATCACTTGAACCTGGGAGACAGAGATTGCAGTGAGCTGAGACCGCACCATTGCAATCCAGTCTGGGCAACAAGAGCAAAACTCCGTCTCAAAAACAAACAAACAAACCCGCCCACCCTGCCCGCAAAAAAAAAAAAAAAAAAAAAAAAAAAGACTGTTGTTCAGCCAGATGCTTAATTTCCTGAATTTCAGTATTTTTGGGGAATACTTTAGGCAAACAGTAACTAACATATATACATATATCCCTAAAAGTTGTGGACATTTAAGCTTTTTCAAAATTTCTAACCCTAGCTACAACCAGTCAACCCCCAGCACTAGCTGAAGCTGCAGTGGGAGGAGACATCCAGAGGTGGGAGATGGTGAATACCTTGGGCCCAACTTGGGCTCCAGGGGCCTGGTTTTAGGTCAGTGGCCTCCCTGGAGATTTCGACACCCTCTGGGTTGTAGTGCTGCCTCCAGCTCGTTCTCCACTCTGAGATGAGCTCTGGTCAGACTGGCTTTGAGTCCACTTTTATCATTACCACCTGGGGAGCCTTGGGGCAGTGATTTATGCTAAGTCTGTTTCCTTATCTATAAAAGGGGTATAGTTACAGTATTTACTTCCTCTGGTAGTGCCTAATTTTGGTACAAATTGAGTATCCCTAATTAAAAATCCAAAATTCAAAATCCAAAACTTTTAGAGTGCTGACAAGATGCCACAAGTGGAGAATGCCATACCTGACCTCATGTGATGGGTTGTAGTCAAAATGCAATCAAAACTTTGTTTTATGTACAACATTTTAAAAAAATATTGTATAAGCCGGGCGTGGTGGCTCAGGCCTGTAATCCCAGCTCTTTGGGAGGCCAAGGTGGGTGGATCACGAGGTCAAGAGATTGAGACCATCCTGGCTAACACAGTGAAACCCTGTCTCTATTAAAAATACAAAAAATTAGCTGGGCGTGGTGGTGGGCGCGGGGGCGGGTGCCTGTAGTCCCAGCTACTTGGGAGGCTGAGGCAGGAGAATGGCGTGAACCCGGGAGGCGGACCTTGCAGTGAGCCGAGATCGTGCTACTGCACTCCAGCCTGGGCGACAGAGCAAGACTCCATCTCAAAAAAAAAAAAAAAAAAAAAAATATATATATATATATATATATATAGTATAAAATTATCCTCAGGATACATGTATAAGGTATGTGAAACATAAATGAATTTTGTGTTTAGACTGGGGTCACATCCCTAAGATAGCTCATAATGTATATGCAAATATTTCAAAATCCAAAAAAAAATCACAAATTCAATAAGATGGTCCCAAGAATTTCAGAGAAGGGATACTCAACCTGCAATTTTTTTTTTTTTTTTTTTTTTTTTGAGAAGGAGTCTCGCTCTGTCGCCCAGGCTGGAGTGCAGTGGCGCAATCTTGGCTCCCTGCAACCTCCGCCTCATGGGTTCAAGCAATTCTCCTGCCTCAGCCTCCCGAGTAGCTGGGACTACAGGTGTGCACCACCGTGCCCAGCTAATTTTTGTATTTTTAGGAGAGATGGGGTTTTGCTATGTTGGCCAGGCTGGTCTCGAACTCCTGACCTCAAGTGATCCTCCTGCCTCAGCCTCCCAAAGTGCTGGGATTACAGGCATGAGTCAGCTTGCCTGGACTGTATCTTTCATTTATGCAATTTCTAATTATTTTTAAAATCCAGCTGCTCTTTTTTTAATGGTGGTTTGCCTTCTTGTATGGTTTTTTTTGTTTTTGTTTTTGTTTTTGAGACAGGGTCTCATTCTTTTGCCCAGGCTGGAGTGCAGTGGTGTGATCATGACTCACTGTGCCTTGACCTCCCTGGTTCAAGCAGTCTTTCCACCTCAGCCTCCCAAGTAGCTTGGCTAATTTTTTATTTTATCTTTTGTAGAGTCAGGGTCTCCCTGTGTTGCCCATGCTGTTGTTGAATTCCCGAGTTCAAGTCCTCCCTCCTAGGCCTCTCAAAGTTTGTACTTTTTTTAAAAGGTGTTTCCATTAAAGTCCCGTGTGTCCTGGGACACATAAACTTTTTTTTTTTTCGAAATGGAGTCTCACTCTGTCACCCAGGCTGGAGTGCAGTGGCGCAATCTCAGCTCACTGCAAGCTCCGCCTCCCGGATTCACGCCATTCTCCTGCCTCAGCCTCCCGAGTAGCTGGGACTACAGGTGCCTGCCACCATGCCCAGCTATTTTTTTTGTATTTTTAGTAGAGATGGGGTTTCACCATGTTAGCCAGGATGGTCTCGATCTCCTGACCTTGTGATCTGCCCGCCTTGGCCTCCTAAAGTGCTGGAATTATAGGTGTGAGCCACTGTGCCCGGCCCCACATAAACATCTTTACGGCATGGTTCTGAGTCTGCCTAGTTCACTTCCTGCAGGTCTGTTGCTTGCTGCCCAGTTTTTGTATTCATTGATCTGCGGGGCAGTGACATGGTTCTCAGAATGGGGGCTCTATTTTTGCACCTGTGACTCTGGGCAGATGGCAACTTCCTTGATTTCCTGTGAGAGTGTTTGTGTCATTTATCTAGGTCAATTTCAAGGACATAAAGTCTTTTAATTTTTTTTGAGACAGAGTCTCACTGTGTTGTCCAGGCTAGAGTGCAGTGGTACAATCACAGCTCACTGAAGCCTCCATCTCCCAGGCTCAAGTGAACCTCCCACCTCAGCCTCCTAAGTAGCTGGGACTACAGGCACATGCCACCACGCTTGACTAATATTTGATTTTTTGTAGAGACAGGGCCTCACTATGTTGCCTAGGCTGGTCTTGAACTCCTGGACACAAGTGATCCTCCACCTTGGCCTCCTGATGTGTTGGGATTACAAAGTCTTTTCTAGTCCCATAGTCAGGGAGTCGAGCCTAGCCAGCCCCCTTTCCTCAATGGGCCTTGAGTCCTCCTCAGTCCCCACTGCACCCTCTGGCTGTGGTTCCTTAGTACGATTCACCCCGACGCTTTTTTCCTTTCTTACTCTGGTGATAATTTTGTGATCTTTTTTTCCAGTGTGTCTCTATGCATGGAGTAAGAAAGAAACCATCCTACAATAGCACCAAATCCAGCATGGATGGGTAAGAAGACTGACCACCAGGTGTTCTGGAGTAGCCAGCTGCAATGTAGAAAGGGTGGAACAATGACCTCATAATGATGCAGCAGTGACCTTGTAGAAAAGTGGATAGGCTGGGGGCAGTGGCTCACACTTATAATCCCAGCACTTTGGGAGGCTGAGGCAGGTGGATCACTTGAGCCCAGGGGTTCGAGACCAGCCTGGCCAACGTGGTGAAACTCCATCTCTACTAAAAATACACAAATTAGCCGGGCGTGGTGGCATGTGCTTGTAGTCCCAGCTACTTGAGAGGCTGAGACACGAGAATCACTTGAACCTGGGAGGTGGAGGTTGCAGTGAGCCTAGATTGCGCCACTGCACTCCAGCCTGGGCAAGAGAGCTAGACTCCGTCTCAAAAAAAACAAAACAAACAAAACAAAAACAAAAACAAAAACAAAACAAGGCCAGGGGTAGTGGCTCACGCCTGTAATCCCAGCACTTTGGGAGGCCGAGGTGGGTGGATCACGAGGTCCGGAGTTCAAGACCAGCCTGACCAATATGGTGAAACCCCATCTCTACTAAAAATACAAAAATTAGCCGGGCGTGGTGGCAGGTGCCTGTAATCCCAGCTACTCAGGAGGCTGAGGCAGGAGAATCGCTTGAACCTGGGTGGCAGAGGTTGCAGTGAGCCGAGATTGCACCACTGCACTCCAGCCTGGGTGACAGAGTGAGACTGCCTCAAAAAAAAAAAAAAAAAAAAAAAAAGGGTACATGTGATTGCTCATCTCTGGACTGTACTGGAGAAAACAGGAAGTTTTGTTTTCTTTTCTTCCTGACGAAGGAAGGATGAAGGTATCAGAAGACAGGAACAAACTGGGATTTATCCCAAGAACAACTTACTTGTGAATTTTAAAGGGCTCCCATTCTCCTCTGGCAAGCGGCAATTTAGACTATGCCACAATTCTGAGGACTTGCTCTTGGGCCAAGGCCTCAGGGCTCAGGGTCCTCTCAAAGCCTTGACCCGCCCTGGGGTTGTAACTCTCCTTGGTATGGAAAAATGGTTCAAATGCTGTTGCTTTCAAGAGGTTCTTTTTCTTTCTCCTCAGCTGTGTTGGTGCAGGACTTTCACATGTCTTTGGAGTAGAATAAGATGTGCCAATCCAGACTCAACCCCATCTCATCAAGATCCAGTGATCTTCGTTTTCCGATTGTCTAGCCCAAGCTCTCTTCCTCCCCAGACTCATCCTCCACCCTGCTACTGGACTTGTCTTTGTACTCTCAAAGCAGTGTGAGGAGATTCATCAACCGGTGGTGTGGACATGTGAACAGCGTGAGGCAGAGAGTAAGCATCACCCTACAAAACCTAACCCCCTATAGAGTGGCATTCCCTTTCAGTCAGTCTCTACTAGCTACTGATCAGAGGAGGGAATTTGCCCCTCAGCAACTTGACATGCCACAGTTCTCATTCTCTTCTGGAATGCCTGCCTGTCTGTGCTCCCTCCCTCTCTCAATCTCTCCTTCCCTCCACTTCTCGTTTCTTCCCCTCTGTCTCCTCCCTCCCCTCCTTCTTCTTCCCTCCTTCTCTCCTCCACCTCCCTCCCTTTTTCTCTACTTCCCTCCCTTCCCTTAGCTGGGTGTCCCCATCTCCAAGGCTCTCACTTTCACACTCCCAGGACACTCCCAGCCACTGAGTGGAAATCTCCGCCTTTAAACTCTGAGGTGTTTATATTTGGGTACTTTCGAACACTTAAAAACATTTTTTTTCCCTTAGAACACCTTCTAAAAGAACCTTAAAATTAAAAAAAATTTTTTTTGGTGGGGAGATGAGGGTCTCACTATGTTGCCCAGGCTGGTGTTGATCTCCTGGGCTCAAGGGTTCCTCCTGCTTCAGCTTCCTAAGTAGCTAGGATTACAGGCATGAGCCACCACATCCAGCTTTTAAAAAAATCTTAATAGTTTTTACTTGAAAAAACAATCTGTGGCCAGGCACAGTGGCTCATGGCTGTAATCCCAATATTTTGGGATGCCAAGGCGGGTGGATCACCTGAGGTCAGGAGTATGAGACCAGCCTGGCCAACATGGCAAAACACTGTCTCTACTAAAAATACAAACAAAATTAGCTGGGTATGGTGGTGTGTGCCTGTAATACCAGCTACTCAAGAGGCTGAGGCAGGAGAATCGCCCAAACCTGGGAAACAGAGATTGCAGTGAGCTGGATCGCGCCACTGCTCTCCAGCCTGGGCAACAAGAGCGAAAACTCAAAAAAAAAAAGAAAAAAATCTGTGGACAATGGGAAGGGGCCAGTACCACACATCTGGCGCCCTGTCATACAACAATATGCGGCCTTGTGCCTGGAATCCGTCTATATGCCCATGTCTCCTTCCTTCACTTAGGTTATAAGCTTCTTGAGGGTGGCAGCCAGACAGTAGCAGTTTGTGTGCAAAGCCCCTGCAGTGGCATATGGAAGACTTTCAATACATCAGGACCAGAGGATGAGCTGGAAATGAAATCACACTCACTGGTGGGAGAAAACCAAACTTGATGACAGAGGACCAGTAAAGGAAGCAGCTTGAGTATGTGTCCTCAGATGCAGACACAAGGCCTTGCCTTCCTGGATGAGACAGGCACTGACTGGAGCAGGGTTTGCCAGACTCAAAGGGCCACATTTTAGGGACAGTCTAAAATGTGGTATATGGACAGTCTGGCAGTGGTATGTAGAATGGGTTAAAACTGGAAGACTGGGCTGGGTATGGTGGTGCATGCCTGTAATTCCAGTACTTTGGGAGGCTGAGGCAGGAGGATTGCTTGAGCCCAGGAGTTCAAGACCAGCCTGGACAACACAATGAGACTTTGTCTCTAAAAAAACAAACAAAACTGGGTAATTAGGAGGTGACTACAAGAGCATAGGGAGCTAGTGGAAAATGAAAGGATGTGTGTAAATCTGAAGAAAAGGTCAGAACTGAAGGTCAGAATGTGTGCTCTGCAATGTGTGAATACAGTATGAATGTGCTCCAGGAAGAATATCTGAAACAGATTATCATGAGTTTCCAGAAGTATGTGGCTGTACTCAGAGTTGGGGAAGAAGATAGCAGGAAGTGGGCAGAGGCAGTAAAAGCGGAATGGGGATTGAGGAATTGATGCTCCTGATAAGAGAAAAAAAAGGCAGCTTGTGTGGGAGCAGGAGCAAGTTTTTGACAGGACAGGCTGTCACATAGGGTTTTGCTGCTGAACTCCACCAAGCAAAGCCTTGGAGCAGAGTTCCTCAGCTGCTGAGGTCCACACTCACACTCAGCTGTGGCAGGAGGCTATGGAGTCTACAGGCTTATAGGCAATTCCCAGAGTGTTAGTTTCCCACTGGCATTCTGGGCATGTGAGGGGCTTGTAGGGCTGGGCTGGAGACTAGATGAGCCTGCCTGTGTGCAGGAAGTGCTAAACTGAATACTGAGTGCCAGACTTGCCTGGCTCCATACTAAACAGGGAGTCACGGCTTCTGTCCATCCAGGAAATACATGTACCTCTCATATATACCTATTCCACAAACTCTTTTTGAAAGCCCAGACGATAAATAGGCACAAAGCTACCTAAGCTCAAAAGGCCACCTGGCTCTACATGTGAGACATTAACATGAGGGCTTTATAGATACTTTTCTATATGTGGCCTCAAGCAAACCAGAAGAATGTAAGTGCCATCGCATGTCCACGGGCCAGCTGCAGACCCCCTTGAGCAGACTCGTGACTTTTTGCACTGACCTGGATTTGTGGTCAGACTGACCTGGGTTCAGATTCCTGTGTCACCAACTGGAGCCATGTAACCCTGGGCTTGGGCTAACATCTCTTTTTTTTTTTGAGACAGAGTCTCACTCTGTCACCCAGGCTGGAGTGCAGTGGTACAATCTTGGCTTACTGCAACCTCCATCTCCCAGGTTTAAGCAATTTCTCCCACCTCAGCCTCCCGAGCAGCTGAGACTACAGGTACGTGCTACCATGCCTGGCTCATTTTTGTATTTTTTGGTAGACCTTGTTGGCCAGGCTGGTCTCAAACTCCTGACCTCAAGTGATCCACTTGCCTCCCAAAGTGCTGGAATTACAGGCGTGAGCCACCGCGCCAGGCTGTATCTAACATCTCTGAATCTGAATTTCTTTGCTTGTAAAATGAGGCTGGTATTTATTTCCCAGATTTATTCAGGGGGTTAAATGAGCTAAATCCACATAAGGCAGGCTGGTAGGTTTTCAAAGAAATGTTTAGTGACCTTCCCCTTCCATAGGAAAAAAACTTAAGTTTTGGAGCTAAACAGACCAGATTCTCAGCACTTTCCCATTTCAGATTATGTGACCCTGGGATGTTGAATCATCTTCCTCTGCCTGAATTTCCTCATCTGTAAAATGAAGTATTATTGCCTTCTTGCTGTGGAGATGGAAAACTGAGAGGAGCCTGAGGCTCTTCAGCAGAGTGTGGCCTGAGAGTGGCCAGGGCTGGTTAGGCCCACCCTCTCCTCCAACACCTTCAGAGATGGGAGGACTCACTTTTTCAGTTTCTCCTTCTTCTTCTTTTTTTTAAAGACAGGATTTCACTCTGTTGCTCAGGCTGGAGTGCAGTTGCATGGTCATAGCTCATTGCAGCCTTGACCTCCCAGGCTCAAGCAATCCTACTCAGCCTGCTAAGTAGCTGGGACTACAGGTGTGCACCACCACACCCAGCCCTTTCTCAGAGTTTCTAAAGCTGAAAGCCATCGTCCAGAAATATTTAGTCCATACCTCTTTTTACACAGAATATATTTAATTCCATCATATAAGCTAGGAACAATGTTAACCAACAGAAAATGTGATCACGAGCTACATACAATAGATCAAATGAAGCACACATCCATGAAAAAATCATGCCAATTAAATATACTCTGCATTTCCATTAATATTAGTATGCTATTCTTTGATTTTTTTTGCTGATAAGCAGTCAAAACATTTAAACTCAAAATTGACAAATCAACTAGCTTGCTTTTTGTCATTTGGAAGACTACCATTATTCAAATTTATTATGTAATACACTCATCCAGATAATGAAACATCTGCGAAAAAAAGTGTGGGAATCACCTCATCTGTGCATAAAATGGCTATTATACATGAATGCAGACGTTTGAAGTTAGAAAGGAATATAACTCAAATAGCAAAAGGTCCTAATTACAGAGTTTACAAATAAGCAGTTTTATTTTCAAAAGTACATAGTAAGTCCAGACTGGGCTATTGCCAAAGAACTAATCTTTAGTCTACTTCAACATGTTACATGGTATTCCTGACTCTACAGACTATCAGCATCTGTGGAGGTTAGCTCCTAAAGGTCCCAAAGAACAGGAAACATGCAGGAATAAAGGACTCCTCGTGAAGAGCAGGTGGGAGCGAGTGGGCAGGCCTGTATCTTCTCAGCAAAGTAAGGATTGAGTATAGAGAGCTGTTTGTCTTAACTGGGCTTCCCTGAAGAATCTGAGCCAAACTGGAAGAAACCAGCCTCATTTCCAGTGTTGAGATGTTAGCTGTACAGTGGCTGTACAACTGCAGAGTTTATTTATAGAATTAGAAATAATTTTTTAAAATTTTAAAAGGTTTTGTGTAATCATTAACCAGAGATGATATTCACAAATTCTGGTAAAAATTTGACTCTCCAACTATCACCATATCAACAGGAAACAGGGCCATGCCACCAGGGAGGACTGTCTCAGCTGCCATTTAGGGAGTTGACCCCTTTGCTCTCTCGAGACCAGTTCCTGAAAGGAGGGCCTGTTTTGTACAGATGTGGCCATGGAGCTCATGGGGCCCTTGTATCACTTATAAAAATACATATCTTTGGCAGGCGAAACGTTCATTCTGATTTCACTAATTTTCATGTATCCATTTCAAAGGCCTATAACATACATAGTAATTTAGTTTTCTAGGTGCATAATTTGAATCTAGGGTGCTTACAGCTAGGAGACAAGATGAATAGAGCTAATTGTCAGGCACTCCTATTTTAACATGGCTATTTTTTTCTGTTAGTTCACATATTACCAGCAATTAGTATATTTTTTGAAGCTTTTGTGAAACTATGCCCTGTGATGCTCTTCCAACTCAGGGATAACAATACATATGGCTGTGTCTGAGATATACATTTTTCTGAAATGTCAAAGGTCTACTTCTCAACATTCTAATGGATTCACACATTACTTATTATTATTACTGATTCTTAACGACCTTGGTACTTCCTGCAGCAGTCTTCTAAGTGACTGGTCTGGGAGTCCCAGTTTTTATGTTCTCCATTTTGAGTTTACCCTGCCCATGTTCTCACTGAACCTCTGGTAATAACGGCTTTTAGAAATCTTGACTGAAAAACAAACAGGGCCATGGTGCTTTCAGGTGTTGGAACTCTTTGAGCACCAGGAACTGTGCTAAGTGTCTTACATGTGTTCTCATTCAGAGATCAGAGTGAGGTAGGTACTATCATCACCACTTTAAGGATGAAGACAGAGGCTTAAAGCAGTGAAGTCACACAGCCAGGGACTGGCCAACAAAGATCTGAACCCAGGTAGATAGGACTCCAGAACTACAATCACCCTTGAAAGAATTACAAAGCCCAACTCTCCACTGCTCTCTACTTGTAACACAAGCCATAAATCTCTACCCTCAGGGGCCTAAAGCCAACAAATTACCACAAACTTAGTGGCTTTAAACTAAGTTTCTGTAGGTGAGAAGTGTGGCATAGCACAGCAAATTTATATGCTCAGGGTCTCACCAGGCTAAAATCAAGGCATCAGGTAAGGCCAAGCTTCTCATCTGTGCCTCAAGGTGCTTTCTTCCAAGCTCACTGGAAGGATTCACTTCCTTCTCTTGATTTCCACATGGCCCCTCTATCTTCAAGTCAGCAATAGCACCTTGGGCCTTCCTTTGAATCTGACTCCTGCATCCTCTTCCATTTTTAAGGGTTCATGTAATTACACTGGGTTCCCCCAGGTAATCCAGGATAATATCTCTATTTTAGAAATTTTAGTTACATCTGCAAAGTCCCTTTTACCACATAATGTAACACATTCATAGGCATAACACTGGGCAGGGAAGGTGATGGGGACCAAAATTCTGCCTATCACCCCCTCCTGGAACCTCTCTTGTACATCTACAGCACCCAAGGCAAAATGCTGTCTCCCTTAGACACTTTTGCAGTACTCTGTCCTCTGCCAAGTGTCCAAGCAGTTATAGCAGCTGGACTGGGTCTCACTCAAAATATAAATTAACACCATGTATTTTCACCTTAAGAAATGCTGGTTGGCTGGGCCTGGTGGTTCCTGCCAGTAATCCCAGCACTTTGGAAGGCTTAGACGGGCGGATCGCCTGAGGTCAGGAGTTTGAGACCAGTCTGGCCAACATGGTGAAACCCCACGTCTACTAAAAATACAAAAATTAGCTGGGCATGGTGGCGTGCGCCTGTAATCCCAGCTACTTGGGAGGCTGAGGCAGGAGAATCGCTGGAACCCGGGAGGGAGGGTTGCAGTGAGCCAAGATCGTGCCATCGCACTCCAGTCTGGGTGACAAGAATGAGACTCTATTAAAGGAAAAAAAAAAAAAAAAAGCTAAGTTAACTGGTAGAAGATTGTGGAAAGGCCTATTTTTACTGGGGATAGGAATAGGATGATCTTCAACTGTTAAAACATTTCAGGTTACCCCACTCAGGACTCCCTATGAAACAAAACCCGAAAAATGAACACTAACTATAACCCTTTCACTCCCAGGTTCTCACTCTTTCCAGTGCCTGGAGATCCTCAGACTTACTAAGTCTTCACTTAGGATGGTAGTGTGGACCAACACTGCAGCAACACAGTTTATCCAAAAGGTCAAACATAAATAGAATATTTTATACATTCAGAAAATTACTCATGCAAGGAAAAGCGCTCTGAAATTACTTTAAATCAAAGCTGCTCTGAAGCAGATCAAGAATCTTGCTTAAAATTGAATTCACGTATCTGAGAAGCAAATGTCCTTGTTCAGCACATTCGGGCAGTTCCTTGGTTCAGCTCAGCACACATCCCAGTAGAATCTTGTTCCACTAAATCAGCAAAACCTTGCCGTCACCTAATACAATGGCATCTTCTGATCTAAGAACACCTTCTCTTCTCTAACAAGAAATAACAGGACAAATAGAGAATAAAAACAGCAGGCAAATAAATAAGGGCCATCTCATAGATGAGCTGATAACTGGATAAAATACAAGTAAAATGTTAACTATAGATATAGGTGGTGAGTATAAGAATTCACTGGATAACTACTGGAACTTTTTTGCATGTTTGAAAATTTTCATAATGTCAGAAGCATCGCAACAAATTCAACCATAGGCACCAAAGCAAGTCACATTTCTCATTAAATGTTTCATAAAGAGTCAGATACTCTCCAGGCCATTTGTTACAACTCCCTATATAAATGCAATTCTTCATTCTCAAGACCTTATTTGTGTTGTTTCCCCACTGGACTCTTCCCAAATGCAAACCAGGCCCAGTTCAGGTTCTAACACCTTCTATTTAAAAAAAGAAAAAGAAAAATCCTTCTTCTCTCTGCTTAAGTGCCATTGCATTTCACTGTGTCGTACTATCTAAAATACAGATCTGACAATTTTTTAGGTGTTATACTAGTTAGACTGGGTGTTGTTTTTAATTATAAGAAATACTTTCTACGCCAGGCACAGTGGCTCATGCCTGTAATCCCAGCACTTTGGGAGGCTGAGGCGGGTGGATCACTTGAGGTCAGGAGTTTGAGACCAGCCTGGCCAACATGGTGAAACCCCATCTCTACTACACAAATAAACAAACAAACAAAAAACACACACAGATTAGCTGGGCATGGTGGCGCATGCCTGTAGTCCCAGTTGCCTGGGAGGCTGAGGTTGCAGTGAGCCAAGATTAGGCTATTGGACTCCAGCCTAGGCAACAGAGTGAGATCCTGTCTCAGAAACAAAAACAAAAGAACAAACAAACATTAGCCAGGCATGGTGGCAGGCACCTGTAATGCCAGCTACTCAGGAGGCTGAGGCAGAAGAATCACTTGAACCTGGGAGGTGGAGGTTGCAGTGAGCTGAGATTGTGCCACTGCATGCCAGCCTGGGCGACAGAGTAATACTTTGTCTGAAAAAATAAAAATAAAATAAAACATAAAAAAGCTATCTTTTAGATACGTATTAAGATATTATACATGAAGTGATATGATAGCTGGAACGTGCTTTAAAATAACTCAAGGGGTTGGGTACAAATGAAACGAGACTGATCATAACTGTGAGAGCTAAGCCCAGAGTACATGACCTAGTTGTTCTATTTCTATGTTTTTTGTTAGAAAACAAATTGAAAATACAACCCTGGGAAGAAATTATGTAGTCAAGTAACTATACTATCAAAATGAATTAGACATTTGAAGCAATTATCTATAAAACTGTAGTAAAAATTGCCCTGAATCAAGTGATTCAGCCAAAGGAAAGTCTGTTGATTATATTGCACTCCCCCCCCCGCTTCTTTTTTTTCAAACAATCAGCTTTCTATTGCTACTTTTACTGTAGGCCTGACTCTCAATACAGAAACTTCAAAATGGGCGCCTATTCAATCAGAATTTGAAATTTCTATTTTATCCTGCCTCGTGAATTAATGAGCACAAGTTCTTTATAGGATTCCAGCTAATAGATGCAGAAGGAATGACAAGATATCACTGGTTGGCAACCTCTAATGGAATCCCAGATGTGGGCAAATATCATTAATGATGGCTAAATCCATCAGGGGAAAAGCTGATAGAGAACTTTTGTAATGAATGGAGTGGGCTGGCAGCATCCAAACCCACTATCAATCTTAATGTTACAAGATGAGAGCCATTATGTGCCATGATGTGATACAACATGGAGCATATATCACCTATGAATTATTTTTGTGAAAAAGCAAAACAGAACAACAGAAGCCCTCTAGATCTGTCAGTTTATAGAACATATAGGGGACAGAAAAGGTGTACATGATCCCATTAGGATACATTCAGTAAAATCCACTGAAGGACAATTCTATAGGACAAACAACTTAGTTTCTTCAAAAATTAAAAACAGGAAAGTTAAATCTATAGATTATATTAACAAAATGCAAGATCTAGATCTTGCCTGGATCTTGACTCGAATAAACCAACTGTTAAAAAAAACTTACGAGACAATCAGGAAGTTTGAATATTGACTGGTACTTGGCATCAAAAAATGTTTTAGCAGTCTTACACAATGGTATTGTGGTTATGTTCAAAAAAGTACCCTATCTTTGGAGTTATATTTGAATGTCTCTGATCACACAGACATGAAAATACTATGCCTGTTAATGGGACTCAAACTGATCCCTGTGGGTTGGGGCAGGGGATAGGTGGGGATGCAGGTAAACAAGACTGACCACAGGACAGCTGTTGGAGGATGGGTACACAGAGCTTCATTCTGCTATTCTTTTTGTGCATTTGTGAAAATTTCCATAATAAAATGTTTTTAAAAATGAGTTTGGATAGCATTATACTATAAAATATTTTAAAATTTCCTTCTTTAATGAAGACTTGCAAGCAGAAAAATATAATTTTCTAAGGGTCAATTAACTAGTACATTAACTCAAGTAACAGTTACTTAGCGCAGGGCATGGTGGCTTATGCCTATAATCCCAGTACTTTGGGAGGCCAAGGTGGGAGGATGGCTTGAGCCAGGAGTTCAATACCAACCTGGGCAACATAGGGAGACCTCTGTCTCTTACATAAATAAAAAAAATTAGCCAGGTATGGTGGCATGTGCCTGTGGTCCCAGCTATTTGCAGGGCTGAGGTAAGAGGATTGCTTGGGCCTGAGAGGTGGAGGCTGCAGTGAGCCAGGATCATGCCACTGCACTTCAACCTGGGCAAAAGAGCAAGAGCCTGTCTCAAAACAAACAAAAAAGTTTCTTAGAAACTGATAAATAAATATAATTTTTAAAAGATTGTACAAATTACTGTTATTGCATGACTAAGAGACTACTAAAAGTTGGGATTTTTTTTTTTGAGACAGAGTCACACTCTGTCACCTAGGCTGGAGTGTAGTGGCGTGATCTTGGCTCACTGCAACCTCTGCCTCCTGGGTTCAAGTGATTTTTTGTGCCCCAGTGCCCCAAGTAGTTGGGACAACATGTGTGTACCATGCCTGGCTAATTTCTGTATTTTTAGTAGAGACTTTTTTTTGTTTGTTTTGAGAGGGAGTCTTGCTCAGTCGCCAAGCTGGAGTGCAGTGGCGCCATCTTGGCTCACTGCAAGCTCCGCCTCCCGGGTTCACGTCATTCTCATGCCTCAGCCTCCTGAGTAGCTGGGACTACAGGCGCGTGCCACCACACCCGGCTAATTTTTTGTATTTTTTTAAATAGAGACGGGGTTTCACCATGTTAGCCAGGATGGTCTCGATTTCCTGACCTCGTGATTCACCCACCTTGGCCTCCCAAAGTGCTGGGATTACAGGCGTGAGCCACCGCGCCTGGCCGAGACGGCGTTTTACCATGTTGGCCAGGCTGGTCTCAAACTCCTGACCTCAAGTGTTCCACCAGCCTCGGTCTCCCGAAGTGTTGGGATTACAGGCGTAAACCACAATGCCAGGCCAAAAATTGGGATTTTAAACCAAAAGGAGAAACCTTTGATAAACTGAACATCAATTCCAGGTAAAACTAGGCTCTGGAGTCAGCCAGATCTAGGTTTGAATCCTAGCTCTGTCATTTTCTATCTACCAGTTCAATGTTTTTTGGCATAGCACACAATTTCTGTGACCCTTAGGCTCCACATCTATAATGTGGCAGCAACAACTTTCTTGGTCAGTAGAGCACTCTGCAAAGGGCCTGGCACATGGTAAGTGCTTGGTGTAGAATTCAAATAATTCCACTACCATTTCAGTCATAAATGCATACTTTTCTATAATCTAACATCTCTCAAATTGGGATGTCTCATAATTGATGGCATATCATGATTTAATTGGCAGGTTTTTTCCTTAGTCGTTTGTAAAAAATGGTGCTACAGATCAATAGCATCTAAGAGTCAATATACCATGGTATCAATCATTGTAAAGATATATTCCCAATTTCTGTTCTAAGGTTACTCTGAATAACCAATCTGAGATTTAAAATATTTAAAGTCTGAGTAAAATATTTCTAATACATCATGAACAGAACAGTTTTGAGACAAATTAATTTTGTAAAAAATGGTTTATCAATTCCATTTTTGTATAAAACACACGGGAGAAACCTAGCCAATCAACACACAACTGTCACCACATGAAAAGGTACTTTTATCAAACTTCGAGTCTAAGAACATACAAATGTTTCTTTTATCATGTCTACAGTAATTGTCTATGCTTTTCCATTTAACTGTTGTTAAAAATTCCACATATCCCCATTATTTCTTCTGTCCCAGTTACAGTACAATGACGGGGAGGAAGAGGGTTGGTTAAAGCATCCCTCTAAGCAGTTTTCTGCTGTCCCTTCTTTCCAATCAGAGATTTGTGGATGTGAGGGATCACACCTAGAATGAAATTTAAAAAAGTTATTAAAAACTTTTAAAGTTTTTGCCTCAAGTAAAAAGTTAATTATAGAAAAAATGAAATTTACTTAAGTCCCTTTTCATATTCTGATACTGTTAAACTATCTATACCAATGGCTACACCCCAGGGGTCTGTGAACCCTTTAAAACTGTATGTAAAATTGTGTGACTTTCCGTGCATTTTTTGAGAAGAGTAACCATAGCTTTTTTTTTTTTTTTTTTTTGAGATGGCCTCACTTTGTCGCCAATGCTGGGGTGCAGTGGTGTAATCTTGGCTCACTGCGACCTCTGTCCTGGGTTCAAGTGATTCTCCTACCTCAGCCTCCTGAGTAGCTGGGACTACAGGTGTGCACCACCACGCCCAGCTAATTTTTGTATTTTTAGTAGAGATGGGGTTTCACCACGTTGGCCAGGCTGGTCTTGAACTCCTGACCTCGGGTGATCCGGGGCCTCTCAGCCTCCCAAAGTGCTGAGATTACAGGTGTGAGCCACCGTGCCCAGCTGTAACCACAGCTTTCACGAGGTTCTTTGAGGGTTATCCAAAGAAGATTAAGAACCACCAACTTACCTCTCACTTTCATTGATCCTGACCCACTTTTCAAGTGTATTTATTTCAACCCTTTCCAGTGTATGTTATGCAACTTCTCCAACTCATTTTTCAAACACAGTTAAAAAAGTATGGGAAATATGTTAAACATCAGGCTTTAAGTATCATATGAAATTTAGACAAAGAACTGGCTAAAATAAAAATAGCATTACATATGGCTAGAAGGTGAAATATTTATTCAGATCATTATGAAAAGCTTAGAATTGTTATAGATTTAGTATTTATGAAATTAAAGTTTATATGCTTTCTAGTTAACCGATCAAATATACTATATCATTGATCTGAACGATATATTAGTCAGAAAGACCAATAAGAATCAAGGCTTAAGTAGTAATACATACCACCCCCAGCTATGGTAGCCTTGATAAGAGAATCCAACTCTTCATCACCACGGATTGCAAGCTGCAAGTGACGCGGAGTGATACGCTTTACTTTGAGATCCTTAGAAGCATTACCTGCCAGCTCCAGCACCTACAAAGCATCCATGATTAGCATATCAAATGAAGGACCTAGGATCCCAAATGAAGGATCACTTAGCATTTGTACATACAAAATGCACACACAATACATAAACTGATAATATATTTTTCTTTCTTGTATTTCTATAATGCTTTTATAAAGCTCTAATTCATTTAACTTCATTTATATTCATTCTCTGCAACAGAGACACAAACTTGAGCAAAAACCCACTTCTATATAGAAATAAAGGTAAGGACAGGAGATATTACCCCTTAGCCAAGATGCCAGATGTGAACATTTAGAAAAGTCTTTTTTTTTTTTTTTTTTTTTTGAGACAAGGTCTCACTCCATTGCCTAGGCTGGAGTGCAGTGGTGTGATCTTGGCTCACTGCAGCCTTGACCTCCCAAGTGCAGGGTTATTCTCCTGCCCTAGCGTCCTGAGCTGCTGTGACCAGGTGAGCGCCACCAAACCCGGCTTTTTTGTATTTTTGTTTTTTGTAGACACAAGGTTTCCCCACGTTGCCCAGGCTGGTCTCAGACTCCTGTGCTGAAATGATCTGCCCACCTGGGCCTCCCAAAGTGCTGAGATTACAAGTGTGAGCCACCACGCCCAGTCAAAGTCATATATTTTAATATATACTTGTAGACCATTTTTGTACAACCCTTAATAGCTGAAATGTATTTCTTAATGCTTTTAGAAGTTTTCAAATGTATTTTTAAAATTTTTTAAAAATAAAAGAGATGGGACATCATTATGTTGCCAGGGCTGGTGTCAAACCCTTGGCCTCAAGTGATCTTCCTACTTCAGCCTCTCAAAGTGCTGGGATTACAGGTGTACTGGGCCATCGCACTCAGCCTAAAATATAATTTAAAATAATTTCTTTTTTTTGAGATGGAGTCTTGCTGTGTTGCCCAGGCTGCAGTGCAACGGTGTGATCTCAGATCACTGCAACCACCACCTCCCGGGTTCAAACTATTCTCCTGCCTCAGCCTCCCGAGTAGCTGGGACTACAGGCGCCTGCCACCATGCCTGAGTAAGTTTTGTATTTTTAGTAGAGATGGGGTTTCGGCTAGGCGCGGTGGCTCACACCTGTAATCCCAGCAATTTGGGAGGCCGAGAGGGGTGGATCATGAGGTCAGGAGATCGAGACCATCCTGGCTAACACGGTGAAACCCTGTCTCTACTAAAAATACAAAAAATTAGCTGGGTGTGGTGGCAGGCACCTGTAGTCCCAGCTACTCGGGAGGGTGAGGCAGGAGAATGGCGTGAACCCAGGAAGCGGAGCTTGCAGTGAGCCGAGATGGCGCCACTGCACTCCAGCCTGGACGACAGAGCGAGACTCTGTCTCGAAAAGAAAAACAAAAACAAAAACAAAAAACAAAACAACAAAAAAAACAGACACAGGGTTTCACCATATTGGCCAGGCTGGTCTCAAATTCCTGACCTTGACTCCGTCTCAAAAAAAATAAAAAAATCAAACTCCTGACCTTGTGATCTGCCCGCCTTGGCCTCCCAAAGTGTTGGGATTACAGACGTGAACCACTACGCCAGGCCACCTCCTCGTTTTAAATAGAGCAGTGTTGGGTATACAGGAGAATCAACTGCTGAACTTTAAAAATACAAAAATCAGCAAGGTGTGGTGGCACACGCCTGTAATCCCAGCTACTTGGGAGGCTGAGGCAGGAGAATCGGTTGAACCCAGGAGGTGGAGGTTGCAGTGAGCCGAGATTGAGCCACTGAACTCCAGCCTGGGCGACAGAGCAAGACTCTCAAAAAAAAAAAAAAGAAAAAAAAAAAAAAAAAAAAAGTTGACTGCACCCACACATTCATTGTCCAATCTTAACCTAAATTGTTTTTTTTTTTTGAGACATGGTCTCACTGTCATGCAGGCTGGAGTGCAGTGGTGCAATCATGGCTCACTGCAGCCTCAACCTCCTGGGTCAGGTAATCATCCCACCTCACCCTCTCCACTAGCTGGGACTACAGGTGCACACTATCACATCTGGTCAATTTTTTGTATTTTTTTGTAGAGACAGGGTTTTGCCATGTTGTCCAGGCTGGTCTGGAAGTCCTGGACTCAAATGATCTGCCCACATTGACCTCCCAAAGTGCTGAGATTACAGGCATGAGCCACTGTGTAAACTTTAAAAATTTTAACCAAAGTTCCCAAAGATTTAAAAAAAAGGGGGGGGGGGCTTAGATAGATGGGGCTTGAACCTTGTGAACCACAATGTTCAATGTAAGACACCACACCCAGCCAAAGTCATATATTTTAATATATCTATGTGGTCTATTTCTGCAGAACCTTTAATAGCTGAAATTTCTTTTTTTTTCTTTTTTTTAAGACGGAGTCTCGTTCTGTCGCCAGGCTGGAGTGCAGTGGCGCGATCTCGGCTCGCTGCAACCTCTGCCTTCTGGGTTCAAGCAATTCTCCTGCCTCAGCCTCCTGAGTAGCTGGGACTATACACAGACACACGCCACCATGCCCAGCTAATTTTTGTATCTTTAGTAGAGATAGGGTTTCACTATGTTGGCCAGAATGGTCTCGATCTCTTGACCTCGTGATCTGCCCACCTCAGCCTCCCAAAGTGCTGGGATTACAGGCGTAAGCCACCGTGCCCAGCCGTGAAATTTATTTCTTAATGCTTATAGAAAAGTTTTAAAATGTATTTTAATTAAAATTTAAAAATTTTTAAAAATAAAAGAGGCCAGGTGGCCTCTTTTAATAAAAGGTGGCTCATGTCTGTAATCCCAGCACTTTGGGAGGCTGGGGCGGACAGATCATTTGAGGTCAGGAGTTCGAGATCAGCCTGGCCAACATGGCAAAACCTTGTCTCTACAAGAAAATAACAAAAATTAGCCAGGTGTGGTGATGCACACCGGTAGCCCCAGCTACTCCGGAGGCTGAGGTGGGAGAATTACTGGAACCCAGAAGGCAGAGGTTGCAATGAGCAGAGATCATGTCCCTGCCTTCCAGCCTGGGAGACAGAGAGAGATCCTGTCTCAAAACAAACACACAAGAAAAACCCCAAAAACAAAACACCCCTTGATCATGACACAGAGAAGCTGAAACTATCCATAACATCCATAATTCGATGTTAAATCCCCAGTGGGACACAGATGACTTGGTGAGACTAATGAAATAAATGACAGCAATGATAACTGACATACAGATTAAAAGCTAAATTCCTCAGCCTAGCTCCCAATCACATCTCCCCAAGTAAGACCCTTCTGTTTCCACCAGAATGAATGCGTCTACACTTGACCTACTTGTTACTCAAATTACTTCCCCAATCTGGAATGTAGCTGAAGTTTTATGACTTCCCAACGGATTTTTTTAAAGGAGGAATAGGGATGGGGAAAGTGGTGGTCTGTGACCCAAGAACTCTTGCCCAATTAACTTGTCTTCCTGAAATTTCAAACTGAGTAATATACAGCAATTTTGTATGTATAACCCTGCAGAGAACCAGGACAGACTGAGTCTTTTACTTCTATTATCATATTTGTGATTTTTATATATCATCACACTGGCCAAACTTTACATCATCCCAAATCTTCATAAACTACAACATTATGCTCTAACTTCACAAATACTGTCTACTGATTACATACATACTTCAAAGTTCACTGGGGTATGGTGGTTTATGTCTGTAATCCCAGCAACTTGGGAGGACCACTTGAGGCTAGGAGTTAGAAACCAGCCTGGGTAACATAGGGAGCCCTGTCTCCACAAAAAAATAAAAAATAGGCTGGGCGCGGTGGCTCACGCCTGTAATCCCAGCACTTTGGGAGGTGGAGGTGGGTGGCTCACGAGGTCAGGAGATCGAGACCATCCTGGCTACCACGGTGAAACCCCGTCTCTACTAAAAATACAAAAAAAAAAAATTAGCCGGGCGTGGTGGCGGGTGCCTGTAGTCCCAGCTACTCGGGAGGCTGAGGTGGGAGAATGGCGTGAATCCGGGAGGCGGAGGTTGCAGTGAGCCGAGACTGCACCACTGCACTCCAGCCTGGGTGACAGAGCGAGCCTCTGTCTCAAAAAAAAATAAATAAATAAAATAAAAATAAAAAATTAGCACCCAGCGCAGTGGCTCACACCTGTAGTCCCAGCACTTTGGGAGGCTGAGGCAAGTGGATCACCTGAGGTCAGGAATTTGAGACTGACCTGGCCAACATGGTGAAACCCAGTCTCCTCTAAAAATACAAAAATTAGCCGGGTGTAGTGGCGGGTGCCTGTAATCCCAGTTACTGGGGAGGCTGAGGCAGGAGAATTGCTTGAACCCAAGAAGTGGAGGTTGCAGTGAGCCAAGATTGTGCCATTGCACTCCACCTGGGATACAGAGCAAGACCCTGTCTCAAAATAAATAAATAAATAAATAAATAAATAAATAAATAAATAATTAGCCAGGTGTGGTGGCACACACCTGAAGTCACAGCTACTAGGGAGGCTGAGGCAGGAGGATCCTTTGAACCCAGGAGGTTTGAGGTTGGAGTGAGCTATGATCATGCCACTATACTCCAGCCTAGGTGACAGAGTGAGACCCAGTCTCAAAATAAAAAAATAAAAATAAAAGATAAGAGATTGCTGGCCCTTGCTTAACTTTTAAAAATTTTTTTACTTTGAGATAGGGTCTTGCTCTGTCACCCAGCCTAGTCTGGAACTCCAGGACTCAAGTGTACAATCTACCCACCTCAGCCGCCCAAAGTGTTGGCATTACAGGCGTGAATCACTGTGCCCAGCCCCTTGCTTAGCTTTAAAAACAAGTACACCAAGGTTCTTTTACATTGGCATTGGGTAATAGCTGACAAGATGCATCTCAAACTGCTATTAAAGAAACCAATGAGGCCGGACGTGGTGGCTCAAGCCTGTAATCTCAGCACTTTGGGAGGCTGAGGCAGGTAGATCACCTGAGGTCAGGAGTTTGAGACCAGTGTGGCCAACATGGTGAAACTCTGTCTCTACTAAAAATACAAAAATTAGCTGGGCACAGTGGTGCACACCTGTAGTCCCAGCTACTTGGGAGGCTGAGGTGGGAGAATCGCTTGAATCCGGGAGGCAGAGGTTGCAGTGAGCCGAGACTGGCCATTGCACTCCAGCCTGGGAAACAAGAGTGAAACTCTGTCTCCAAACAAACAAACAAAAAAGCCCCAGTGAGCATAATATGTCTTTTTTCAAATATATTCCATGGGTTTCTGTCACTGAGACTAGTGCACCTTCTGGATGGCCATATACAACAGACATTCCTGTACAAACCTCTGCAGTGAGGTACTCCAGAATCGCAGCACTGTACACGGCAGCAGTGGCACCCACCCTTCCATGGCTTGTGGTGCGAGTCTTCAAGTGTCTGTGGATGCGGCCCACAGGAAACTAAAAGAGAGATGTCTTAGTGGGAAGCACTGCAGAGTCTTAACATTGCACTGACTGTAATCAAAGGCTGAACAATGTAAGCATGAAATAATAAAAAACTTGATCACACATATCAGAAGCCAAACCTATTACGCATCAATAGTTCCCAGGGCCTGTGTCTCTGTTCTGGTAATCTGTCCAAAATCTTTAACCTCTGCATAATATGGGAAATATCACTCTAAAATGAAGAAATACCACGCTGGGCTGTCATCAACTGTACGTTCAACATGACCCATGGATCAAATTCCTATCTAGTTAATTTCTTCACATAATAGCCACATGCAACTTTGAACCTCCAATACCTTCCTCAGATCTTAAATGTTCTTTCTTCAGTTTCAAGAGGTGATCTGATAGTTAAGAAAAATCAATACTATTATCTCATTGTGGTTCTTTCTACTTTCTGAAAAAGAGGGTATTTTTCTCATTTCAAAGTATCCTGATCCCACTTGTCTGTGCCCTTTATTATTTTTTTTATTGAGACAGAGTCTCACTCTGTCACCCAGGCTGGAGTGCAGTGGCGCCATCTTGGCTCACTGCAACCTCCGCCTCCCGGGTTCAGGCGATTCTCCTGCCTCAGCCTCCTGAGTAGGTGGGATTATAGGCGCGCCAGGACGCCTGGCTGTTTTGTATTTTTAGTAGAGACAGGGTTTTGAGTGATCTGTCCACCTTAGCCTCCCAAAGTGCTGGGATTACAGGCATGAGCCACTGTGCCCCGCCAGTCTGTGCCTTTCTTACAGGCCTCCCTCAACCCTTCACTGCTCCATTATTTCAACAGCTACAATTACTTCCTTTCCGCTGGTTCCTTTCCTTCTACAGACTTTAC
The DNA here is from genome assembly GCF_000001405.40 of Homo sapiens. Lineage (NCBI taxonomy): Eukaryota > Metazoa > Chordata > Mammalia > Primates > Hominidae > Homo > Homo sapiens. Next base: position 44,841,875 of record NC_000007.14, read on the forward strand.
TGAAAACTTCACAATCTATGAAAACTGCTTCCAGTTACAGTCTAGACAGTCTCTTTCCAAAGACTGAATTGAAAAAACAAATCCTGAAACCCTTACTTCCTTGTCACCCATTTTTCCTAACCCTAACTTGACCTTTGAAGGCCAGCAGTGACATTTTACTTCCTTAATAAAAACAAGCAATCTTTTTTTTGCATTTATACTTCATCTCTAAGTGACCAAAAGCTTCTTAAGGGCAAGATTTATGTCTTCTTTTCCTTTGTATCCTTAGTAACCAGTATGTTGTCTGGCATACAGTAGGCCCTCAAAAACATTTCATCTTAGACTTCAGAGTTCTCATACCAAGTCTGACTACTCCTCAGCCTTTTCTTAAAGTTTTTCAGGGGTCCACCAACGTCCCTGTGCTCCTTTCTCATTCTCTTAGGTTAGGAAACTCATCCATAACATAAACTATCCATTTTACATAAATGATCTCAAATTCCTAATTCTATCACCTCTATTAGAAAGCTGAACTCATGTTTCCAACTTCTGGACATTTTCACATGGATGTTTTAGTGAACTTCAAAATGATTCCATTTAAATTTACTCATAACTTGCCCCTACTACAAACTCCTCTGTTCCTTAGGTTCTAAGCCTTAGAGAAACCTGTGACTTTCTCTCAACCTTATACTGCTTCACCTATTTTCTGCACACACATGCTTTCTACTCCTTCCCATTCAAGTATGTTACTTTATTCCTAAACCACTGCAAAAACCTCCATTGGCCTTCCATTTTCTACTTCAAATTAAGTATGCCTTAAAATAAATTCTAATTGGGAATATACATGGAGACCTAAAATACAGAATGTGCATATCAGTTTAAGTTCCCATCCCCCTTCTTTCGGTATCATCTGGATAATGTTGTCCTCTGGCTCAAACTCTCAATGGCTTACCACTGCCAAGAGGATAACAGTTTACAGCTTAGCCTTCCTGATTAAAAGGGTTTCTCAGCCAGGCGCGGTGGCTCATGCCTGTAATTCCAGCCCTCTGGGAGGCTGAGGCAGGCAGATCACGAGGTCAAGAGATTGAGACCATCTTGGCCAACATGGTGAAATCCCGTCTCTACTAAAAATACAAAAACTAGCTGGGTATGGTGGCGCACGCCTGCAGTCCCAGCTATGTGGGAGCCTGAGGCAGGAGAATCGCTTGAATCCAGGAGGCAGAGGTTGCAGTGAGCCGAGATTGCACCACTGCACTCCAGCCTGACGACAGAGTGAGACTCTGTCTCAAAAAAAAAAAAAAAAAAAAAAAAAAAAAAAAAAAAAAGTCTGTAGTAATACAAGTAGATTTTTGTAATTGATGAAACATAGGTCATAAATTACAACAGTAAAGAAAATAATAATGTAATGACAGCATGGATTCATTACCTGTAGCCCAGCTCTCTGTGAGCGAGATACTGCCTTAGCCTTGGCCTTCCCACTGTCCTTTCCAGCTTTGCCTCCAGCCTAAATGCAAAAAAAAATTTTTTTGAATGAAAAGAGTTGAAAATACTACTTCAAAAATATTCTGGAAACAGAATTTTTTCTAGTTTTACTTTAGGTAGTTAACAATATGTAGGTGATCCCCTTCCTCATTTGTAAATATACATGGGATTCTATCACCTTTTATAATTTCTATCAAAGAAATCAAACCTTAAACACTTATTTAAAATATTTTTCTTTTTTCTTGAGATGGAGTCTAGCTCTGTTGCCCAGGCTGGAGTGCAGTGGTGCGACCTTGACTCACTGCAAACTCCACCTCCTGGGCTCAAGCGATTCTCCTGCCTCAGCCTCCTGAGTAGCTGAGATTACAGGCGCACACCACCACACATGGCTAATTTTTGTATTTTTAGTAGAGGTGGGTTTCACTATGTTGGCCAAGCTGGTCTTGAACTCCTGACCTCAAGTGATCCGCCCGCCTAGGCCTCCCAAAGTGCTGGGATTACAGGCATAAGCCACAGTGCCAGGCTGAAAAATATGAGATTTTTAAAAACAAACATATTTATCAATTTCCAGATTAAAGAATCTTGCAAGTCAATATAACTTTTATGCATACATGAAATATTTCACAATTTTTATCAATGTCAATGTAACATATATTACTTCCACAGAAATATTTAGAACTTAGCTCTCAGAAAAATAAAGCATGTTCCAAGAAAAAAAAAAAAAACCTCAAAAAATTAAACACAGAATTGTCATATAGTCTAGCAATTCCACTTCTAGGTATACACCTAAAAATTGAAAGCAAGGATTCAAACAAATACATGTATACCCACGTTCACAGAAGCATTATTCAGAATAGCCAAAAGGTAGAAACAATCTTGAGTGTCCAATGATGGATGAACAAAATGATATACATATAATGGAATAGTATTCAGCTTTAAAAAGGAAATTCTGACACAAGCTACAACATGAATGGGCCTTGAGGACATTATGCTAAGGAAAATAAGCCAGTTACAAAAAAGACAAATACTGTATGATTCTACTTATGAGGTCCCTAAAATAGTAAAGTTCATGGTCAGAAAGCAGATTTGTGGTTGCCAGGGGTAGCTGCCTCCTGGGTTCAAGTGATTCTCCTGCCTCAGCCTCCTAAGTAGCTGGTAGTATAGGTGCGCGCCACCATGCCCTGCTAATTTTTGTATTTTTAGTACCAACAAGGTTTCTGCATGTTGGCCAGGCTGGTCTTGAACTCCTGACCTCAAGTGATCTGCCTGTCTCATCCTCCCAAAGTACTGGGATTACAGGCGTGAGCCACTGCGCCTGGCCGAGTTATTGTTGAATGGGTAGAGTTTCCACTTGGGAAGATGAAAAAGTTCTAGAGGCAGAAGGCAGTGATGGTTGCACACTATAAATGTACTTAATGCCACTGAACTGTACGCTTTAAAAAAACCTATTTCTGCATGAAAAAGGCAAAGTATGTGCCAATGTAATGAGCTTTTAAGTAAATATGGGGTATTATAGAGTATATGTGTACACATGTATTTCTAGTAGGTGACACAATAAATTAGAAATGTTATTTGCCTCTCGGGAGGAAATACTAAAGGTCTGACTTAAGAAAACTAATTTTCTCTCATATATTTTGCTTTTACCATTTAAACAGATTATTTCTTTACTGTTAAAAAAAGAAATCAGTTTACAAGATTGGCTGTTTGAGGGGCTATTCTTTCAAAATAGATGGTAAGCTTTGAAATGGCATATCCCCTTTGTAGCTAACCCTTTCCTTAAAAATTTTTTAAAGCTAAAAATTACCCCTGTATACTTCCTCTAATTGCACGTCTAAGTGGATTAAGTGCGTGTCACCCAAGATAATATGGAAGAAAAACAGTAAAACCCTGGCAGGTATCAGAAACAGGAAAAATAAAAATCTAAGAACTAATTCATATTCACTCTCTTATATTAGGTAATTCAACAAGAGACTGATTTAAGTTTACCAGTAAGAACTGAGACGCTCTCTATTTCTACCAGAATGCCTCATATTTTAATAATTTTTGACTATGTTGTTATATAAGAAAAATACAATTTTTGGATTTTTGAGGTCAGCTCCACTAACAAGACAGTCTTACTTACTTCTCAAATAAAAAACCCTTGTTACCTCCATTTGCCCTAATATATAACACTTAAAAACCTCTCAACTGGCATCTAAAATTATAATCACTGTCTTCCTATGACTGGATTGGAAAAAATAAGAAGTAGTCACTAATAAAAAGCCAACAACTACAAAATTCCCCAGGCTCCCCAGGTCATATAATAACTACTCTGCTTAAGCAATTTTATCCTCACTGTTTCAGATATGTCATATTTGGTGTTCTATTTGCTTTTTAAGGAAGTAGACATACAGTCAGGTTTTAAAAGCCTCAATCCATTAAATGACTATTTCCAACATTTAGAGATTCCTGATACATTTCTCATACTTAACAAAAGAAAACTTTTATGGTATCAAACTTATCTGAATATAAAACTATACAATAAATGGATAATTACTTTCTTTCCGATATCCCCTCAAACTGTATATATAGCCTCCCTACTTTGAACATTCATTTTAATATAATTGGTGCTTGAGAACCCAAATCTAAATTTTTTAATTCCAAGAACTGACTTCGTATTAACCTGAGTTAAGGTTGTTGGTTTTAAAAAATTACACACACACACACACACACACACACACACACACACACAGAGAGAGACAGAGAGAGAGAGAGAGGAGGAAGTAGGAGTTCGTTCATTTTACTTGGATAAACTTGCAAACTGGATACTAAGACACTTTCATGTCAGTTTTAACAGACATCTGCTTACTTCCTCTCAGGTTTAAAATCTATCAAGAACGACAACTCAATGTCTCCTGCATTTTTAGCTTATGTTAATACTTATGTATTTTTAGCTACTGGTAAGTGGATATAAAACATATAGCGTATCACTAGAGATTGAAAAATATCTGAAAAACTAGAATTGGCCGTGCGCGGTGGCTCACGCCTGTAATCCCAGCACTTTGTCAGGCCGAGGGGGGCGGATCACAAGGTCAAGAGATCGAGACCATCCTGGCCAACATGGTGAAACCCAATCTCTACTAAAAATACAAAAAATTAGCAGGGCGTGGTGGCGCACGCCTGTAGCTATTCGGGAGGCTGAGGCAGGAGCATCGCTTGAACCCGGGAGGCGGAGGTTGCAGTGAGTGAAGATCGCCCATTGCACTCCAGCCTGGCAACAGAGTGAGACTCCGTCTCAAAAAAAAAAACCACAAAAAACCACAAAAAACAAACAACAAAAAACCAAAAAAAAAAAAAACCACAAAAAACTAGAATCATGAAAATCATCTGTTTGAGCAAATCCTTTTACAGATTAGATGTAAGCTGTACCTCAGTTTGATAAAGTACTATAAAGTACTTTACAATAACAATAAACTATACGTGAGACGTTGGAAGCAATTATCCCTAAAGTCTATTCCAGCTCTAAGATTTGGGTTTTTTACAATAACAATAAACTATACGTTAGACGTTGGAAGCAATTATCCCTAAAGTCTATTCCAGCTCTAAGATTTGGGTATTTTACAATAACCAAACATTGTCCTCTCGACTGGCCAATCTGTTTACAGTTAGGTGTTATGTCTATTCAATACCATATCTGTCACATCAAGCACAAGACAAATCATCTAATACTATCTGCAGTATGATAAATGACAGCTTGGTGCTAACTTTTAAGCAGGTAGCTCCCGTTGAAGTAACCTTTCAACAGAATGCTTAAAGCACGAATACCGGCAAAAATAAGATTCCATAACAGTCTTATTATTTTTACACAATCTTTGATGCAACTCAGAGCGTATCCTTTAGCACCTTCTCTTTTCCCCTCAACTTTAAAATGGGGCTGAAGTTCTATTCACTTTCATTTTTTTAAAGCCACACTCTTCTTATCTAGATCTGAATTTCAGAATGAAAAGATGAATACTTTAAGACTGAAAATCCATAGCAAGGGCAAAGGAAAGTACTGTTGTATAATGAAAACCGCAAACTGCAAGGGGCTCAGAAGATAACGGGCGTTCATTTCTAACCTGTGCAATCACCTAGAACAAATCGTGTGGTTCTGGTCTATAAAACCATTCTTTGTCGCTCAAAAGACCACAAATACAAGCACCCTTTCGCAGAAACCCTCAAACTGACTGCCAGGGAGATTACGTAACCAAACATCGCCAAAGACTTATCTAACTTGTACAGCGGCAGCCTGTTTGACCTCATTCATACAGAGAAGCGATCACATTAAGATCCAGCACTTGTTTCTACATTTCCAAGCCGGATTCTGCCGTCCTCCTCCTTCTAAGACGGGCGGTGCAGCGTCACAAGCGTCGGGACAGATCTATCCGGCTCGGAACAGACTTCGCGCTCTACCCGGCCAGGCCCAGCTCTCACCCGGGGACCCGTGTCGGGCTCCGCAGCTGGGACATGGCGCCCCCCGGCGGGCGGCGAGGGGCTCGGCCGGACGAAGCCCAGACACCCGCAAACTCCCGACTCCACAGGTAGCGGCGCCGACGCCAGGGCCTCCGCGCTCTGCTCTCCCAGGCCCCGTGCCCCCGGCCCACCCGGCCGCCCTTACCATGTTCTCGGCGCCGACTCCGCCTCCGCTCGGCCGCGCGCCCTCCCGCTGCCGACCCGCGCCGCCGCCGCCGCTCTCGCAGCACCGACCGCCGCCGCCGGAGCCGGACAATACCCCGTGCCCGCCTCGCGCTGCTGTGGCCAATGCCCGCTTGTCTTGCTGGTTCGAACCCCAGCGGCTGTTCAATCGCGCGCCTCCTTCTAGCCAGACCCCGCCCCCCCGGCACCGCCTTCCTAACGGCTGTTTGTTTTTGCACACGGCACGCGGAGGCGGGGCCTCCAGCCCCAATAGTGACGCGCTCTCTGCCTTTCACCAGGCGCCCAAGCCTGACGAACAGAAAGGCAAACCAATGAGATTGGACGCCTCGCAGACGAAAGCCAATAAAAATATCGCCCGCGAGCAAGGGAGGCGGGCCACTGGGAAGGACAGCAAAATTAGCTAATAAGGTGAAGCGATTGCAGGCGCTGTGGCTTTCCCGCCCATTCGCGGCGTTGGTTTTCCCGCTTCTGAGACTTGTTTGGGGAGGTAAAGAGTGTTGGACGTGCTTCTCCTGGTGGGTTTTCACAGACTGTGAGGATTTATTCGTCTTAGAACGTGTGGATCAGGAGGGCGCTGGGTTTCAAGGTTAGGCAGGCCTCATGCTCAGCCGTATTCTGGCGGACTGACTACCCTGACGTCCTCTCAGCGCGGACCCTGACAAGGTCCGCGGCAGGCTGAGGCGGGAGAATCGCTTGAACCCCGGAGGCGGAGGTTGCAGTGAGCCGAGATCGCGCCACTGCACTCCAGCTGGGCGACGCATCGTCTCAAAACAAACAAACAAAAACAAAAGCTATCAATTGGCTACATATTGTTATTTGTATGACAAATTCTTTTTCCTTTTTTAGAGATGGAGTCCTGGGACTACAGGCGCGCGCCCCAATGCCCAGCTAACTTTTGTATTTTTAATAGAGACGGGGTTTCTCCGTGTTGGTCAGGCTGGTCTCGAACTCCTGACCTCAGGTGATCTGCCCCCCTTTGCCTCCCAAAGTACTGGGATTACAGGCGTGAGCCACCGCGCCCGGCATGTATTACAAATTCTAAGAACACGAAGATAATGGGGCCGGCTTGGTGGCGCGAACCTGTAGCCTCACCTACTGTCAAGACTGAGACAGGAGGATCTCTTGAGCCCAGGAGGTCGAGGCTGCAGTGAGTCATGATCGCACCACTGCACTCCAGCTTGGGAGACAGAATATACCCTGTCTAAAAAATAATAATAAAAAAAAAGGTAATGGATGAGGCCGATAGTCAGGAATGAAATGACTTTAAACAATTGGGTATGCATGGGATTGGGTATGTGTGTATGTGGGGGCAGAGGGTGGGCATAACCGAAGTCCCATACTCATGTCCCTCTAGGCCTAATACATTTTGCAGACCTCACAGAGCTCAGACTGTTGTGAGCCGTTTTTCTTTTCTCAACCTCTTCAGTGTGTTTATTTTGCTTACATCATTAGGTTAAAATTTGGAGGATAACTCCCAGCTAGAAAGGAAGAAAAGCTCTAAAGTGGAATCGCCTTCCCCCGGAAGCTGTTGTAAAAATTAAAGGATGTATGTGAGTGCACAGGCTCTCCAGCGATCGTTTTTCTTCCACAGTGTTAACACAATTTATTTATTTATTTACTTTTTGAGATGAAGTCTCACTCTGTTGCCCAGGCTGGATGGAGTGCAGTGGTGTGATCTGGGCTCACTGCAACCTCCGCCTCCTGAGTTCAAGCGATTCTCCTGCCTCAGCCTCCTGGGTAGCTGGGACTAAAGGCTCCCACCACCATTCCCCGCTAGTTTTTGTATTTTTAGTAGAAATAGGGTTTCACCATGTTGGCCAGGCTGGTCTTGAACTCCTGACCTCAAGTGATCCTCTCGCCTCAGCCTCCTAAAGTGCTGGGATTACAGGCGTGAGCCACCGCGCCTGGCCTGTTTCCACAATTAAAAAAGGCCCATCACCCTATCATGATCATCTCTATTACAGTCTGGACAATATGAGCTTTCTGGGAGAGCCAGCTTCATTTCATAACTGAAGAAATGGGCTTAGGTGAACTTAGTCATTTGCCTGAGACCGCATAGCCTGTAGATAACCAAGATACCAGCTCACATTTGTTCCAACTCATTCCAGCTTTAAATTCTTTCATTCTTTTCACAGTATGATGCATTGACTGTGCTAGAATGTGTTCTTGGTGTTGGTGAGTTAATAGTGAAAAAAACAAGTTTCTGCCTTAGTGGAGATTCTGTTGTCATAGGATTTTCCCAGGCTGGCACTTTAGAAATTTATATCCAGGCTGATGATAGCTGTTCCAAAGTTTGAATCAGGAGAAGCAACTTTGGGGAAGTGAGTCTTTAAAAAAAGGTAACTTAAATTCAAGAAGAGGAAGAGGGTGAGCTTCTAAGTAAGAATTTGGAAAAATACGGATGAAGGTACAGACAAGTGTGAGGAAGGGTGTCCAGTGAAATAGGAAGGAATGGAGCAATGTGCCCAGATTAATAGAAGCCTCAAAACTAGGTAGAAGAGTGGAGTTACTTCAGTAAAAATAGCCATTGTTAATTCCTGCTCCTCTGTGTTTCTGGCCTCAGTGGATGGCATTACCAATCTACCAAGGCATAAGCCTGTGAGTTATTCCTTTAACAAATCACTCAGTGCCTACTGTTTGCAGGCACTGTGCTAGGTACTGAGGATTTGGTGATTAGCAAAATAGACATTGTCCTTGCCCTTGTGGTCCTCTGCAGCGGGAGTCAGATGTTAAAGAAATAAACAAATACCATATGTGAATTATAATAAGTTCAAGTGTGCTGAAGGAAAAGAACAGGGTGCTTTAAGAGAGAAACAGGGAATGTAGTTTAGCTGGTGTGGGTGGTCCACAAAGAGCATGCAGGCTGGGCGTGGTGGCTCACTCCTGTAATCCCAGCAATTTGGGAGGCCAAGGTGGGTGGATCATCTGAGGTCAGGAGTTCGAGACCAGCCTGGCCAACATGGCAAAACCCTGTCTCTACTAAAAATGCAAAAATTAGCCAGGCGTGGTGGCGCATGCCTGTTATTCCCAGCTACTCAGGAGGCTGACGCAGGAAAATCACCTGGGCCCAGGAGAGCCTGGGAAGCGGAGGCTGCAGTGAGCTAAGATTGCGCCACTGCACTTCAGCCTGGGCGACAGAGCAAGACTCCACTCCATCTCAAAAAAAAAAAAAAAAAGAAGAGTTGCCCTTGTGAAGGGGGGCTGAAAGAAGTGTCCAATAATGTATGAGAAAGCACCTAGCACTGTACCTAGCACATAATATCCAATAAATGTTAACTTCCTTCCTTAACAGGAAAATCATTTTCTCACCACTCTCTACCCCTCAGCCTTCATGTCATTGATTCAGATTTTGATGAAAGTGGAGTTAGGTTGAAAAAGACTGGTTCTCATTGTAGATAATAGTAATCCTTTCACTGATTTATATATCATCACTAAATTATATCATCACTGTAAACACAGATGCCAGAAAAAAGTCTGCCTACTAACAGTTTTATAAACCAAGTGTGTTAGTAAAATTTAGTTTCTAGTGAACTAGGGTAACAAAAAAGGCAAAGATGAGCTCATGAAGAACACCAGTCTAACCAGAAAATGTTATGTATTAGCATCTATAAATGATAAACTACAAACATTGACAAATTATTCAACTTTGGGCTGGGGATGGTAGCTCATGCCTGTAATCCTAAAGCTTTGGGAGGCCAAGGCATGAGTCACCAGGGCAGGAGTTTGAGACCAGCCTGGGCAACATGGCAAGACTCCACTTCTACAAAAATTAAAAGAAAAAAATTAGCTGAGTGTGTGGCACATGCCTGTGATCCCAGCTAGTTGAGAGGCTGAGGTGGGTAGAGAACTTGAGCCCACGAGTTCAAGGCTGCAGTGAGCTATGTATGATTGTGTCACTGCTCACCAGACAGGCAACAGAACCAGACTGTATCTCTAAAAAAAAAATTATTCAATGTTGCTGGATTTAACCCAGTAATATATAGTATAATTGTTCTCAAAGTGTGATCCTTAGACCACCAGCATCAGCATCACTTGGAACTTGTTAGAAATGTATTCTCACCACCACCCCAGACCTGCTGAATCTGACACTGAGGGTGGGACCTACAAGCGCTCCAGGGGATTCTGGTGCATACTGAAATTTAAGAACCACTGGTATAGTATATGCTGCAGTGCACAGTCCAGAGCCCACGTATTCCTTATAAAACTGGAGCACTTGGCCAGGTGTGGTAGCTCATCCCTGTAATCTCAGAACTTTGGGAGGCTGAGGTGGGCAGATCACCTGAGGTCAGGAGTTCCAGACCAGCTTGGCCAACATGGTGAAACCCCATCTCTACTAAAACAAAAATTAGCTGGGTGTAGTGGCATGCGCTTGTAGTCCCAGCTACTCTGGGAGGCTGAGGCAGGAGAATCACTTGAACCCAGGAGGTGGAAGTTGCAATGAGCCGAGATGACGCCACTGCACTCCAGCCTGGGCAACAGAGCAAGACTCTGTCTCAAAAAAACAAAAACAAAAAAACTGGAGCACTTATTTAGCTCCTGGAAGTGTTGACTGATCATTACTCAGGGATCTCTACCCAGGAATTGGACTTGGCCAAAGGAAGCTGTATCGCCCAAGTTTACACTCCTTTTTAGGGGGCCTACCTCCAGTGACTGGTGGATGTAGGATATAGTGCCTAGCTCTTTTGCCTTAATTTGAGACAATTCTGAAGGGCCATTCCAGCTCCAGAGTTTCTTGTGTGATTAGTTTTGACTTGATCTAACTGCATTGAAGTTCAACTTCTGCGTAATCCTACTTCCTCTATTTTCTCCTAGTAATGTCCCCAAGAGCATTCCATACTATTACCTCTTGAAAGCAAATCCCATTTGTTTCCTGGGAAACCTGAACTAAGACAATGACTTTTCTCTGCAAAAATGTAGTCAATTTTTGAGTAGGCAAGATATTCACACGTACAAAATTTCAAAATGTACAAAGGGTATACAGTGAAAAGACTCCCCTGGTGCAGTGGCTCATGCCTGTAATCTCAGCACTTTAGAGGTTAAGGCAGGAGGATCGCTTGAGCCCAGGAGTTCGAGACCAGTGTGGGTGACATAGTGAGACCCACATCTCTGTGAAAAATAAAAAAAATAAGCCGGGCGCGGTGGCTCACGCCTGTAATCCCAGCACTTTGGGAGGCCGAAGCAGGCAGATCACGAGGTCAGGAGATCGAGACCATCCTGGCTAACGCGGTGAAACCCCGTCTCTACTAAAAATACAAAATATTAGCCGGGCGTAGTGGCGGGCGCCTGTAGTCCCAGCTACTCGGGAGGCTGAGGCAGGAGAATGGCATGAACCCGGGAGGCGGAGCCTGCAGTGAGCCGAGATTGCGCCACTGCACTCCAGCCTGGGCGACACAGCAAGACTCCGTCTCAAAAAATAAAAAAATTAAGAAAATAAGCCAGGCATGGTGGCGTGCACATGTAGTCCCAGCTACTCAGGAGGCTGAGGGAGAAGGATCACTTGAGCCCAGGAATTTAAGGATGCAATGAGCTGTGATTGTGCCACTGCCTTCCAGCCTGAGTGAGAGCAAGACTCATACACACAGACACACAAACTCCTCCCATCCTTGCCCTTAGTCATCAGTTTCACCTCTGCAGAGGTGTTGCTGATACAGTGAAGTGTGTTAGCATTTAGAGACTTCAGACTTAAAGATTACTATACATAGATTGCAGGAGCTTTTTATCCCTGTGTTCACTTTTAAATTCCATTTTAATGCTGCAGTGCTCTTCAAAATATCACAAAGACTGTAAGAGACAGAAATTTTCTTTTGGCTATTCCTTTTTTTTTTTTTTTGAGACGGAGTCTCGCTCTGTCGCCCAGGCTGGAGTGCAGTGGCGCGATCTCGGCTCACTGCAAGCTCCGCCTCCGAGGTTCACGCCATTCTCCTGCCTCAGCCTCCCGAGTAGCTGGGACTACAGGCCCCCGCTACCACGCCCAGCTAATTTTTTTTTGTATTTTTAGTAGAGACGGGGTTTCACCGTGTTAGCCAGGATGGTCTCGATATCCTGACCTCGTGATCCACCCGCCTTGGCCTCCCAAAGTGCTGGGATTACAGGCGTGAGCCACCGCGCCCGGCCTCTTTTGGCTACTTTTGTAAAGGATAGCCAAATTCTCCTTTTTAAAGTACAGTCATGCATTGCTTACTGATGGGGATACCTTCTGAGAAATGTGTCATTAGGAAATTTCATCATCATGCTCACATTATAGAGTGTACTTACACAAACCTAGATGGTATATATAGCCTACTAGACACCTAGCTATATGGCATAGCCTGTTGTTCCTAGGCTACAAATCTGTACAGCATGTTACTAGTGCTGAATACTACTGTAACATAATGGTAAGTATTTGTATACCTAAACATAGAAAAGGAACAGTAAAAATACAGTATAAAAGATACAAGGCTGGGCTGGGGTGGCTCATGCCTATAATCCCAACACTTTGGGAAGCTGAGGTGGGCAGATCACCTGAGGTCAGTAGTTCGTGATTAGCCTGGCCAACATGGTGAAACCCCATCTTTACTAAAAATACAAAAATTAGCTGGGTGTGGTGGCACATGCCTGTAATCCCAGCTACTGGGGAGGCTGAGGCAGGAGAATCGCTTGAACCTGGGAGGCAGAGGTCGCAGTGAGCCGAGATCGTGCCATTGCACTCCAGCCTGAGCAACAAGAGCGAAACTCTGTCTCAAAAAACAAACCAACAAACAAAAACCCCAAAAAAGATACAAAATAGTACACTTGTATAGGGCACTTACCATAAATGGAGCTTGCAGGACTGGAAGTTGCTTTGAATGATTCAGTGAGTGGGTGGTGAATGAATGTGAAGGCCTAGGACTTTATACTGTATAGTACTGGAGACTATGAACAGTGTGCATAGGCTCCTCTAAATTTATAAAAATATTTTTCTTCAATAATAAGTTAACCTTAGCTTACCATAACTTTTTAACTTTATAAACCTTTACATTAAAAAATTTTTTTGAGTTTTTGTAAAACACTTAGCTTAAAACACAAATACCTTGTATGACTGCACAAAATGTTTTATTTCTTCATATCCATATTCTGTAAGCTTTTTGCTTTTTATTGAGAAGGGATTTTACTCTGCCACCCAGGCTGCAGTGCAATGGCGCAATCTCAGCTCACTGCAATCTTCGCTTCCTGGGCTCAAGTGATTCTCTCACCTCAGGCTCCTGAGTAGCTGGGACTATGGGCACAGATCACCAGGCCCGGCAAATTTTTGTATTTTTTGTAGAGACGGGGTTTCACCATGTTGCCCAGGCTGGTCTCCAACTCCTGGACTTAAGTGATCCTTCCCCTCTTGGCCACCCAGAGTGCTGGGATTACAGACCCGTGAGCCATGGCACCTGGTCTATTTTTAATTAAAAAAAATTGTTTTTTCACTTTTAAAAACTTGTATGTTAAAAATGAAGAAACAAACACACATATTAGCCTTGGTCTATACAGGGTGAGGATCATCAATATCACTGTCTTCCAGCTCCACATCTTGTCACACTGGAATGTCTTCAAGGGCATTAACACATATGGAGCTGTCATGTCCTGTGATAACAATGCCTTCTTGTGGATCCCTCCTGAAGGACCTGCCTGAGACTGTTTTACAGTTCTTTTTTTATGAGTAGAAGGAGTACACTCTAAAATAATGATAAAGGGCCAGGCGTGGTGGCTCACGCCTGTAATCCCAGCACTTTGGGATGCCGAGGTGGGCGGATCACTTGGGGTCAGGAGCTTGAGACCAGCTTGGCCAACATAGTGAAACCCCGTCTCTACTAAAAATACAAAAATTAGCCGGGCGTGGTGGCAGATACCTGTAGTCCCAACTACTCGGGGGAGCTGAGACAGGAGAATCGCTTGAACCTGGGGCGGAGGTTGCAGTGAGCTGAGATCGAGCCACTGCACTCCAGCCTGGGCGACAGAGCGAGACTCTGTCTCAAAAAATAAAAAATAAAAATAAATAAAATATTGATAAAAAGTACCAGTAACTACTGGGCGCGGTGGCTTATGCCTGCAATCCCAGCACTTTGGGAGGCCGAGGCTGGCAGACACCTGAGGCCAGGAGTTCGAGACCAGCTGCCCAACATGGTGAAACACTGTCTCTCTAAAAATACAAAAATTAGCTGGCATGGTGGCACACGTCTATAATTCCAGCTACTCAAGAGGCTGAGGCAGGAGAATCGCTTGGACCTGGGAGGTGGAGGTTGCAGTGAGCCGAGATAACACTACTGCACTCTATCCTGGGCCACAGAGCAAGATTCTGTCTCAAAAAAAAAAAAAAGTATCAGTAACATAGTTTTTTATTATCATTAGCAATTATATATTGTACATAATTGCAAGTGCTATACTTTTATACAACTGGCAGCCAGTAGGTTTGTTTACACAAGCATCACCAGAAACGTGGGTAATGCCTGGCACTAAGAGGTTATAATGGCTAAGATGGTTATGATGTCACTAGGCAATAGGAATTTTTCAATTTCATTGTAATCCTATGGGGCCACAAATAAATGCCCTATGTGGCACATGACTGTATTATTATTATTACTATTATTTTGTAAAAATTCCTGGAAAGGTTTAGGGCAGATTGCAGTGGCAAGGCAGCTACTCACATGAGCCAGAACCTGCCCAATTTTTCTTTCTTTTTTTTTTTTTTTTGAGACGGAGTCTCGTTCTGTCACCCAGGCGGGAGTGCAGTGGCGCCATCTCGGTTCACTGCAAGCTCCGCCTTCCGGGTTCACGCCATTCTCCTGCCTCAGCCTCCGGAGTAGCTGGGACTACAGGTGCCCGCCACCACACCCGGCGACTTTTTTTTTTTGTATTTTTAGTAGAGACAGGGTTTCACCGTGTTAGCCAGGATGGTCTCGATCTCCTGACCTTGTGATCCGCCCGCCTCAGCCTACCAAAGTGCTGGGATTACAAGCGTGAGCCAGTGAGCCTGGCCCAAGCCTGGCCAGTTCTAAATGAGGTCAATCAGGATGCACCCACCCTTCTATACTCAGCTGTGATGCCTGGGACTCTGCAAAACACACTTCTGCTTTGCCTTTGCTTCCCTGCTAGGCTTTGCCAATAGGGGGAACTAGAGGGAAATGGAAAGACTGAAGGCGCCCTCCAGTCCGCTTTCTGTTTCTCTGAGTGTCACTTATTCAGGACTTCACTCTGGCTGGAGCAGTTCGTTAGGTAGCAGCAGCTGACTCAGTTTTTCCAACTCTTGAAAAGCCAGCCTAATTGTCTCTAACCCCCTCACCAGCACCAGCCGGCTCCTTCCTCAGAGGTTTGAGTTGCAGCTCTAGAGGTCCCTTTCTCTAGGTTTCTAAGATTTTCCCTTTGATTTTTTCAAGGTAGCTGCTAGTTGCTACCTCCATGACACCTTAGAGTTCTCTTTTTACCCTTTAGTAGTTAACTATAGATATATGATCATATATGTAGTTATATATAGTATATATAGTTATATATATATATATATATATATATATATATATTTTTTTTTTTTTTTTTTTTTTTTTTTGAGACAGAGTCTCACCCTGTCACCAAGGCTGGAGTGTAATGGCGAGATCTCGGCTGACTGCAACCTCTGCTTCCTGGGTTCAAATGATTCTTCTGCCTCAGCCTCCCCAGTGGCTGGGATTACAGGCGCCCACCACCACGCCCAGCTAATTTTTGTATTTGTGGTAGAGACGGGGTTTCACCATGTTGGCCAGGCTGGTCTCGAACTGCTGACCTCATGATCCACCCGCCTTGGCTTCCCAAAGTGCTGGGATTACAGGTGTGAGCCACCGCGCCTGGCCCTAGTAGTTAACAATATTATACCCAGTTAATGATATCTTATATTGTCTCTGTTCAGATAAGTGATGGGCTGGGCACAGTGGCTCATGTGTGTAATTCCAGCACTTAGGGAGGCGGAGTTGGTGGTAGGAGGATCCCTTGAGCCCAGGAGTTTGAGACCAGCCTGAGCGACAGAGTGAGACCCTGTATCAAAACAAAAAAACATTGTATTTTCTGGAACCTGAATGAATGTTGACTGATACAGCATATGATTTTGTTTTGTTTTGTTTTTAAACTTTCTCTTATCAAAAACTTTAAGCTCATATGAAAGTAAAACAAATAGTGCAGTGAACCTGGCATCACTCAGCTACAATAATATCTCATGGCCTCTTTTACTTTATTTTATATTCTCATTTATTTTGCCCCATTTTCAACTGGGTATGTTGAAGTAAATTTAAAGTAAATTGGCAACAAATGTTTTTACAAGAAAATTGTTTCTTTAAAAAAAACTTGGGTCACTAGAATTTGTACAATGTGCATGCATTACCTATTTTATCCACTAGCAATGCACAAATGGAAAATGAAACTTTTTTTTTCTCTTGCAGAAATGTAACTTGTATATATTTTTTTCCTTTTTTTTTTTGAGCCAGAGTCTCACTGTGTCGCCCAGGCTGGAGTACAGTGGCAGGATCTTAGTTCACTGCAACCCCTGCCTCCCATGTTCAAGCGATTCTCCTGCCTCAGCCTCCTGAGTAACTGGAACTACAGGTACCCGCCACCATGCCTAGCTAATTTTTTTGTATTTTTAGTAGAGACGGGGTTTTGCCATGTTGGCCAGGCTGGTCTCAAACTCCTGACCTCAAGTGATCCGCCCGCCTTGGCCTCCCAAAGTGCTGGGATTACAGGCGTGAGCCACCCCACCCAGCCTGTTTCATCAAATTTATATGCTACAAAATAGTAAGCCCTCTCAATTTCACTCCATTCCAGTACAGAATATAATGGGTTTTTTTTGTTTTGTTTTTTGTTTTTTTTTGAGACAGAGTCTTACTCTGTCACCCAGGCTGTAGTGCAGTGGCTGCCATTTCAGCTCATTGCAACCTCTGCCTCTCAGGGTCAAGTGATTCTCCTCCCTCAGCCTCCAGAGTAGCTGGGATTACAGGCATGCGCCACCACACCCAGATAATTTTTGTACTTTTAGGAGAGACGAGGTTTCGCCATGTTAGCCAGGCTGTCTCAAATTCCTGACCTCACGTGATCTGCCAGCCTCAGCCTCCCAAAGTGCGGGGATTACAGGCATGAACCACCACGCCTGGCCAGAATATACATTTATCCAATTAAAAATGGAAGTTCATTGCTTCGAGAGGCTGAGGTGGGAGGATTGCTTGAACCCAGGAGTTCAAGACCAGCCTGGGCAACATAGCGAAACCCCATCTCTACAATAAATACAAAAAGTTAGCTGGGTGTGGTGGTGGTCCCTGCCTATAGTCCCAGCTACCCTGGAGGCTGAGGTGGGAAAATCACCTGAGCCTAGGAGGTTGAGGCTGCAGTGAGCCAAGATCGTGCCACTGCACCCCTGCCTGGTGACAGAGTAAGACCTGTCTCAAAAAAAAAAAAAAAAAAAAGTTGCATTACAAGATTTTTTCCATAAGCCAAGGTATTTCAGAGTGATTTATCATTATTTTTTCAAGCTTTCCCTGCTAGGGATCAAGTCTAATGTCTTCCTGTTTGCAAGTATTGCTCTCAACACTTTGCAACTTAGTAAGGGCTCATAAACCGAAGTTTCTTTCTTTCCTTTTTTTTTTTTCTTTTAGATGGAGTCTCACTCTGTCACCCAGGCTGAAGTGCAGTGGCATGGTATCAGCTCACGGCAACCTCCACCTCCCAGGTTGAAGCAATTCTCCTGCCTCAGCCTCCTGAGTAGCTGGAATTACAGGTGCCTGCCACTGTGCCTGGCTAATTTTTGTATTTTTAAGAAAGACTGGGTTTCACTATGTTGGCCAGGCTGGTCTTGAACTCCTGACCTCAAGTAATCTGCCTGCCTTGGCCTCCTGAAGTGCTGGGATTACAAGCCTGAGCCACTGCTCCCGGCCTGAAGTTTCTTTCTTTTTTTTTTTTTCAGAGTCGGAGTCTCACTCTGTCACCCAGGCTGGAGTGCAATGTTTCAATCTCAGCTCACTCCAACCTCCACCTCCTGGGTTCAAGCAATTCTCCTGCCTCAGCCTCCCAAGTAGCTGGGATTACAGACACCCACCACCATGCCCAGCTAATTTTTGTATTTTTAGTAGAGGCAAGGTTTCACCATATTGGCCAGGCTGGTCTCTTGACCAGGCTGGTCTCGAACTCCTGACCTCGTGATCCACCTGCCGTGGCCTCTCAAAGTGCTTGGGATCACAGGCATGAGCCACCGTGCCTGGCCGAAGTTTCTTATCATTCTATTCATTCAATGCTCAGATGAAAGGTTCCCAATTGATTTTAAATAAAATACTATCAGCTGGGCGCAAGTGGCTCATCTGAGGTCAGGAGTTGGAGACCAGCCTGGCCAACATGGTGAAACCTCATCTCTACTAAAAATACAAAAAATTAGCTGGGCGTTGTGGTGGACGTCTCCAATCCCAGCTACTCAGGAGGCTGAGGCAGGAGAATCGCTTGAACCCGGGAGGCGGAGGTTGCAGTGAGCTGAGATCACACCCTTGGACTCCAGCCTGGGCAACAAGAGTGAAACTCCTTAATCAATCAATCAATCAATCAATAAAATACTACCAAAATTTAGAGGCTTCATTTATCAAAAATTTCAGTATAGGATAGGTTGATTTTCAAAGGCTTAAACATTTCTAAAAAGGATGATGGGCAAAACCTGCCATGCTGAAGTGCTTTTTAAAAATTTATTTATTTTTATTATTATTTTTTTTTGAGACAGGGTCTCTCTCTGTTGCCCAGGCTGGAGTGCAGTGGTGCAATCATAGCTCTCTGCTGCCTTGAAGTCCTGGGCTCACATGATTCTCCTGCCTAAGCCTCCCAATTAGCTAGGACTACAGATGCCTGCCACAATGCTAGCTAATTACAAAAAAATTTCTTTTATATAGATGAAGTCTTGCTATGTTGCCCAGGCAGGCTGGCCTCAAGCGTTCCTCCCAGTTAAGCCTCCCAAAGTGCTGAGATTGCAGGTGTGAGCCGAAGTGCTTTTTAGATTCAACATCTACTTTATCACAGCAATTTTGTAGGTTAGTTACTCAAAACTTGTTAAAATTTGGCTACTACATCTTCTATTTTAGTTGGTAAAATAAAACAGCTTGCTTGGACATTATTATGAATTATATGTACACTACATCCAATTCCAAGTACATTTATCCTCCATTGATTTCCTAATTCATTAAATACATTTTTGTATTACCATGATCTGCTCCACCCAACTTTGTATTATCACAAATACAATTTTAATTGTTGAACTTAAAAAAAATTTTTTTTAAGTTCCTGGGTACATGTGCAGAATGTGCAGGTTTGTTGCATAGATAAACATGTGCCATGATGGTTTGCTGCACAAATCAACCCATAGCCTAGGTATTAAGGCCAGCATGCATTAGATCTTTTTCCTAATGCTTTCCGTCCCTGCAATGCTTCCCCGACACGTTCCAGAATTGTTGGACTTTTAAACTAATTTCATAGTAACATTAAAATATCAGATTGTTTTACTTCAACACTGATTAAAAGAATTGAGTGAAAAATTTGAAACTTACCAGAATTAATGAAGTCAATTTTTCTATTTGAACCTGAATATGTTACTGATAAAACTGGCATCACATAACTGGAAGTTCTATGTAGTAACATATATCTAGTCTAGTCTGCATATTAAGAGCCGTGGCTTCACTTTTTGTATGGGCATAAGAAAACTCTGAATTGAAGATGAGAAGATGAGTGAAATTAATTAAAAACAGTCAATTTATTTAAGTAAAAAGTCTTGCTTCACAGAGTGATTTGTAAGTGTACCTTCTGTATTAATTGTATTAATTAAATCATTGTCTCTGGGTAATTTTTTTTTTTTTGAGACAGAGTTTTGCTCTGTCACCCAGGCTGGAGTGCAGTGGCACAATCTCAGCTCACTCAATGTCTGCCTCCTGGGTTCAAGTGGTTCTCCCGCCTCAGCCTCCCAAATAGCTGGGATTACAGGCACCCGCCACTATGCCCAGGTAATTTTTGTATTTTTAGTAGAGATGGGATTTCACCATGTTGGCCAGGCTAGTCTTGAACTCCTGACCTCAAGTGATCCACCCGCCTCAGCCTCCCAAAGTGCTGGGATTACAGACATGAGTCACTGTGCCTGGCCTCTGGGTAATGTTTATTTAAGATAATTGCTAAATTTTGAAGTAGATGCAGAAACTTCTACAGAAAATTTATGTCTACTGGATTTCCTGTGGTTATTGATCTTTTTATTTTTTGAGACAGAATCTCGCCCTGTCACCCAAGCTGGATTGCAGTGGCGTGATCTTGGCTTACTGCAACCTCTGCCTCCTGGGCTCAAGTGATTCTCCTGCCTCAGCCTCCTGAGCAGCTGGGATTACAGGCGCCTGCCACCACACCTAGCTAATTTTTGTATTTTTAGTATAGATGGGTTTTCACCATGTTGGCCAGGCTGGTCTTGAATTCCTGACCTCAAGTGATCCACCAGCCTTGGCTTCCCAAAGTGCTGGGATTACAGGTGTAAGCCACCACGCCCAGCCTGGTTATTGATCTTGATATGGCATTGATAGTAAATGTCAACAAAAAATTTGTGCAGGTTATACACAGAAATGGAAATTCAGTATTCACTTAGGTATTTTTTTAGACACCTTTTAAGCTCATTATTGAAGAAAGGGCTTATTGCAAAATAAAAAAATTATCAAATAACAAATATAGATTTCTACCATACAATAAGTGGTAAAATAGTTGTAGCAAGAACGTTTAGAATTCTCTCTGTACATGGTTCATACATCACTAGCCTATCATTTATTACTGATCCCAGATAGCAGCCTGAAAAACTTCTCCAACCACCACAACTACAGAAGGAATGAGCTCTTCCCAGCCACTCCAAGTGCACTGTTTTGTCAGCAAGTGCTGTCCATGCTGACTTGAGAGGAAAATGTTATATTGAGTTTGGGAGGGTCAAGCACAGGGACGTCATTGCTGGTCTTTTTTCAAATTTAACCAGGTGTTCAAGCGAGAACTCTGTTCATTGAGCACAATACTAGACCATGACAAGCTAGGAATACAAAGTAGAGGTCTAGTAAGCTAATCCCTGCTTATTCTAGTAAAAGTAAAAATCATATTACCTTGTAAAGACTGAAAAATCTGGGACAAATGCTAAACTGATGGCATACTGAGACAACAGACAAAATGGGACTGTCCAAGGCAAATGCTACTCATGGTAACGAAGAGGATGGATAGAGACAGAGTTAGGATCAAGATTTCTCAATCTCCATTTTATGTTATTTCAATTATTATTTATTATTTTATTTTATATTTTATTTATTATTTTTTTGGAGACAGAGTCCCACTCTGTTGCCCAGGGTGGAGTGCAGTGGTACGATCTCTGCTCACTGCAACCTCTGCCTCCTGGGTTCCAGCAATTCTCCCACCTCAGCCTCCTGAATAGCTGGGATTATAGGCACCTGCCACCATGCCCAGCTACTTTTAAAAAAATTTTTAGTAGAGATGGGTTTTGCCATGTTGGCCATGCTGGTCTTGAACTCCTGACCTCAAGTGATCCACCTGCCTCAGCCTCCCAAAGTGTTTGGATTGCAGGTGTGAGCCATCGTGCCTGACCTGTTATTTCAATTTTGAACCATGCAAATGTATTATCTATTTTAAAGTTAGACTAAAAAAAGAAAAAAAGACATAGAATAGTGTATAGAATGCCAACATCTGTGGGCATCTGTTTATATAAAAAAAAAGACCTACTTATTTATAATTTACTTTATTTATTTATTTTTTTGAGATGGAGTCTTACTCTGTCACCCAGTCTGGAGTGCAGTGGCGCAATCTCAGCTCACTGCAACCTCTAGTCTCCTGGGTTCAAGTGATCGCCCTGCTTCAGGCTCCCAAGTAGCTAGGACTACAGGCATGTGCCACCATGCCTGGCTAATTTTTTTTTTTTTTCGTAGAGATAGGGTTTTACCATATTAGCCTGGTCTTCAACTCCTGAGCTCAGGTAATCCACCTGCCTCAGCCTCCCAAATTGCTGGGATTACAGGTATAATTTACTCTTTTTAAACTAGCAGTCTCCAATGTTTTTGGCACCAGGGACCGATTTCATGGAAGACAAATTTTCCATGTCCTAGGCGGGGGGATGGTTTGGGGATGATTCAAACGCATTACATTTATTGTGCAATTTATTATTATTACATTGTGATATATAATGAAATAATTGTACAATTCATCATAATGTAGAGTCAGTGGGAGCCCTGAGCTTGTTTTCCTGCAATTAGACAGTCCCATCTCAGGGAGGATGGAAGACAGTGACAGATCATCAGGCATTAGATTCTCATACAGAGCACACAACCTAGATCCATTGAATGCAAAGTTCACAATAGGGTTTGTGCTCCTATGAGAATCTAATGCCACTGTTGATCTGACAGGAGGTGGAACCAGTGGGAACTCAGGCAGTAATGTTCACTCGTTGGCTGCTTACTTTCTGTTATAGGCCAAGGACCCAGTACTGGTCTGTGGCCCAGGAATTGGGGAACCCTGTTTTTAGTTTTGTTTTGTTTTTTGAGACGGAGGCTTGCTGTGTCACGCTGGAATGCAGTGGTGCGATGTCAACTCACTGCAACTTCTGCCTCCTGGGTTCAAGCGATTCTCCTGCCTCAGCCTCCTGAGTAGCTGGGACTACAGGCACACACCACCATGCCCAGCTAATTTTCGTATTTTTAGTAGAGACAGAGTTTCACCATGTTGGCCAGGATGGTCTCAATCTTGTGACCTTGTGATCTGCCCTCCTCGGCCTCCCAAAGTGCTGGGATTACAGGCATGAGCCACTGTGCCCAGCCGGGAACACTGTTTTAAACAATATTCTGAGGCTCTTCATATTTTACTTGTAGTCAGTGAAGAGAAGATCTAAAAATAAGGAAATGCCTTTGTCATTCCAAGTACAAAATTTCTTAGCTTGCCATAAATGAAGAGGGTTAGAATATAAGTCCTCACTTAATGTCATTGATAGGTTCTTGGAAATGGAACTTTAAGTTAAATTGGTTTTTAACAAAACCAATTTTATCATAGGCTTGTGAAAGTTAGAGATACCAGGAAGAAATCACTTTTCTCAGACCCAGGCAAAGTAGGACCAGGAAGGTCTGAAGGAGAGGAGGCTCATGCTTGCATATCTGAAATAAGAACTGTTTCCAAGGACTTTCTAAAAATCCTTTCATATCCTTCACAAATCTCCTGCTTTGATAAGGTTTATCACTAGACATTCTTTAGGATTTCAGTAATTCGGTTAAGATGTTCTTGAAAGAACACTTGCATCTCCACCAAGGAACTGACAACTCTGGCTTTGAACCTCTGGAAGTGATGAACTCTGTTTCCAAGCAGCTTATGTAATCTCTTTTTGCTAATAAAAGCTCCCCTCACCCTTCCCTCACTAAATGCACTTGTAGCTTGCCATTTCATGCACTCTAGATTTCTTTCTTTTCTTTTTTTTTTTTTTTTTTGAGACAGAGTCTCACTCTGTCGCCCAGGCTGGACTGCAGTGGCGCGATCTTGGCTGACTGCAATCTCTGCCTCCCAGATTCAAGCGATTCTCCTACCTCAGCCTCCCAAGTAGCTGGGATTACAGGCGCATGCCACCATGCCTGGCTAATTTTTTTTTGTATTTTTAGTAGAGACGGGGTTTCGCTATGTTGGCCAGGCTGATCTCGAACTCCTGACCTCAGGTGATCTGCCCACCTCAGCCTTTCAAAGTGGTGGGATTACAGATGTGAGCCACTGCGCCCAGCTGCACTCTAGATTATAATCCTTATTTCTATTCCAGAGTAAACCCAACACCCAACATATTTAGAGTTAATTTTTTTCTAGTGTCTTTTTTTTTCAGGTTGACAGGGTAATTGATATAAACAAGAGTTAAGTTCCTACAGCATATTTCTGGTCACAAAAACATTACCAAACTTCTAAATAAAGACCCAAAAAGCTTCTAATATTAAACATTGAAATAAATTTGAGCTATACATACATTTAAGAAAGATTAATAAAAACAGGCTGGACACGGTGGCTCACGCCTGTAATCCTAGCACTTTGGGAGGCCAAGGTGGGCAGATCACCTGAGGTCAGGAGTTCAAAACCAGCCTGACCAACATGGTGAAACCCAGTCTGTACTAAACATACAAAAAAAATTAGCTGGGCATGGTGGCGCACACCTGTAGTCCCAGCTATGCAGGAAGCTGAGGCAAGAGAATTGCTTGAATCTGGGAGGTGGAGGTTGCAGTGAGCTGAGATTATGCCACTGCACTCCAGCCTGGATGACAGAGTGAGACTCCATCTCAAAAAAAAAAAAAAAAAAAAGATTAATAAAAACAAGTAGGATAATTATTTGCCTCATTTTTGGTGAATGAATGAGTGATGACTGTCACAGTGGGGTGGGTTAAATTAAGGAATAAATGTTTATAAAGCAAAATTTGTAAGGAATGGCCTCTGCTACCACACAGTTAAAAAACAATCACACATTTGGCAGGCTCACTGAGCAATTTCATTCCTCATTGTTCATTGCCTATTGTCATGCATTTGTATAATTATCATATTCTTTACCAATTTTTATTTTATAATAATTTGTATTCATTTATCCATACATTGATTTTCTAACCCATTTATTCCAGTTCAGGGTTGTGGGTGGCTGGAGCCTATCCTGGCAGTTGAGGGTACAAGGTGGGAGCCAATCCTGGACTGAATGCTATTCTACACACGGCACATGAACTCAGACTGGGACACTTTAGACATGCCAATGAACCTAACCTGCACATCGTTGGGATGTGGGAGGAGACCAGAGTACCCAGAGAAAACCCACACAGTCATGGAGAGAAGGTGCTCTAGAACACACCCCAGCAATGATGTCAGGCGTAGCCTCAGAGGGTGGATGGGAGCAGCTTGCAGGGAAATTGAGAGAGCTGGCTCCACTCCCAAGCCCCCCTTCTTTTGAGACAGGGTCTCATTCTGTTGACGAGGCTGGAGTGCAGTGGTATCATCATGGCTCACTGCAGGCTTGATCTCCCAGGGTTGGGTGATCCTCCCACCTCAGCCTTCCAAGTAGCTGGGACTACAGGCACATGGCACCATGCCTGGCTAATTTTTTATATTTTTTAATAGAGGTGAGGTCTCACCATGTTGCCCAGGCTAGTCTTGAACTCCTGAACTCAAACGATCCACCCACTTCAGCATCCCAGAGTGCTGGGATCAGGAGCCACCTGCCTGGCCCTGGCTCCCTTAAAGTGTGACCTTTGAAGGCAAAATGGTAGGTACAATATAAAACACTGCAACAAACCCTGATAATTCCCACGCTTGTTTCTATCCTAAGTCTTGCCCACAAAAGAGAAAACCTATAGCTGACAAAGGTTTGGGAGAGTTCAGCAGGTGTAATCAAAATAGAGTTTGCAGTCCCCACCAGAAAAGATGTGGTGTCAGATGAGGAGCAGATAAATGAGAGCACTGCTCTGATGAGTCACTTGCCTAAGTGATGTCACCAGCTGGGTTTTCACTGCCAGAAAATCAGCAGCTGCTGGACTAGAACATTCCACATCGCTGACAACAGCTCTTCTTCCTTCAGAAGTTTGTTTTCTGCCATTCTGCCAGAACACCTAGCATGCTTTCTCTTTTTATGTTATTTATACTAGAAGGTGAGGAACCTGCCTTTATGTTCTGAACTATGCATGATAGAGGACCCAATTAAAAAAAAAAAAACTCTTTCAGAATTCCAAGCCAAAGCTTCAAGGCCAGAAGCAGCTAGATGTAAATAAGGGCAGGGATTTTTTTATGCAGAGAAACAACTCACTTAAGGTCATACAACAAGCCAGTAAAGACAATACATTTTCTTATTCTTAAACTTAGCCATCATCTCATAAGGCCAATTGGATCCCAGTACTCCTTCATCCAGTGAATTATCAGCAGAGAATCACTTCATTTAGTGACTTGTTCATTTTATTTATTTATTTTTTTTGAGACGGAGTCTAGCTCTGTCACCTCGCCCAGGCTGGAGTGCAGCAGTGCGAATCTCGGCTCACTGCAGCCTCCACCTCCAAGGTTCAAGCAATTCTCCCGCTTCAGCCTCCCGAGTAGCTGGGATTACAGGTGCGTTCCGCCACACCTGGCTAATTTTTGTATTTTTAGTAGAGATGGGGTTTCACCATGTTGGCCAGGCTGGTCTCGAACTTCTGACCTCAAATGATCCACCTGCCTTAGCCTCCCAAAGTGCTGGGATTACAGGCATGAGCCACCGCGCCTGGCCAACTTGTTCATTTTAAATGTAAGTTGTTTAACTCAAAGGGAAATATGCACCTATTAGGTGATTTTTTTTTTTTTTTTGAGACAGAGTCTCGCTCTGTTGTCCAGGCTGGAGTGCAGTGGCACAATCTCGGTTCACTGCAAGCTCCGCCTCCCGGGTTCATGCAATTCTTCTGCCTCAGCCTCCTGAGTAGCTGGGACTATAGGTGCGCGCCACCACGCCTGGCTAATTTTTTTTCTTTTTAAGTTTTAGTAGAGACGGGGTTTCACCATATTGGCCAGGCTGATCTCGAACTCCTGACCTCGTGATCCGCCCACCTTGGCCTCCCAAAGTGCTGGGATTATAAATGTGAGCCGCCACGCCCGGCTGAAGACCAAGAATTTTCATTTTACCATTACATGAGATGTACTTACCTGAGTCTGATTAAATGGGGCCTAAAAGAAAGAATGAAATTACCTTTCTTTTTTCTTTTTTTTTTTTTTTGAGACGGAGTTTCACTCTTGTTGCCCAGGCTGGAGTGCAATGGCACGATCTCGGCTCACCACAACCTCCGCCTCCCAGGTTCAAGTGATTCTCCTGCCTCAGCCTCCCTAGTAGCTGGGATTACAGGCATGTGCCACCACGCTCAACTAATTTTGTATTTTTAGTAGAGACGGGGTTTCTCCATGTTGGTCAGTCTGGTCTCGAACTCCTGACCTCAGGTGATCCGCCCTCCTCGGCCTCCCAAAGTGCTGGGATTATAGGCCTGAGCCACCGCGCTGGGTCTGAAATTAATTTTCAATTTATTTCTGCAAAAGAAAAAAATCTCGGCATGGTATAGCGCAAAAAAAAAATTATTTCTGCCTAAGATTTGTGGGCCTTGTGCACAGCTCAATATAAGACATGTATGTTAGAAAATGCCTCAGGAGGCTGGGCGGGGTGGCTCACGCCTGTAATCCCAGCACTTTGGGAGGCCAAGGCCGGCGGATCACGAGGTCAGGAGTTTGAGACCAGCCTGGCCAACATAGCAAAACCCCGTCTCTACTAAAAATACAAAACTTAGCCGGACATGATGGTGGGCACCTGTAGTCCCAGCTACTCAGGAGGCTGAGGCAGGAGAATCACTTGAACCCCAGAAGCAGAGGTTGCAGTGAGCCGAGATTACGCCACTGCACTCCAGCCTAGGCTGCAGAACTAGACTCCGTCTCAAAAAAAAAAAAAAAAAAAGAAAGCCTCAGGAAAAAGCCATCAGTGTGCTCCACATAAATTCATTATCATTTTATTTACTGAGCTAATACAATTTTTTTCAATATATATTAATACATACATAAATGTGATGGCCACTTAACACTGTGAGATTTAAAAAATACTTCATTAAAAAACTACAAAAGGATGCATACTAAATTGTTTAACAGCAGTTATCTTTACAGAGTAGGTTTGGGGAAAGGAGGCACATTCATTTATGTCTTTTTTTTTTTTTTTTCTAAAAATCATTTGGGCAATTTTATTTTTTTATTTTTATTTTTTTCTATAAGAAACTACTTTTATTTCAAAAATAAATCTTAAGACTGATATGTAGCTTCATCTATTCAGTAAACATTTGATCCAGTATCTACTATGCTGGATACCTAGCAGATACAAAGATGAATCTCATGTGGGTGGACCTTGATCTCAAGAGGCTTAGAGTCTAGAAAGACACATACATGTTACATACATATGTATACATTCCTATACATACCTACATATTACATCCTTTTTACTCTATTAAACAGGTAAAATGCAAGGGGAATTCAGAAGAGAGAAGATAGTCATTTTGGATGTGTAGTGCTGAAAGGCAGAGTGACATTATGGCTTTGGGCTCTGGAGTCAGAATGCTTGGATTCTGGTGGGGCACAGTGGCACAACCCTGTAATCCCAGCACTTTGGGAGGCAGATCACTTGAACTCAGGAGTTTGAGACCAGCTTGTGAAACATTGCGAGACTTCATCTTAAAAATATATGTATTTTTTTTTTTTTAAAAAAGAATGGCTGGATTCAAATCCTGTTTTAGAATTTATTATCTTAGGGTCCTTGTATGATTATTTTATTTTATTTTTTTTTTAGTATTTATTGATCATTCTTGGGTGTTTCTCAGAGAGGGGGATGTGGCAGGATCATAGGATAATAGTGGAGAGAAGGTCAGCAGATAAACACGAGAACAAAGGTCTCTGGTTTTCCTAGGCAGAGGTCCCTGCGGCCTTCGCCCTGTTTGTGTCCCTGGGTACTTGAGATTAGGGAGTGGTGATGACTCTTAAGGAGCATGCTGTCATCAAGCATCTGTTTAACAAAGCACATCTTGCACTGCCCTTAATCTATTTAACCCTGAGTTGACACAGCACATGTTTCAGAGAGCAGGGGGTTGGGGGTAAGGTTATAGATTAATAGCATCCCAAGGCAGAAGAATTTTTCTTAGTACAGAACAAAATGGAGTCTCCTATGTCTACTTCTTTCTACACAGACACAGCAACAATCTGATCTCTCTTTCTTTTCCCCACATTTCCCCCTTTTCTTTTTGACAAAACTGCCATCGTCATCATGGCCCGTTCTCGATGGTTGCTGTCTCTTCGGAGCAGTTGGGTATACCTCCCAGACGGGGCGGCTGGGCAGAGGCACTCCTCACTTCCCAGACGGGGCGGCTGGGCAGAGGCGTTCCTCACATCCCAGACGATGGGCGGCCGGGCAGAGGCGCTCCTCACTTCCCAGACGAGGTGGCCAGGCAGAGGTGCACCTCACCTCCCAGACGGGGTGGCGGCCGGACAGAGGTGCTCCTCACCGCCCAGACGGGGTGGCGGCTGGGCAGAGGCGCTCCCCATATCCCAGACGATGGGCGGCCGGGCAGAGGCGCTCCCCACCTCCCAGACGGGGCAGCCGGGCAGAGGCGCTCCCCACCTCCCAGACGGGGCGGCCGGGCAGAGGCGCTCCCCACCTCCCAGACGGGGCGGCCGGGCAGAGGCGCCCCTCACCTCCCAGACGGGGCGGCCGGGCAGAGGCGCCCCTCACCTTCCAGACGGGGCGGCCGGGCAGAGGCGCCCCTCACCTCCCAGACGGGGTGGTGGCCGGGCAGAGGCGCTCCTCATTTCCCAGACAGGGCAGCCGGGCAGAGGTGCTCCCCACCTCCCAGACGGGGTGGCGGCCGGACAGAGGCGCTCCTCACCTCCCAGATGGGGTGGTGGCCGGGCAGAGGCGCTCCTCACTTCCCAGATGGTGCGGCGGGGCAGAGGCACTCCTCACCTTCCAGACGGGGTGGCTGGGCAGAGACGCCCCTCACCTCCCAGACGGGGTGGCTGGGCAGAGGCGCCCACTTCCCTGACGGGGCGGCCGGGCAGAGGCGCTCCCCACCTCCCAAACGAAGGGCGGCCGGGCAGAGGCGCCCCTCACTTCCCAGGCTGGGCGGCCGGGCAGAGGCGCTCCTCACCTTCCAGACGAAGAGCGGCCGGGCAGAGGTGCCCCTCACTTCACAGGCGGGGCAGCCAGGCAGAGACGCTCCCCACCTCCCAGACGGGGCGGCCGGGCAGAGGCGCTCCCCACCTCCCAGACGGGGCGGCCGGGCAGAGGCGCCCCTCACCTCCCAGACGGGGCGGCCGGGCAGAGGCGCTCCTCACCTCCCAGACGGGGCGGCCAGGGAGAGGCGCTCCTCACCTCCCAGACGATGGGCGGCCGGGCAGAGGCGCTCCTCACATCCCAGACGATGGGCAGTCAGGCAGAGACGCTCCTCACTTCCTAGATGGGGTGGCGGACGGGCAGAGGCGCTCCTCACTTCCCAGATGGGGGTGGCCAGGCAGAGGCACTCCTCACTTCCCATTCGGGGCAGCCGGGCAGAGGCGCTCCTCACTTCCCAGATGGGGCGGCCGGGCAGAGGCGCTTCTCACATCCCAGATGATCGGCGGCCAGGCAGAGACTCTGCTCACTTCCCAGACGGGGTGGCGGGTGGGCAGAGGCTGTAATCTTAGCACTTTGGGAGGCCAAGGCAGGCGGCTGGGAGGTGGGGGTTGCAGCGAGCCGAGATCACGCCACTGCACTCCAGCCTGGGCAACATTGAGCACTGAGTGAGCGAGACTCCGTCTGCAATCCCAGCACCTCGGGAGGCCGAGGCGGGCAGATCACCCAAGGCCAGGAGCTGGAGACCAGCCTGGTCAACATGGCGAAACCCCGTCTCCACCAAAAATACAAAAACCAGTCAGGAGTGGCGGCGCGTGCCTGGAATGCCAGGCACCCGGCAGGCCCAGGCAGGAGAATCACCGGAGCCCGAGGCAGGGAGGTTGCAGTGAGCCGAGATCATGGCAGTACAGTCCAGGCTCCGCAAGAGAGGGAGACTGTAGAAAGAGGGAGACGGAGAGTGAGAGCGAGAGCGGGAGGGAGAGAGACGGAGAGGGAGAGGGAGAGGGAGAGCTCATTTATGTCTTTACAGAGAATCTATACTGTTCATCTTTGTAAAAATGAGTTGCATTAATTTTGTAATAAAAGAAAGTTTGGAGACTATAACTTCAAAAAAGAAAAGAAATGGCCACCAACTATAAGGGGTACTGAGTAAATGAGGCAAAGGATAGGATGATTTTGAGTGTGAGGACAGTGTAGGGTTGCGTGGAGGAATTCCTGGTACAGTCCTGCATGTGAGAAGGTGGGGAAGTGTGTGTGAGGGTTGAGTCTAGGGCAATCTCTGTGTTACCCACAGGCTTGAGAGACTTAGTCCATTCTCTCCAACCTCTGTTCTACAAACTACCAGTGGATTTGTTGTGTCATCTCAGACACACAGTATAGGAGTAAGAAGTTTGTCCTTTCTATAACAACATGGTGTCATGTCAAGAGAGCTAATTTAGATGTATGTTTGCTGTTGTCATTAACTAGTTTGGAGACCTTAATTAGGTCCACTGAGGGGTCTACATAAGGTACCATGGATGTCTAAGATAAGTTAAACATCTGTCTTGTGTAGGGAGTATTTCCTTTTCTTTTAAATTTAAATGGGGCTGTCTCTTGTAAGGAGCAAATGTCTGGGTCAGGAACGATGTTGCAAATCAAATTATCTATTGCTTGAATGGAGGCCTGGTTAGTAGCTAGGGAGACTAGTTCTTCCTAAAAGCTTTCTCTTCTTTCTCCCGACCCACTAAACTATAAGTCCCATATGAACGACAACCGTATCCTCTACCCTAGTACAATACCTGGAATATAGCAGCTACCCAATAATTAACTGAATGAATTTACAAACGATCTGAGCTAAGAATTGTTATTAAAAGATTTTGGGGCTGGGCGTGGTGGCTTACGCCTGTAATCCCAGCACTTTGGGAGGCTAAGGCAGGTGGATCATGAGGTCAGGAGTTCAAGACCAGCCTGGCCAACTTGGTGAAACCCAGTCTCTACTAAAAATAAAAAGAAAAAATTAGCTGGGCATGGCGGCGGGCGCCTGTAATCCCAGCTACTCAGGAGGCTGAGGCAGAAAATTGCTTGAACCCAGGAGGTGGAGGTTGCAGTGAGCTGAGATCACGCCACTACACTCCAGCCTGGGTGACAGAGTGAGACTATGTCTCAAAAAAAAAAAAAAAAAAAGATTTTGGTACTGAAGGTACTTGCCCAAAATCAGACTGTTAGTTTAGAACAGTCAGGGATAGTCATGACATGAAAAAATACAAAAACTATAAAGGTAATAGCCCTGTTCCTGCAGGCATTTGCTCTAATGCAGCTCTTCAGGCTGTAGCCTGGCTGCATCTATTGTTTAAACTTGTACAGTAACAAACTTCACATGAATCTGAAAAATTCAAACCATCTACAGGGTTTCTAGTGAACCAAACCCAGCCTCAGCAGCACTACAGCAGACTAACTCATCAGGGCAAATACTTCCTGAGACCTGTGTCAGTTGGCAACTAAGCTAATTCTTTCCATAACTTTTGTTGATTTCTGCAGTTAGTCCCCAAGCATGGTCCTCAAATCAGCAGGATCAGCATTATCTGGGAACTTGTTAGAAATGCAACTTAAGGCTGGGCACGGTAGCTCACGCCTATAATCCCAGCACTTTGGGAGGCTGAGGCGGGTGGATCACCTGAGGTCAGGAGTTTGGGACCAGCCTGGCCAACATGGAGAAACCCTGTCTCTACTAAAAATACAAAAATTAGCTGGGCACAGTGGCACGTGCCTGTAATCCCAGCTACTCGGGAGGCTGAGGCAGGAGAATCACTTGAACCTGGGAGGTGGAGGTTGCAGTGAGCCGAGATCGTGCCATTGCACTCCAGCCTGGGCAACAAGAGTGAAACTCTGTCTCAAGGGGAAAAAAAAAAAAAAGAAATGCAACTTAAGTTCCCTCTAGAACTGCTAAATCAGAAACTCAGTAATCCATGTTTTAACCAGCCCTCTAAGTGACTCCGATGCATGCTAAGGGTTCCTCTGTGCTAGTAAAACCCCAGATTTTCCCAGGGAGGGACTACTAATATCAATACTGAAGGATTCCATTTACAAACTTTTCTCAAGATGAGTTATTTTAGAGGTTTAAGTGGTAATTTAGGCACAGTGGTTGGGAGGTGAAAGCCATACATTCAAGGAATGTTCTGCTATACTCTTTTGTTTTCCTCTGGCAGAGATTCCCAACCCTTTTCCCTTCTTTATACCTTAAAATCCCACAGGCCACTGGTTTCACCCCTGACTGTAGGCTAGAATCACCTTGGGGAACTCAAAAAGGCAAAGCATTACCAAAAAACTCCATGTCTGTGTCTCAAAGATTGATTCAGTTGGTCTATGGTGGTGCCTGGGCATCAGTATTCAAAGCTTTCCAGGTGGTTCTGCAGCCAGCATTGAGAACCACTTAAGAGATTGTAGAAATGGACAATCACAGGAAAGTTATGTATGTTGTGTGTTGGGGGGGCTGGGGGCGGTGTAGGCATTTCGTAGCAGGAGCTTCTAATATAAAGAAAATATACGAGAACTAAAGGATTAAGCTATCTATACATAAAAAACCATCCCTCATTTTCAGAAAGGCACTATTTACTTATTAGTCTAGTTAGTGGTTCTCAAGAGTGTGATCCAGAATCCCCTAGGGTTGCCCGAGACTCAGGAGCCCAAGAGGTCAAAACTATGTTCATAAGAACATTCGCATTTTCCACTTTCATTCTTTCATAAATTTACAGTGGAGTTTTCCAGAGGCTATGACATTATCATGTAATTGCTCTGATAGCTGATGGAATGTGTGCTTGTTATTTTTGTCTGGAAAATGTTTCAGCTTCTTGGCCGGCGCGGTGGCTCACGCCTGTAATCCCAACACTTTGGGAGGCTGAGATGGGTAGATCACGAGGTCAGATTAAGACCATCTTGGCCAACATGGTAATACCCTGTCTCTACTGAAATACAAAAAATTAGCCGGGCGTGGTGGCACGTGCCCGTAATCACAACTACTTGGGAGGCTGAGGCAGGGGAATCGCTTGAACCCAGGAGGCGGAGGTTACAGTGAGCTGAGATTGCGCTGCTGTACTCCAGCCTGGCGACAGAGCAAGACTCCGTCTCAAAAAAAAAAAAAAAGTTTCAGCTTCTAAAATGGTATCTACGGATAAAGCCTAGAAAGATAAAACCTCCTTGGGGATATTCAGTAAATTTAATTGTAAAGGGGTTCCTGAGACCAACCTGGCCAGGATAAATGGACACAATTCAGTTTTTTTCTTAAACATTAGGGCAAGAAAAGGCTGCCCTAATTTACCTCCTAAGCAACTACAATGTTGATAAACAATGAATGAAGACTTAGCAGTTTCTTTCAAGCCATTGTAAATGATGGAAGAAATTAAGGGAACCAAGTGGCTGTCTAGGTTATCAACCAAAGCATAAAATTAATTTGCAGTTTTGATTTACTCCACAAATTGCTTACTAGAAAAGGGTTACGGCAACCCAGAAGTTCTAGAACAGGCTATAGTTCAGATGAAATGTGCAATGACTTAAGTCATTTTAAGTGGGAACTCCTGATTCCATACCCATTCGTGAGCCCCAACAGATGGGATTTCCCTCCCCTATCACCACATAATTACTTAGAGACACAAGCACAAGATTGTCATTCACTTTTCTGCATACTTTATTTGTTACAAACATACAATTTTTTTTAAATATAGACTGTAAAACTCCATTTGCAAAAGTCTATTGTAAGGAGTGCACACCAGCAGGAAGGATTCTTACATTTTTTCTCTGTGAGTTTTTCTGTCAGTTTTGCTAGTTAGTGGTAAATACGGGACCCGCCATTTTTACAGACCAGTCTGAAGCTTCTGACTGTATTCACATTGCTCTTTTGAAGCAGCCCTGCTCCTCTCAAAATTGATCAGAATCTGAGCTTCAACCTACAGGCAGTGAGATCAACAGCCCGTCTGGACTCTGCTTTTGAACGGTTTTCAGGAAGTGTGATTTCTGAATGGGTACTGCACTTCACAGATTTGTTTGAATTGCCCATGCAGCTCTATGTTTGTTAAAGTGCATTCTTCTTTAAAAAATAAGAGGAATAATCTTTACTCTTTAACCAAGGTACTTAAAAAAATGAACTTTTTGGTCTCTCAGCAGATATTCCCAAATTGATCCTATCACTACAAATTTTAGTGTTTTATTTACAGACATTTATAGGGTTACAGGTGGAGGGGACCTTATAAAATTAAAGGTGCAGCTTCTCTTGAAGCAGAAATCAGTTCTACAAATTCATACACAGGAATACACACTTGGTTTACAATGCATAAGCATGTGGGTATTTACACAGAGATTGAAGACATCCCCAAAAAACACATTTTAAAGTAATTTCCAACCTAAACTCTAATTGTACATCTAGATCAGGAAGCTGTCTCCTGCTATCAAGATTTGGTTTTAATTCATTCAAATTATTTCTGTAGATTCTCTACTGGCAGGACATCAGTCCCAGCTTTGGAGTGAATAGTCTAAGAAAGCCACTGGTAGATACTATGATTGGCAGTGAAGATTCCTATAGAACGGAAAGTATGTTATCTGGAAACAGAAGACAAATGAATTTTAAAAATGATCTTGGAAAAACATCTGGATGGAGGCCCAAAATAATAAATCCCTACTATAATTGTTTTAGAACTTCAAAAAAAGAAGTCCAGATACACTGACGATCTTAGTTACTATTCAAATATTGGTAAGTCATTGAAAAATAACTCAGATTTACTTGTCTACCGAAACGTGCAAAACCATGGACTCTTTATAAGTACGTCCCATACTGACTTAAAGCCAGTTTCTAGACTTTTTGGTCAACCTACTGACTTTTAGAAATTCAGAGAGTAGGCTAGGCGTGATGGCTCATGCCTGTAATTCCAGCATTTTGGGAAGCTGAGGCGGGCAGATCACTTGAGGTCAGGAGTTCGAGACCAGCCTGGCCAACATGGTGAAACCCCGTCTCTACTAAAAATACAGAAAATTAGCTGGGCATGGTGGCACATGCTTGTAATCCCAGCTACTTGGGAGGCTGAGGCAGGAGAATCGCTTGAGCCCGGGAGGCAAAGGTTGCAGTGAGCTGAGATCAAGCCACTACACTCACTCCAGCCTGGACGATAAGAGCGAAACTCCGTCTCAAAAAAAAAAAAAGAATCCAGAGAGCTTTTGTACACAGGGATGACACATGTGGGCTGGAACAAGGGTTTATGTCTAATATCTTATCAGTTCAAAATGAAACTCCCAAATTCCTACAACACAAATGTGTTTAATGATATAATCCAGTTCTTCAGTTCTCTTGGGACTCTCCCTGCAGTTATGTCTCTGAAAAAGGAATTTTACAAGAGAATAAACAAACCACTCACCATCCTATTTCTAAATATAAAGATTCTTCCAACCAGCCTGATCTTGCAACTCAGAGTTAAGACTGGGGACGAAATATTTGGCTTTAAGAAATAAGAGATGGCCTAAATGGATATTTTGGAAAAAGTTAGCTATTGAAGTGTTATTTAAGGTAAGGGGGAAAAAAGGACAAACTCATGCCTTCTGCAATATCCATCCTAGTGGACACTGAATAGGGCTATTGCTTTCTTTCCAATACTCTGGGCCCACATTTCATCATACTAAAAAGACATAATTAGTTTTCTTACCCATGTCAATGGATATTAGATATAACACAAGGAAAATGAAATTTGCTTCTAGACTCAAAATCTGTTGACACTTAAAGTATAATTATACTTTTTTATTAAACTGTTAGAATCATCTATGGAGAAAAATGAGTTTTAGCTTCCAATAAAGCTCTGCTCTTATTAGAAATCATATTGAGCAGTGAAACTACCAATATGGCAGTTGCTATTCTATTGTTTTAACATGACTCTACCTATCCCAATTGGAATGTCTAATTCAAGAGACATGAGTTAGATTTTCAAATTAAATGACTGTGAATAGAGGTGATTACACTGATGGCATATTCCCTATTTCTTTAGGAAATATAAAATACATTCATAAAGGCCTTACTTGGATCAGGGGTACAGATATCAATTGGGAATCTCTAAGGTAATAAGTTTTCTTGATGCGATTTTATTATTTTTTCATTTTCCAAATCTAATTTTCAGTACTGATAATTGGACAATTTTCAAGTAAGAGTCTGTTAAATCCGTCAGTAATAAAACTGAGTTTTAAGACTGAGGGCTGGGAAAGGAGACTTTAAATAGCAAAGTCAGACATATCAAAAGAAATCATTATTCAAGAGTCCAGCTATCTGCTGAAACTTCTGGGGGGCTAATACTTGAAAATTAAGGACTTTGTTTTTTCTAAGTTAAAAATGGGGGAAATGAAGTTATAATCTGCCATTTCCACCTTACATTTGGAATTTATTTATTTATTTTTTGAGACGGAGTCTTGTTCTGTTACCCAGGCTGGAGTGCAATGGCGCGATCTTGGCTCACTGCAACCTCCGCTTCCTGGGTTCATGCCATTCTCCTGCCTCAGCCTCCCAAGTAGCTGGGACTACAGGCATGCACCACCATGCCCGGCTAATTTTAGTATTTTTAGTAGAGACGGGGTTTCACCATGTTGTCCAGGCTGACCTGAACTGACCCGCCCACCTCAGCCTCCCAGAGTGCTGGGATTACAGGCGTGAGCCACCACGCCCGGCCGCATTTGGAATCTCAAATGGAGCATATGACACATACTTTATTCTTTTTTGTCTGTATTTTCTTAAGGTAAATGTGTTTTTTTTTTTTTCTTTTTTCTTTTCTACAAACTATCTCCCGCCCTCCCCAGCCCCACCCACACACCCATTATCCAGTATACTGAATGGGAGTTGTAACTCTTTAGGAAGACAGCTAATTGATTTACAGTACTCTAAAACCAACCCTGAAAACTGATAATCTCATTCACTTACTATAACTTCAGTGCTGTAGTTGACAGGAAAGAAAAAGTTACCTTAAGGCTCAAGGGAAAGTAACTTATTAAATTGTGAATGCAGCATTATTTACTCTCCCATCCATTGGAAACTAGCAAAATGCATTCTGGATCAATAATACAAACCTTCTAACATTAGCAAAGATTTCTACTCTTCTTACACAGAGTTAGAACAATATTCATAAGCAATTATCTAAGGGAGCCTGAGAAACTATGATCCACATCACACAAAGATTTCATGTATTTCATGATCAAAAAGTGCTTTATCTTTGAGAAATGTCAGGGTTACAATGGAAATATACAATGTAAAGTCACTTGATATTTTTTCAAGTGAAGTACAAAGTAGAAAAGGAGCAAAAAGATGGAGGCTCTGCTCTCTGAACAGGCCTTATGCATGTGACTTTTAGGGTGTACGAAATTAAAGTTGTTTTAAGAATTAAAAATAGTGGGACTTTACACCACTATATTCTAAAACCTGAGATTGGACATCAAAACAGTCAACTTTGTTATTCATCAGAGCAATTCTGATACTTCCTAAAAATATAAGATAACTCAACTGAATTAACTCCAGGGTCAAAAACATTAACTTTCCCCAATCAAAAAGGAGACCGATCACTATATACCAAGAGTGCTGCAGAAAGACAAACTCTCAGCAAATGAGTCATTTCTACATAAGCAAAAAAGTCACTTTTCTCCTTCCCTTTCTCACTGATCAAGGCCACACTATTTTCAAATGAATATCTACTGAGAGATCAGTTGTGCATTGGATAAAGTACCATAATTGGGTTAAAAATGAAAACAAAATTTACAGTGAAGAATACTTATGTGCATGGCTTACACACTCCAGCTTCTCAATTTCATCCACCTCAAGAGCAAGATAGATGCAAAGTCACCTTGTGTAGATTACATTCTACACCCCTGTAAAGCCAGTCAAGGTCACATTTAACAAAGCATCTTCAGCAACTACAGTGCCTGAAGTGTGCAGCCGTTTACAGACCACTCAATATGAGGGCATTATTATAACCAGCCTCTTTTGCCCACAACCCTGCATCTTCAGATAAGACAGGATAATTGTTTTGTTTTGAGAAAACTGAAGCTTAAATCTCTTAAAAGACCTGCAATTTACTGCAAAGTAATCCAGAGGTAACAAAGGAAGCAGGAGGTTAACGGCTGCCTGCACCAAAAGCCTCTCAATCATTTTGCAGTAAATAATTATGGAAAGTGATGTGACAAGTAGCCATGTGTGTATCACAGCTACAGTCATTTATACCACGTATATGCCTCCGATAGTTACATAGGGTGTTTGGGTTTTTGGTTTGGTTTTCACTTTGATTTTTGGTGCCATACAGATTTATATTTTGTTCTTGTGCAGCATATGCACTGAAAAACTTGCTGCTGTTCCACTTGCTGAAATGATAGGGACAATAGAAACCAAAACCAAAACATAGAAGGAAGAGTAGTAGGATCTCTTCACAGATTTTTATTCTTTTGATTCTGTTCCTAAAATTTGGCTTTTCACCTTTGTAACTATGGTAGTTTGGGAAACAAACCTTCTAACAATTATATGAAAAGAAGTTTTAGTTTCCTACTTCTCAGGAATATGACTATTTTGATTAGCTGGGATGTTTGCCAAGCTTAAAAAAAAAGGCTCAAAATCATTCATAGCAACAACTGAAAAACAAAAAAATTGGTTGTTTCCCATGTCTGTACAATGCCATTATCTGACTGGAATTAACAAAGACCATTTCCTTTAATAAGCTATTAATAATATTTACGAATGAATCTGTGTTTTGCAGGTTTCTATTGTCCCTAGTGACTGGAGTGAAGATCAGTGAAATGCTACAATTAATCCACAGCCTTCTGCAATCTTCCTGCAGTGGGAAGAGAGGCCATGAACCATCCCTTGCAGGAGAAACAAACCTTAGAGATTGGTTAAGACTTAAAAACCCACCACTATGACATTACCACTTAATCTTACATAGGCAGGTCAAAATTTTAATATAAATTACTTTTGCCAACACATAGCTTATGCATTCTTTGCTCCTTTTTTTGGAGGATTTTCAAATTGATATCTAAAGATTTACATATGATATATTACTGTTACATGGTCTAATGACTAAGAAAATTTCTCTGGTAACCAAAGCTGATGCCATATATGGTAGTGTTCTTGGCATATACTCTATATGCCTCAGACCACTTCCACATTCTTTCTATTCAGCTAATTATAGCTTAGTAGCCACTGGTGAAGGATTGTGAAGACCCTGTCATTTCTACAGAATAGAAAGGCAAGGCTAGTTACTGCAATTCAGCCAAA
Organism: Homo sapiens; assembly: GCF_000001405.40. NCBI lineage: Eukaryota > Metazoa > Chordata > Mammalia > Primates > Hominidae > Homo > Homo sapiens. The sequence goes on from NC_000007.14 coordinate 44,881,909, forward strand.
CAAAAAGAAAAAAGAATAAACCAACCCCTTAAAAAGGAGAGGTACTGCACCTTTGCAAAATTGAACTGGCTCACTGCAGCTGAGCAACAGAACCACCACTGAAGCAAGAAAACAAGTTGGTCTATACAAGAATTGTACATGGTTTGAAAATGAAAAAGTTACAGCAATCAACTAATAGCTGCAACTTAAATTTTCATTGCTGCCTCAGAGTTGAAACTTAAATAGTTTCTGCAAACCTAATGCTAGCTTCTCAGCTCCTTTACTAAAACTATTTAGGAATTTGTTCTCCGCAGCAAAGAAATAGACACTCAAAACACGTAGGTAAATACAGCAGGACATTATTGAAAAACAGCTGCCTTGTAGTACAAAATACAGTACAAGTATACGGATGTCATTAAAACATCAAAAATACTATTGCTCCCATACAATTTAGGAAACATTCTTTGCAACGGAGAAAAATTTAAAAGAAAAGCTTTAAAAAAATCTGTTTAAAAATTCTACTGTGGATGATGAGAGTAGAGAAATAGTCTGAAAAGGGCACCAATGTTTGTGGCTCTTCCACTTTTTAATCTAAGATCAACAATATTCTGCATCATAATCTATTTTTTTAAAAAAGCCTAATTTTATGTACACAATTATTTCCCGCCCTCTCAGCCACAAATACATGAAAACCTTTTTGTATATTACTCATTTCCCAATAAATACAAAAAGATTGTATAGATTGAATAATACCAAAATAAGATAATAAAAAGGATATGCAATAAATTAAAAAGGCAGCTCAAATAAGGGGCAGGCATGCAGTTTAAAAAAAATACTAAGATTGTGGAGGCGGGGTTACTTGCCTCCTGGTTGAGAAGGTGTCACACAAAGAATACCTGAAAACTTTGGAAAGAACGTTAGCTCCCATTCAATTCAAAGTTACCTAGGTCTATGACATTTCTAGGAATACCTTTTGATGGGGTGGGATTAACTTGATTAGTAAAAATCATTTCTACTGAAAATCCATTTAAAATATAGAAGAGGCGATCCTTGAAAACCCCAACTTTTATTCTTGAAAGACAGCTGGATTAACTGGCAAAAGCCAGTTTGTTGAAATTTCAAGATGGTATAAAAATGCTTCCAGGATATAGTCAGCATATTCACGTTCACTTCAGTTCCATTCACAGATGGATTTCAGCTTCCACCGGGTGCACTGCTTGAATCACTCATCCATCATTTGCCAACTCTGATTGTGAGGTACTGATACAATGGATCAAGTTCTTAAAAATTTTAAAAGAATAAATGATGCTGGAATTCTGGACCTGAGGATCTTTAGTATTTGAACAAATCCACAGATTAAACTGAAGGTAAATTAAGACTTCAGTTTTGGTTATTTCCAACTTTTCTGTGAGGATGTATATCCATTAAAGCTCAGGCTTATAGCCACACTGTTACTTTTGTAGGTAATCTTCAAGTTTTATGGTTTAAAATCCAGCCAACCAGTGGCTGTAACAGCCGAATTAGCCATAATTCACTGGCTCACACAGTGGAGATCTGGCTCTCATTCATACCAAAGCATTTCTTGGTAATGACCTCCATATTTAGAGATCAGGGGAACAACTTTAGTGAGCAGCAACCAATCCACTCAAACAGTCTGCCTTGTGCTTTATGCCTGACTTTTTCTTGTGCCTACCTCAGCAACCCCCAATGTAAAACTGCTTTTATCTTTGAAAATTTTTTGTCAACTTTGAAACTATTTTAGTAACGGATTCTACTCCAAGCATTGCTATCTGAATCCACTGGCATCCTGGAAAACAATTCTGCGAAGAAAAGACATTTGCCTTGGTCCAGGTTCCATGCAAAACCATTTTTTTAAAAAAATGGATCCAATTTGGTTCTGTATTCTTAGATGGCTTCTTGAAATCTTATCTTTAACCTGTTCATGATTATCCCAAGTTGCATTTCTTTTCGTGAACCTGAACCCTCAGAACTGGGTAATTGTAAAGGCCTCTCTTCTCAAGGATTCCATGAAGACCTAGATCCAAAATGCTGATTTCAATGGAGGTGAAGGGATAGACACCGCAACAGTGAGGCCTAGAGAGATCTTTTATGCCAGATTACCCAGGTGCAACCTAAATGCAACTGTTATCAATGGTCTGGGTAACTTGGACATGTTTCTTGCCCTGGATGTGCAAGGATCTATTCCCTCCAGGGATTATCCTGATGGGTTTACGAACCTCAGTTGAGAAACAACAGAAGCTGAGACAATTTTACGCAGGTGAGGAGATGCTGTTTTCCTCTTTGCAGGTTGCTGTCAGTTCCTTGGAACTTGACTGCTTTTCTCAAGTTGTCCGTCACTGTTCTCTTACGATTATTTCTCTTAACTGTGTTACGTTTTGTTTTTTCCCTCTGCGGCCTCCCTTGCTCCCTCTCCACTAGCTCACTGGGGATGAGCAGGAAAGGGAATTCTCTAGCCAAGGGGATGGTGGTTGGGTGGAGGCCTGTAGGGGAAGCTGCCCGTTTCAATCCTCATCCACCTCCTCACCCTCTGACTCTTCGCCGCCGCCGCTGCCCCCACCACGTCGCTCATAAAGCTTATCCCTCTGTCGTTCCTGGATTTCTTTCATCTCATCCGCATACCGGCAAAAGGCGCCTCCGAACTTGCCCCAGGCTTTGAAGGGTACGGTGATGGCATTGCGGTAGGACGGCTTCACCTCGCTCACTCGCAGAAACACCCCGTATTTGTTGCAGCCCACATCGAAGAAGAAGCGCTTGGAGTCCACGGTGATGGAGGTGCCCTCCGGGAGCTCTCCATACAGGCCGCCCCCTGGGCCCCCGGCGCCGCCTCCCGGGCCGCCTGCCAGCTCGTCGTCCTCGCCTCCGTAGTCGTCTATGAGCTTCGCCAGCGCGTCGCGGAACTCGATGAGGCCCTGCGCAGGCAGCGCGATGGTCTGGCCGCTCTGCAAGCCGCCCGGCCCGGGGCCCGCGCCGAAGCCGCCACCGCCGCGGTTGACCGTTTGGCGGATGCGCAGGAAGCGGCCGCGCTGGTTCTCCTTGAGGTCCAGGTAGTACTTGCGGTTCTCACGCACCAAGAATTCGCTCTTGAGCGCGCGCCGCGGCCCGCCGCCCTCCTCGGCGCCAGCCGCCAGCTGCTCGGGGCTGCTAGGGCCCAGCTGCGCGTAGTGTTCTATGAAGTCGCCCAGCGAGTCGCGGAACTCGGCGGCCACCGCCATGGACAGCGTGAGGCGGCTCTTGGAACCGCCCGCGCCCACCTCGGCGATCTTGAGGAAGCGGCCCTTGGCGTTCTGCTTCACATCTAAGTAGAAGCGCTTGTTCTGGATGTCCAGCCGCTTCGAGGCCAGCTCCTGCGTCTCTTGCTCGCCGCCGCCGCGGGACGCGGGCTGGAACCCGCACGGCCCACCGCCGCCGCCGCGCTCGCTGCCGCTGTCGCCGTCCGCCATCTTCTAGGCCGCCGCCTCGCCGCCACCGCCCGCCGCGCTCGCGCCCCCGCCCTCCGGCTCGCGCTCCGGGGCCCCCCAGCCTCGCCCGCCCGGCTCGCTCACGCGCTCCCGCCGCTCATCGCCGGCCGCCGCCGCCCCCCCATCGCCTCCGCGCCCCGCCCCCGCGACTTCCGTGCAGCCCTAGCCACTTCCGGCGCGCGATTTCCCGTGAAGTCACTCCGTCCCGCCCTCCGCGGCCTCGCGGCCGGAAGCGCCGCGGCGGCGTGGCGCAGAGGGGTGACGTCAGGGGCCGCGCCGGGCGGGCGGCAAGCTGAGAGTAGGCTAGTGTTACTGCTCGGTTTCTAGCCCTGGGGACTTGCCAGCCTTAGCGTGACTCAGCCGCCCGCTGCGTCTGTCTACGCGCCTCTTCCCGTGACACTTTTACTTTAGACTCCGGTGTCGTCCACTTCCCTCCTTCTCGCTTCCGGGGCGTTAGCTGAGCATACTCAGGCCCCAGCCTGCTCGCGCTGGTTGTGTGCTGGGAACAGAGTTCCAGTCTATACACTGGCGACCGGGGGGAGGGAGATCCTTTGGAGCACTCGGAAGCGGGTTCTGACCAGCCTGTGGGGTTCCCTAGAGGAGGCATGAGCTGACTCTGAAGGGCAAACTGCAGTTGGCCTGGCAACTCTGGAGAAGAGCCACCCAGCATAGGAGACGGCAGTGCAGAGGCACCCAGGGCCTGATGCTGGGAGCTCAGAGCAGCTGGGGGTGTGTATGCCTGAAGAATGGTCGTAGATGACACTGGAGGGTGGATTAGATCAAGGAAAGCCATTTGCAGTGCGGGAGAGTTAGTGCCTACCCCAGAGTCTGGAGCCACCGTATGTGATCAGGTTCACATTTTGGAAAGATCACTGTGGGAACAATATAGAAAGAAGATGATTTAGGATGAGGTTAGATTTGGGATCCAGAGATCAGTTAACTGTCCCCACAGTTAGCCATATTAAAGTGGTTAAGGAAATTGACTGCCAATCTTTAGTTTCTTTATCAATAAAATGAATAATTCCTATGAGGTCTTTTTGTTGTAAGCATTGAGGTGTAACAAGAGGCAGAATTGGAATAGTGTTAAAAAGTGTAGGCTCTGCAACTGCACTGGGTTTGAATCTGTGACCTTGACCAGTTACTTGATTTTCCAAAGCCAAAATGTCCTCATCCTTAAATTTTTTTTTTTTTTTTTTTGAGTCTTGCTCTGTCACCCAGGCTGGAGTGCAGTGGCGTGATTTTAGCTCATTACACCCTCCACCTCCCGGGTTCAAGCAATTCTCCTACCTCAGCCTCCTGAGTAGCTGGGATTACAGGCAACCGCCACCACACCCGGCTAATTTTTGTATTTTTAGTAGAGATGGGGTTCCACAATGTTGGCCAGGCTGGTCTTGAACTCCTGACCTCAGGTGATCTGCCCGCCTCAGCCTCCCAAAGTGCTGGGATTACAGATGTGAGCCACCACACCCAGCCTAAATGTAGTTATTCATAGATAGTGAATCCAACAATGGACTTGTAAAGAACACAAATAATAGATAACCCAATATAAAAGGTGAAAGATTTTAACAGACACTTCGTCAAAAAAGCCAGTAAGCACATGAAACAGTGCTCAACATTATTCATCATTAGGGAAATATAAATTAAAGTCAGAATGAAATACCAACTAGAATGGCTAAAATTAAAAAATGTAACATCAAGTGTTGAGAAGGATGTGAAGAAACTGGAACTCATACATTGCTAGTAAGGATATAAAATGGTATAAATGCTTTGGGAAACAGTTTGGCAGTTTCTTATATACCTTTCATAAAATAAGACCCAACATTTCCACTTTTTTTTTTTTTTTGAGCAGTCTTGCTCTGTTGCCCAGGTTGGGGTGCAGTGGAACAATCTTGGCTCACTGCAACCTCTGCCTCCTGGGTTCAAGCAATTCTCCTGCTTCAGCCTCCTAAGTAGCTGGGACTATAGCCATACCCAGCTCATTTTTTGTATTTTAGTAGAGATAGGGTTTCACCGTGTTGCTCAGGCTGGTCTCGAACACCTGAGCTCAGGCAATCCACCCACCTCGGCCTCCCAAAGTGCTAGGATTACAGGCGTGACCCACCGCAGCCAGCCTCCACTTCTAGGTATTTACCCGAGGGAAGTGAAAGTATGATCACACAGTTTGTATGACCCCATTTATATAAAAGTATATGAAAGAGGAAGGTGTGTGTGTATGTGTCTGTGTGTGTGTGTGTCAGAGAGCAAATCAGTAGTTGCCTGGGCCTGAATATGGAGGGACAGATTGGAAAGGGTAATACAAGGAAACTTTTAAGGGTGATGTATTCTGTGTCTTGTTTATGGTAGTGATTTCACAGATTTGCCAAAACTCATTCAAATGTAGTTTATTATAGAGAAATTAGACCCCAATAAAGTAATTATTATTATTTTGAAAAGACACGAATCAAAGAGGATGTTGGGGACAACTGCACTAAAAAAAAAAATACCTTGTAGGGTTGTTGGGCAGTAATCCTTGAAACATGTTTAGCGTAATGCCTGAATTACAGTGAGTGCTCAATAAATGTGAATTCGGGTGCATCCACATGGGTCAGTAGTAATTAGGTGTGGGAGCTGCCAGCAGGTAGGGTGGATTTGACATCAGTTTCCTAGAAGAAGGAGAGTTCAGAGGAAGATACCAAATTTTGGGTCGTGAACAATTCAATCCTTGGAGAGGATTGAGACATTAAAATCCCTAAGGAAGGAATGCAATGTCAGGCATCACTTGACCTTTGTGAAAGATGTCCACCCAGCTCCTTCTCTGGTTTCTTGCTAACCAACTTTCTGATTTCTCCTCTCTAATGCAACTTCCCTACATAGAGGACACCAACATTCAGTTCATGAAAAGGACTATCTCTCTGTTCATTTCTTTTTTTTTTTGAGACAGAGTCTCACTCTGTCACCAGGCTGGAGTGCAGTGGCATGATCTCAGCTTACTGCAACCTCTGTCTCCTGGGTTCAACGGATTCTCCTGCCTCAGCCTCCTGAGTAGCTGGAACTACAGGCATGTGACCACCGTGCCCAGCTAATTTTTGTAGTTTTAGTAGAGACAGGGTTTCACCATGTTGGCCAGGATGGTCTTGATCTCTTGACCTCGTGATCCGCCCGCCTTGGCCTCCCAAAGTGCTGGGATTATAGGCATGAGCCACTGCGCCCAGCCCCCTCTGTTCATTTCTTTCTTTCTTTCTTTTTTTTTTTTTTGAGAGTCTTGCTCTGTCGCTCAGGCTGGAGTGCAGTGGCGTGATCTTGGCTCATTGCAAGCCACGTTTCCCGGGTTCATGCCATTCTCTTGCCTCAGCCTTCCGAGTAGGTGGGACTGCAGGCGCCTGCCACCACGCCCGGCTAATTTTTTATGTTTTTAGTAGAGATGGGGTTTCACTGTGTTAGCCAGGATGGTCTAGATCTCCTGACCTTGTGATCTGCCTGCCTCGGCCTCCCAAAGTGCTGGGATTACAGGCATGAGCCACCGCGCCCGGACCCCTCTGTTCATTTCTTATCAGTTTGATTTTAACCAGTCCAATTCTATTTAATGAGTCAGATATATTGCTTGTTTCTTTTGAAATTTCATTCTTTGCTTTAAGCCTAGGATCTTCTCCCCTTTCAGATATTCGGTAGTCATGTTTTTGAACACTTTTGGAAGCTTTTTATGGTTTTATTTTTTATATATGTGATTTTACTATATATTTACATTTTACGTTTAACTATCTGAAATATATTTTGGTGTATAGTATGAGTGAAGAATTTAAAAAATTTCCTCCAAATGACTAACCAATTGTTCCAGTACTATTTATTGAATAATCCTTTAGGGATGGATCTCAACAGGTGGAGACAGGGGTAGATTATTTTGGGCAGAGGGAACATATGTCCCCAGATGGTGAGAAGTTCAGTTTGGATAGAGCCCAGCATCTATGAGGAGTAAGTGGTGAACAATGGATCTGGAAGGTAGTTAGACTGGGTCCTACTGGGGAGGCCTTTGACTTGTAGGCAGGGAGCTTGGGCTAGATTGAAGAGTCAAGGGGGAGCCACTTGACTGTGCGAACAGAAGTGTAACACCTCGAGCTCTGTGCTTCAAGGAAGTGATCCATAGTAGAGGATAGCATGGGTGGGTTAGGGTGGGACCTAGGATGGGCTCTTAGTTGGAGGCAATGACTGTGTTGCAGACAAGAGCCAGCAAGGATTGGGTGCAGCTGGTGGCAGTGCTGGTGGGAGGGGAGGGAGCATGTGGGGCCTTTGGCTCAGGATTCGAAAACTAAATGTGGGGCATGAGAGAAGGAGAGGAGGATGATTTTTTTTTCTTTTTTTTCGGAGACAAGGTCTTGTTATGTTGCCCAGGCTTGTCTTGAACTTTTAGGCTCAAGTAATCCTCCTACCTCAGCTTCCCAAGTAGCTGGGATTACAGGCACACACCACTGCACCCAGTTGGAGGATTATTATTATTATTTAGACAGAGTCTTGCTGTGTCGCCCAGGCTGGAGTGCAGTGGCACGATCTCCGCTCACTGCAACCTCCGCCTCCCAGGTTCAAGTGATTCGCCTCCCTTAGCCTCTCAAGTGGCTGGGACTACAGGCGCCAGCCACCATGCCTGGCTAATTTTATTTTGTATTTTTAGTAGAGATGGGGTTTCACTATGTTGGCCAGGCTGGTCTTGAACTCCTCACCTCATGATCTGCCTGCCTTGGCCTCCCAAAGTGCTGGGATTACAGGCATGAGCCACCACACCCAGCCGGATTATTATTTTTTATTATTTATTTATTTATTTATTTTTATTTTCATTTTCGAGACAGTCTTCTCTGTCACCCAGGCTAGAATGCAGTGGCGTGATCTCGGCTCACTGCAACCTCCACCTCCCGGGTTCAAGCGATTCTCCTGCCTCAGCCTCCCAAGTAGCTGGGATTACAGGCGCCCACTACTGTGCCCGGCTAATTTTTGTATTTTTAGCAGAGACGGGGTTTCACCATCTTGGCCAGGCTGGTCTTGAACTCCTGACCTCATGATCCACCTGCCTTGGCCTCCAAAAGTGCTGGGATTACAGGCGTGAGCCACAACACCTGACCTATTTTTTATTTTTTTATTTTTATTTTATTTTTTGAGGTGGAGTCTCACTCTTTCGCCCAGTCTGGAGTGTAATGGCACGGTCTCGGCTCACTGCCACCTGCCTCCCAGGATCAAGTGATTCTCCTACCTCAGCCTCCCGAGTAGCTGGGACTATGGGTGTGTGCTACCACACCTGGCTAATTTTTGTAATTTTAGTAGAGACAGGGTTTCACTGTTGGTCAGGCTGGTCTCAAACTCCTGACCTTGTGATCCGCCGGCCTTGGCCTCCCAAAGTGCTGGTATCACAGGCGTGAGCCACCGTGCCTGGCCGAGGATTATTTTGAAGTAGGTGCTCAGATGATGAGGGACCAAGGCTAACCTTAGCAAAATAAGGCTAAGAGGATGAACTCTTTAGATGAAGATGATATCAAACACTGAATTGAGGCTTTCACAGTTCCCCTTGCTGCAGATGTTAGGTACTTCTCCCCTGTGTAATTCACAATACATGGCACATAACAGGATGAGCTGCTTTGATGCATTTTTGGAATATCAAATACTTTCCTCAGAAGTTTTTTACTTCTTAGTGGCCTTGAGTCCCTGCTTTGACTGCTTTTTGGCAATTTGAGCGTAATTGAGGATGGATCTCACTGTTGGCATGTTAAATTTGAGGAGCTGGCCGAATGCCTGAGAGGATATTTCCAAGTGTCTCTGGAACTCAGAGAATCAGAGTCCAGAAAAGAGGCAAGTAACAGAGATGCAGGTTTGGGAGCCACCAGCAGACAGGTGGAGTGGACATCAGGCTCAGAGAGGGTTGTGTGGGGAAATCAGGGAAAGATGAAGAGGATGAGGAGAGAGAAAGGCCAAGGGGTCAGAAGACTGTGAGGTCACAGGTGATAGTTCATAGTGAGCTGTATATGAACTATGTACTTGGGCTTCCCACAAGTTTTGGAAACACATCACAAATCACCCAGCTCTTAGGAGGTGGAGCAGAGACTGGAACTCGAGTCTTCTGATTCTAAATTCTGTGTCTCTGACACTGTGTCACTTTGGGGCCCCAGGGGATGGAAGCCAGATGTCAGAACGCTCACAAGTAAATGCAGGGGCAGGAAGTGTAGATTGAGGAGGTATTTCATGTGGCAGAAGGTGACAAAAGATGGGTACTGGCAAAGGAAGGCAGGATGAAGGCTGTTTTACCCCAGAGAAACCTGAGCCAGCTCTGAGGCTGAGGAGAGGAGAGGGGTGCTGAGGGGTCATGACAGAAGCCTCTCAGTGAGGCCTGGAGTAGGCACAGAAGTTGGGCACTCAGGAAAGGAATTGGGTCCTAGAACATGAGAAGGCATCCTTTTTCTTCTGAGATCAAGGAGAGAAAAGGAGATACTGGAGCTTCCAGTGGAGAGGAGGGAAGTTGGAGGAGTTCTTGGTGAAAGGGCCTAAGAGTGAGGCCACACTAAGGAGGAGGCTGCAAAGACCTGTGAGGCCTGGGCTGGACTAAAAGCCTGCTGAACAGCCCCAGGGCCTGGCCAAGACTAGGGCAGAAGCAGGATGGGCTAGATCTGCACCTTGGAGGAGCTGGGAGTCTGGGCTGGAGGCAGCAGATGGAAGTGGGCCTTGCCAGGGCTGGGAGATGGTTGTGGGGGTGCCAGATCCTGGGGACAGTAGCCTCAGATGGCCAGCCATGGGCAGACAAAGCTGGGCATTCAGGAGAACCAGGCCTGGAGAATGAGGAAGGGTTTGCACATTGCAGGGTGGGCACGCCTTTTTTCCCTCATTGCTTTTCCTTGTAGACTTTTTACTTGTTTATTTTTGAGACATGTTCTCGCTCGGTTGTCTAGGCTGGAGTGCAATGGCGTGATCTCTGCTCACTGCAGCCTCTGCCTCCTGGACTCAAGCAATCCTCCCACCTCAGCTCCCAGAGTAGCTGGGATTACAGGCATGTGCTACCACACCCAGTTAATTTTTAAAATATTTTTTGTAGAGATGGGGTTTTGCCATGTTGCCCAGGCTGGTCTCGAACTCCTGAGCTCAAGCAATCTAACCGCTTTGGCCTCCCAAAGTTGGATTACAGGCATGAGCTCGGCCTTCCTTTTAAACTTAAAATGTAAACTTACAGAACAGCTGCAATAATAGTATTCTTCACACAGATTCCCCAAAATGTTAACATCACGGTGTTTGTGTCATTACGCTTTTCATCTTTATGTTTCTTCATCTCTGTCTCTACACACACACACACACACACACACACACACACACACACACACGCTATTTGACATTTTTCTTTCTCCTGAACCATTTGAGAATAAACTGAAATATGATGACCACTTACCTTTAAACACTTCAGTGTCTATTCAAGGTCATTCTCTCACCTATCTAGAGCACAACAATCAAAATCGAGAAACCAGCACAGATCTGACAATGTTGTCTAATCTGCAGACTTTATTATTCAGATTTCACCAAGTGTCTTGATTGCATCCTCTACAGCAAAGGAGACTTTTGCAGCATTAACTGCCACAGGCCCACCCCCAACCACCACTTCTTTTTTAAGACAGAGTCTCACTCTGTCACCCAGGCTGGAGTACAGTGGCGCTATCTTGGCTCACTGCAACCTCTACCTCCTAGGTTCAAGCGACCCTCCTGCATCAGCCTCCTGAGTAGCTGGGATTACAGGTGTGTGCCACCATGCCCGGCTAACTTTTGTAATTTTAGTAGAGATGGGGTTTCACCATATTGGCCAGGCTCGTCTCAAACTCCTGACCTCAGGTGATCTGCCCACCTTGGCCTCGAAAAGTGTTGGGATTACAGATGTGAGCCACCGCGCCCAGCTACCCCACTCTCTTTAATCTGGAGCCATCCCTGGGTCTCTCTTTGTCTTTCACATGAGTGACATTTTGAAATATGAAGGCCGATTATTTTGTAGTTTGTCCCCATTTGTGTTTGCCGGGAGTGCTTCCTGACCACAATCTGAAAACTCCTCACGTCCTGGCTGGCTCAACTTCCCGTAGTGAGTGAGACGTTGCCTGTTGTGCCTGATGCTGAGAAGAGGACGAGGAGATGGTTGAAGGTCCCAGGGTCAGGGACAGGCTGGCAGGAGAGCTTGGGGATGGTCAAAAGGGGATTGCGATGGATGGAGACTGCATATGTGCTTCCTGGGCCCTCCTGCTTTGAGCTGCTTAGAAGCTGCAGTCTTCTTTGCCTTTCCTGCCCATCAGGCATTAAACTGAACTAGAGGGAACAAGACAAGATGACAGTTAGGAGAAACTGGTGTCCAGGATATGCCATCCTAGCGGGTGCTGACACTGAGATTCCCAGGCCAGGCACCCCGTGCTGCAAATGCTTTGCAGCTTGACACTCTGGGCCAAGTATCCAGCTGGCTTGCTTTGAAGCCTCCAGTGATGTTTTTTGGATTTGTGTGGCTGAAAGGAAGTTTGTGCATCTTGCACAGTCTAAAGAGATTGCCTAATTCTGGCTCTGGGCAGAAGGCCCACACCTGCCGTTTATTCTGGGGATTTTTGTCTTATGTAAGGTAGAAAATCAATTCCTTGTGTTAGTATTGGGTTCCAGGAAGCGGAGTTCTCAGCCTCAGGGCTTATCAATCAAATCAGCTGCCCTCCATGATTTGTAGTTCCTCTTCTGGCACGCCCAGAGGTTGGGAAGCTGCGTTAGGCACAGTTGCTGTGCCCTGTGGAGTCTGCACTCACCTAGTGCTCCCTGGGGGCCTCATGAGCCCCTGGAAGATTGATATGTTAAAGGACTGGAGCCTTGAGGCCCTGCGTGTGGCTCACGCCTGTAATCCCAGCACTTTGGGAGGCAGAGGCAGACGGATCATTTGAGGTCAGGGGTTTGAAACCAACCTGGCCAACACGGTGAAACCTCGTCTCTACTAAAAATACAAAAATTAGCCGGGCATGGTGATGGGCACCTGTAATCCCAGCTACTTGGGAGGCTGAGGCAGGAGAATTGCTTGAGCCCGGGAGGCAGAGGTTGCAGTGAGCAGAGATTGTGCCGCTGCACTCCAGTCTGGATGACAGAGTAAGACTCTGTTTCAAACAAACAAACAAACAAACAAACAAACAAAAAACTGGAGCCTTGAAACATTCCAAACCTTCACTGCCCAGTGTTCCTGGGACAAGTTACTTCACTTCTGTGGGTCATGCCCTCCTGGAGGGCAGGCACTTGCACCTTACAGAGCTGCCTGAGCAGTAAGGAAGGTATTGTGTGCAGGCCACTTGTGGATGTGTTTGGTACATCCATGCTCAAATATGTTGCTGCTGTTATTGATGTTATTCATGAATATGGTTGAGCTTTCTCCATAAATCTCCTGGCTGGCTCCATATTCTATAAGACTCTACTGGTTTCAGCTAATGTTGGGTGGAGAGAACCTGCAAATAAAACACAGATGTACTTGGATGAGGGAGTTGAAACCCCCAAATGCAATGATCTTCAAGGGAACAGGATGCCTAGGAACATAGTGGTTGGAAAGCATATCAGCTGGTGATGAATAAGCAGGTCTGAGGCAGTCATAACCAGGGTCACTGGTGTTTGAACCCACTCATTTATATCCTGAAACAATAGGGGAAGGACTTACACACATGGCCTTCTGTGGGGTGGCTTCTGCCCTTCATGCCCTGTCTCTCAGCCAACAGCTGAGTATGAGAAGCCTCCTCCTAGACTCCCAGCTGCCCCTGACCCCTGGCCAGGGCCAGCTGTTGTGCCAACAAAGCCTCCAGTCAGGGGCTCTGGTCCCAGCTGCTGTGGGGAACAGGTTTGACCTTTCCAAGCGCCCATAGGTCACTTGTGGTCTTTCTGTGGAGACAGCCAACAGCCCATCTGTTCTTGCTTCTCATCTCACTCAGAAAATCCTAGCGCTCCCCCTGCTCCACTGGAACCCCTCATTTCCTGGGGATTCTATTTCTGCCTCCCCTGAACCTTCCAGAAGGGCCTTCTGGCTCAGAACCAGACCCCTGCCTGGTTACTCCGTCTGCCCTTCTGCCTGATTAGAGCAAGGGTCTCGCACAGGCTGGACAATGCCCAAGTCTGTGCTGAGCACAAAACAAGGCCATGTGATGGAGGGGCAGGGTTTCTGGATGCTGTCATTAATGATAACAGCCTGAACTATATCCATGACCTTTAAAAACATCTTTAACTGAAGGAAGTTAAAATACAGAAAGAGGGAAGATTAGGACAAACCTTATGGTTGGATTAGATTTAGAGATATTGGTAGGAGCTCATGATTTCATTACATGCACACACACACACAGAGATTGATATAGAAATTTGGCTGGGCGCAGTGGCTCACGCCTGCAATCCCAGCACTTTGGGAGGCCGAGGTGGGCAGATGACTTGAAGTCAGGAGTTCAAGACCAGCTTGGCCAACATGGCAAAATCCAGTCTCTACTAAAAATACAAAAAGAATTAGCTGGGTGTCATGGCGCATGCCTGTAATCCCAGCTACTCGGGAGGCTGAGGCAGGAGAATTACTTGAACCCAGGAAGCAGAGGTTGCAGTGAGCTGAGATCGCGCCACTGCACTCCAGCCTGGGCAACAGAGTGACCTGTCTCAAAAAAAAAAATACACATATGCATATTTACACACAGATATGGGAGTACACACATAAGCGAATTCACACTCATGCAGACAGATATAGAAATACATACATATGCAAATTCATATGCATACAGATATAGAAATACACACGGCCACATAGGTATGGGTGCGTGTATATTTGAACACATGTATGTGTGCTAGAAGCAATGATGGCCTCGGGGGGAACAAGCACAACTGGGACCCAGATCTTGGTTTGTTGATACCATGCTCTAAAAGGAACCAGAGCTCCTTGGAGAAATGACTGATTTTGGGTTAGAGAAGAGAAAACATAAATTGAGCCTGGAATATCTTGTGTCAGAAAGTAAGTCTTTAAAAAAAGGAGGGATGGCCGGGTGCAGTGGCTCATGCCTGTAATCCCAGCACTTTGGGAGGCCAAGGCGGGCGGATCACGAGGTCAGGAGATCAAGACCATCCTGGCTAATACGGTAAAACCCCGTCTCTACTAAAAATACAAAAAATTAGCTGGGCATAGTGGCGGACGCCTGTAGTCCCAGCTACTCAGGAGGCTGAGGCAGCAGAATGGCGTGAACCCGGGAGGCGGAGCTTGCAGTGAGCCGAGATTGTGCCACTGCACTCCAGCCTGGGCGACAGAGTGAGACTCTCTCAAAAAAACAAAACAAAACAAACAAAAAAACAAAAAAACGAGGGGACATGTCAAAGGGACACTCTTGCTGGCTAAATCTGTGACAATTTAGTCTTGAAATAAATAATGATAGCAACAGGCAAAGGGACACTCCTGCTGGCTAAATCTGGGACAATTTAATCATGAAATAAATAATAATAGCAAGAGAATATCAGCTACTGAATAAAATAAGGATTCATGTATACGTGCTGATATACATAAATAAATGAGAGCAAGAATCGTTCTTCCTTATAATAGAATGCCACATGATAAATATGGGAAAAATGATGGAATTTGAAACCAGTGGGTTAAAGTTTGCTGAGTAAAAATATATACATTGGCCAGGCGTGGTGGCTCACGCCTGTAATCCCAGCACTTTGGGAAGCCGAGGTGGGTGGATCACGAGGTCAGGAGTTTGAGACCAACCTGACCAACATGGTGAAACCCCATCTCTACTAAAAATACAAAAAAATTAGCTTGGCATGGTGGCGCGTGCCTGTAATCCCAGCTACTCGGGAGGCTGAGGCAGGAGAATCGCTTGAACCTGGGAGGCAGAGGTTGCAGTGAGCTGAGATTGTGCAACTGCACTCCAGCCTGGGCGACAGAGTGAGACTCTGTCTCAAAAAAAAAAAAAATTACATAGTCTCCCCAGAAGTACATATTAATTACAGAAGGAAAATTAGCAACTCTACAGTGATAAACCTGGCATTCACTGCCTTATCCCAGTGATCACAGTTAACAGCAGCAGAAATGGGACACATGGGCATCATGAACCTCCTGATACGATCACCAAGAAGGACATAGCATCACTTCTTTAGTATTTCCACACAAAATGCAAAACCTGAGTCTCATCAGGAGGAAATAGCAGACAAACTCACATTGGGGGAAATTCCACAAAACCACAGGCTATGAAATAACTACAAAAATGTCAGTGTCATGAAAGAGAAAAACTGAAGAATGGTTTCAGATTAAAGGAAAATTAAGAGAAGTAATGACAGTATGTGTTTGGGCTCTTCTTTGCCATAACAAACATTAAGGTCTGTAAATCAGATAATAACACTGTGTTAATGTTAATTTCCTGATTTTGATAATTGTACTTTGGTTATGTAAGGTAATATCTTTGTTTTTAGGAAATACACACTGAAGTATTTAGAAATGAAAGAGACATAATTGCTGCAATTTACACTCATTCAGAAAAAGGCATACACATTCACAGAGAATGATAAAGCAAACGTGGGAAAGTATTAACAGTTGGAGAATGGTAAAGGGTGTTAAATTAAATATGCTGGCTGGGTGTGGTGGCTCACACCTGTACTCCCAGCACTTTGGGAGGCCGAGGTGGGAGGACCACTTGAGCTCAGGCCAGCCTGGGCAACAGAGTGAGACCTTGTCTCCAAAAAAATTTAAATAAGCAGGAGGCCATTAGCCTGAGGCTGTCTCTGTTTTTTGAATTCCGGCATAATACAATGCAACCTAACTTAGTATATAAAGAAACCAAAACTTAAGAGTATGTTTTTTGTAATAAATAGCCAGATTTCAGCCAATCACAACAGCCAAGCTTCAGCAAATGACAGGCCGCCAACTCATCATACCATGCCCAAATAAGGCAGATGCCTGGCTGTAGCCAATCAAGTGATTTCTTTATTTTTGTGTTCAGCCTATAAAAGCTCACTGTTCACTGCCAGGCAGAGGTCCCTGAACCTCTCCTTTTTTTTTTTTTTTTTTTTTTAAGATGGAGTCTGGCTTTGTCGCCCAGGCTGGAGTGCAGTGGCGTAATCTTGGCTCACTGCAAGCTCCGCCTCCCAGGTTCACTCCATTCTCCTGCCTTAGCCTCCCGAGTAGCTGCGTCTACAGGCGCCCACCACCATGCCTGGCTAATTTTTTGTGCTTTTAGTAGAGGCGGGGTTTCACCGTGTTAGCCAGGATGGCCTCTATCTCCTGACCTTGTGATGTGCCTGCCTCGGCTTCCCAAAGTGCTGAGATTACAGGCATGAGCCACCTCACCCGGCCCTGAACCTCTTCTGATTCTGAGTGCTAATTGATTCAGGAATTGTTATTTACTCAGATAAACTGTTAAACTTGTTTCTAAAGCTTTTTTTTTTAACAAGGATATACAGAAATTCTTTTTATTTTATTTATTTATTTATATATTTTTTTTGAGACGGAGTCTCACTCTGTTGCCCAGGCTGGAGTGCAGTGGTGTGATCTCGGCTCACTGCAACGTCTGCCTCCTGGGTTCAGGTGATTCTCCCGCCTCAGTCTTCCGAGTAGCTGGGATTACAGGCACGCGCCACCACGCCTAGCTAATTTTTGTGTTTGTAGTAGAGACAGAGTTTTGCCATGTTGGCCAGGCTGGTCTTGAACCCCTGAACTCAGGTGATCCTCCAGCCTCAGCCTTCCAAAGTGTTAGGATTATAGGCATGAGCCACCATGCCCAGCCATATACAGAAATTCTTTGTGCTGTTCTTGCAACTTTTCTCAAAGTCTGAAATTATGTAAAAATAAAAAGTAAAAAGAAACCTTCAACTTCTTGAAATGTTTTAAAAATGATTTAAAATAAATTTTGTTAGTGCTCTTTTTCCCATTGTATTCTTTTCGTTTTCACTGTCTAGTTTAGCATGAAATCCTTGTAATTGGTCCCTTGCCTATTTAGAATCTCTATGAAGATCTTCTAAGGGCCTCTGAGCCATGGTGAGTTCTCTCTGGACAGAGACACACAGCCCTCTGGTATACTCTTAAGCATTTACCATGTTCTGCCTTAGGATGCAGCTATTTCTGAAGTCTTCTTTTCCTGCATACTTGCAAACTCCTTAGGGTCAGGGACTATCTCTTATTTTTGTATCTTCGTTGTAAACACTCACTAAATATTTAATGGAATTAAATTGAAAAGTAGTACACAATTTTCAACTTTCCATTCATTAAACATGAAAATGAACGCACATTAGACAATCATAACTGAGTTTCAACAGAACATCCTGATGATGTCACTATGTTTCTTCTCCTATTTAAAAATGTGTTCTTGGCTGGGCGTGGTGGCTCACGCCTGTAATCTCAGCACTTTGGGAGGCTGAGGTGGGCAGGTCACGAGGTCAGGAGTTCGAGACCAGCCTGGTCGACATTGCAAAACCCCGTTTTTACTACAAATACAAAAATTAGCTGGGCATGGTGGTGGGCGCCTGTAATCCCAGCTACTCGGGAGGCTGAGGCAGGAGAATCGCTTGAACCTGGGAGGCAGAGGTTGCAGTGAGCCAAGATCGTGCCACTGCACTCCAGCCTGGGCAACAAAAGCAAGACTCCATCTCAAAAAAAATAAATAAATAAAAAATAAAAAATAAAAATGTGTTCTCCTTTGACAAATATGCTTTTATTGTAGAAAATTTTGAAATTTCAGAAAAGAAACAAAATAAGAACATGTAAATGATTCAGAATGCTGCGTGCTACACAGAGATATTAGTGTCTAGCCTTCTGAGTTTTTCCTATGCAAAATTTTAAATGCAAATTTACACATATATGGGTGTATAAATATATATATGTATATATATTTGTATTACATAACTAAGATCCAACCATGCATACTGATGTGTAACATGAAATTTTTATTTTATGCACAGGATTAGACTGATCAAAATCTTTGGTTCATGATACACTCTCATTGTTAATCCATTTATTCATTCATTCATTTGCTAATAATGTTTTCATAAAACTTCTTGAATTACCAGCCAACTCAAGAACTAGAACACTGACAATAATTCAAATCTACTATATGTCTTCCTTCCATATTTTATTCTTCCCCCACCTCTCAGGTGGCCAAAATCCTAAATTATTTTTAAAAAATCATTTAGTTTTATTTTTTAAACATTATAAAAAGAGAATCATATTATACATTGTATTAGTCAGCGTTCTCAAGAGAAGCAGAACCAATAGGATATCTATCCATCTGCCTTTTTTTTTTTTTTTTGAGATGGAGTCTCACTCTGTCACCCAGGCTGGAGTGCAATGGTGCAATCTTGGCTCACTGCAACGTCCACCTCCCAGGCTCAAGAGATTCTCCTGCCTTAGCCTCCTGGGTAGCTGGGATTACAGGCGCACACCACCACGCCTGGCTAGTTTTTGTATTTTTAGTAGAGACAGGGTTTCATCATGTTGGCCAGGCTGGTCT
Source organism: Homo sapiens (assembly GCF_000001405.40). Classification (NCBI taxonomy): domain Eukaryota; kingdom Metazoa; phylum Chordata; class Mammalia; order Primates; family Hominidae; genus Homo; species Homo sapiens. The sequence goes on from NC_000007.14 coordinate 44,900,816, forward strand.
CGAACTTCTGACGTCAGGTGATCCACCAGCCTTGGCCTCCCAGAGTGCTGGGATTACAAGTGTGAACCACCGAGCTGGGTGTCCATCTGCCTATCCATCTATGTATCTATCTGGGAGATTTCAGTAAAGAATTGGCTCACAGGCCGGGCACAGTGGCTCATGCCTGTAATCCCAGCACTTTGGGAGGCCAAGATGAGTGGATCACTGGAGGTCAGGAGTTCGAGACCAGCCTGACCAACATAGTGAAACCCCATCTCTACCAAAAATACAAAATTAGCTGGGTGTGGTGGCGCATGTCTGTAATCCCAGCTACTTGGGAGGCTGGGGCAGGAGAATCACTTGAACCCTGGAGGCAGAGGTTGCAGTGAGTGAAGATCACGCCATTGCACTCCAGCCTGGGCAATAAGAGCGAAACTCCATCTCAAAAAAAAAAAAAAAAAAGAATTGGCTCACATGATTATAGGGGCTGACAAGCCCCAAATGTGCAGGACGGATTGTTGGGCTGGAGATGCAGGGAAGAGTTGATGTTAGATGTTGCAGCTTGAGTCTGAAGGCCTTCTTGAGGCAGAATTCCCTCTTTGGGAACTTCAGTCTTTTCTCTTAAGGCCTACAACTGATTGGATGAGGCCCACGCAATATGGAGGCTCATTTGTTTTCCTCAAATGCTACTGACTTAAATGTTAATTCATCTAAAAAATACTTTCACAGTAACAAGACTAGCGTCTGACCAAAAACTGGGTGCCATGGCTCAGCCAAGTTGATGCATAAAATTAACCATTACATATGCTTGATGGACTTGATTTTTTTCACTCCACATTATGGTTTAAAAGTTTACCCATGCTTTTTGTGTTTAGCTAAAGTTAATTAATGTTCACCACTGTATACTATTTCTTTTCTTTTTTTTATTTTTTAGACAGAGTCTCACTTTGTTGCCCAGGCTGAGTGCAGTGGCGTGATCTCGGCTTACTGCAACCCCCGCCTCCTGGGTTGTATATTATTTCATCATGAGCAAATATCACCACCATATCATCTGCCCATGGGCATAGGGTTGTGAATGTTCTCACTCAGTGGAACTTGTCTCCTGCGGCAGATGTGTGGGGCTTGTCATAGGTACGCACCTGAGAGTGGTTTTCTGAGTTGTCAGGCATGTGAATTTCAGAGTTTGTGAGAAAATGCCCAGTGGTTTTCCCATATCATTATAACTTTTCACTTCCCTCATGTATATATAAGTGATGTCTTTAATCCAGAACCTTTTCAGCTCTTGGCATTGTCAGATTTTTAATTATTGCCAGTGGAATGAATGAAAAGTACTATCTCTTATCTTGGTTTACATTTCCCTGATTACTGAGGAGGCCAAGCATCCCTCTGAGTGCCTGTTGGCTGTATGTGTTCCCCCTTTGGTGAAATGCCTCTTCATGTCTTTTGCCCATTTAAAAAAATAGGGCTAGGAATTCTGTACCTGTTCTTTTTTTTTTGAGTCGGAGTCTCGCTCTGTCGCCCAGGCTGGAGTGCAGTGGCGCGATCTTGGCTCACTGCAACCTCCGCCTCTGGGGTTCAAGCAATCCTCCTGCCTCAGCCTCCCGAGCAGCTGGGACTACAGGCACCCACTACCACGCGCGGCTAATTTTTTGTATTTTTAGTAGAGATGGGGTTTCACCATGTTAGCCAGGATGGTCTCGATCTGCTGACCTCGTGATCCACCCACCTTAGCCTCCCGAAGAGCTGGGATTACAGGCATGAGCCACTGTGCCCGGCCACATGTTCTTTAAATATTTTTTTAATTAAAAGTTTGTTGGCTGGGCGTGGTGCTCATGCCTGTAATCCCAGCACTTTGGGAGGCCAAGGCGGATGGATCACCTGAGGTCAGGAGTTCGAGACCAGCCTGACCAACATGGAGAAACTCCGCCTCTACTAAAAATACAAAATTAGCCGGGCATAGGGGCACATGCCTGTAATCCAAGCTACTAGGGAGGCTGAGGCAGGAGAATTGCTTGAACCTGGGAGGTAGAGGTTGCGGTGAGCCGAGATCGTGCCATTGCACTCCAGCCTGGGCAACAAGAGCAAAACTCCGTCTCAAAAAAAAAATTTTGTTTTGTTTTGTTTTGTTTTGTTTGAGACAGAGCCTCCCTCTGTCACCCAGGCTGGAGTGCAATAGTGCGATCTCAGCTCACTGCAACCTCTGCCTCCTGGGTTCAAATGAATCTCTTGCCTCAGCCTCCCAAGTAGTTGGGATTATAGGCATGCGCCACCATGCCCGACTGATTTTTGTATTTTTAATAGAGACGGGGTTCCGCTGTGTTGACCGGGCTGGTCTCAAACTCTTGGCCTCAAGTGATCCAACTGCCTCTAATTTTTAATTTTTTGAGGACAGAGTTTTACTCCGTCACCCAGGCTGGAGTGCAGTGGTGTAATTACAGCACTGCAGCCTTGAACTCCTGGGCTCAAGTGATCTTCCTGCCTTAGCCTCCTGAGTAGTTGGGACTACATGCATGTGTCACCATGCCTGGCTAATTTTTATTTTTATTTTTAAATTAAATTAAATTTTATTTTATTTTGAGACAGAGTATTGCTTTGTCGCCCAGGCTAGAGTGCAGTGGTGCGATCTCGGCTCACTGCAACTTCCACCTCCTGGGTTCAAGTGATTCTCCTGCCTCAGCCTCCTGAGTAGCTGGGATTACAGGTGCCCACCACCACACCCAGCTAATTTTTGTATTTTTAGTAGAGATGGGGTTTTACCATGTTGGTCAGGCTGGTCTGGAACTCCCGACCTCAGGTGATCCACCCACCTTGGCCTCCCATAGTGCTGGGATTACAGACGTGAGCCACCATGCCCAAGCCTAATTTTTATTTTTTAATTTTTTGTAGAGACAAGGTGCCCAGTTGCCCAGGTTGGTCTTGAACTCCTGGACTCAAGTGATCCTCCTGCCTTGGCCTCCCAAAGTGTTAGGATTACAGGTGTGGGCCACCTCACCCTGCCTGTACCTGTTATTAGTGCAATCATTTGTTGATTATGTCTTCTCTTATTTGTAGCTTATCTTTTATTTCCTTTAGACTATTATTTAAAAACATTCTTTAAACATTTTTTAATTGTAGTAAGAACACAATGTATCTACCCTCTTAACAGATTTTTAAGTGCATAATACTGTATTGTTAACTATAGGGAAAATGTACAGAAGATCTCTAGGGCTTTATATGCATTGATTAGCAATTCCCCTTTTTCCCCTGCCCCTAGCCCCTGGTAACCACATTGTAATGGCTTATTTCACTTAGCATAATGTTCTCAAGGTTCATCCGTGTTGCTGCATATTGTAGAATTTCCTTTCTTTTTAATATGTCATTGGATTTACACACCACATTTCCTTTGTCCTTTCATCCATCAATGGACATTTAGGTTATTTCCACAGCTTAGCGATTGTGACTAGTATTGCTATGAACAGTGAGTGCAGACATCTCTTCAAGATCCTGATTTCAATTCTTTTGGATAAATACCCAGCAGTGGGATTGCCAGATCATATGGTAGTTCTGTTTTTAATTTTTTGAGGAGAGGTCAAAGCAGGTGTATCTCTTGAGCCTGGGAGTTCAAGACCAGCCTGGGCAACATGGCAAAACTCCGACTCTACAAAAAATACATGCACACCTGTAGTCTCAGCTACTTGGGGGGCTGAGATGGGACGGTCAGTTGAGGCCAGGAATTCGAGACCAGCCTGGGCAACATGGTGAAACTCTGTCTCTACTAAAAATACAAAAATTAGTCTTGGCAGGTGCCTATAATCCCAGCTACTGGGAGGCTGAGGTGGGAGGATCACTTGAGCCCAGGAGGCAGAGGTTGCAGTGAGCAGAGATCATGTCATTGCACTCCAGCTTGGACGACAGAGCGAGACTCTGCTTAAAAAAAAAAAAATTTTTTTTTGAGGAACCAAACCTCCATACTGTTTCTATAGAAACTGCATGAGGCTCTTCAGGATATTCTTAATAACAGCCTATTAATTTACCAATATATCACAAAGGATGTACAGTGTATCACTGAATTCCCGGTTCTCGTCTCAGAATCACCCAGTGAATCTGTCACATTCTGATTTAATTACCTGGGATGAAGCTGGGGCATTGCTATGTTGCAAAAGTTCTCCAATTGAGTCTAATGTGCAGCTGGAGTGGAGAACCATGAACCACTTCTAGCTGTTGAGAGGCTCCTCAATTTGAGTAAGAAATAAAGAAAATGTGTATTTATTAAGACAGCACTCAGGCAGTTTCAGCAAGGTGGACGGGGAGTGGAGCATGAGCATGGGAAACCTTCCAGCATCGAATCAACTGTGTAGAAGCTGAGAAGGATGCACCTGCAGGTGGGAGCTGGGAGGTAGGCCCTGGGTCCCGGTGACTCTTTGGTGTAGTTTACAGCTGAGCAGTTCCCGCCTGCTTCTCAGCAAAGGTCCCTTATGCATCTCTCATGTGCTTCTCCCACTCATCTTGCAAGACTCTGAAGTGTGAGTGCCATCTTTTCAGTTAAGTGAGCAGTATATGGAAACTTTCTCATGGGAAAGAACCGCATGTGGCGCACCCTGGACGTCACTCCTTGGCTGGTCCTGGATGCCCACCTCACCCCACCACACTCATGCCCCTCCCAGGAGGCGCCTTCTTGACAGTGTGGTCCTTCCTGGCTGACAATGACTTGGGTTTTCGTCGCCTCAGTTCCTGGCAGAGCTGTTCCCGTGCCCCGGTGCCACTGTGTGCACCTGCTTTAATCACCTCCCACTGCAGCTTCTGTCCTGCCACCCCTTGGGCTTCCTGATCTTTCCTTCATGCTTGCCCTTGAGCATCTTATGGCCTCTTTGAGCTTTCACTGTTTCTGCAATGGGGCCATTTCCATATCGACAGCTCTAGTGTTTCTGTCACTACTGGATTCTCCCATTCGCTTTGTGATGCATCATGGCTCTAGCTACACATCCTGCCTCTGTCTCAGACTCCATGTGTCTGTGACCAGCCCCCTGACTCCCTCCAGCCACTCACCCTGGCTGTCCCCACCATCAGGGGCCTGGCCACACCATCTGCTGCTGAGCTGCAGGACATGGCTGATCAGAAATGGAGCACAACAGTCAGGGGCAGAGCCCATTGACCAAAGCCTTGAATATACCATGATTTCCAAGATGTGTCTTGCTCTTCTGTCTTCAGAGTACAAAAAGGTAAACTCCTCTCAGGCAAGGATTCTACTTTCTCTCTTTTTGATAAATTAGCAGCATAGTTATTTTCCTGCTTGCTAGGTTAGATAAGCAGTGAGATCTGTCACCTCTTTGTCCTCCTCTGGTTGAATTGCTTCTTTAATTCAAGTTTTAGTTTAGGAGGTAGAACTTTTTTTTTTTGTTTTTTTGAGACATGGTCTCATTCTGTCGCCCAGGCTGGAGTGCAGTGACACGACTACAGTCCACTGCAGCTTCTACCTCCCGGGCTCAAGTGATCCTCTCACCTCAGCCTTCTGAGTAGCTAGGACCACAGGTGCACACTACCATTCCTGGCTAACTTTTTTATTTTTTATTTTGTAGAGAGGGGGTTTCCCAGACTGGTTTCAAACTCCTGTGCTCAAGCAATCTTCCCACCTTGGCCTCTGAAAGTGCTGGAATTATAGGCACAAGCCACTGCACTCGGCCAAATATTTTTAAGGTATATTTTATTAAAACCTTACTAAAATATTACAGAAAATTTCCGTTGTTTTTTTTTTTTTTTTTTTGAGATGGAGTTTTGCTCTTGTTGCCCAGGCTGGAGTGCAGTGGCTCAATCTCGGCTCACTGCAACCTCCACCTCCTGGGTTCAAGCAATTCTCCTGCCTTAGCCTCCTAAGTAGCTGGAAATACAGGCACCCACCACCATGCCTGGCTAATTTTTGTATTTTTAGTAGAGACGGGGTTTCACCATTTTGGCCAGGCTGGTCTCGAACTCATGACCTGAAATGATCTGCCTGCCTTGGCCTCCCAAAATGCTGGGATCACAGGCGTGAGCCACTGCACCTAGCCAGACAATTTTAAGTGAACAAAATTTCATACACAATCTTACCATCCTAGTGCACCTGTTGTCTTCATTTTTGTTTTTTCTGGTTTCCTTCTACTTTCTACTAACATGTACATCTGTTTTTACATTGTAATTATAGTATGTAGCTGCATATAGTATAATGAAACAAAATTGTTTTCTGTTTTTCCTCCTGCTTTACATTATTGAGAAAACATGGTGCCATGTTTAATGTTGTCTTAGTGATTACCAATTTAAATGAGCTGATGTAATATATTTGCATGCTCTGTGGTTGAAGATTTAGGTTGTTTCCAGGTTTTTGTTTGTTATAAGTAATACTCATATGGGCAGCTGTTTTCACTCAGTAAATCTGCAGGGCTGACCACCAGGTCAGAGGCGTTGGAAGTTGGCCTTTCCACAGTGGTTTCGTCCACATCCTCTGGCGAACGTTGTTGATCGCTGAATCTGCTTTCCCACGACTGTAGAATCCCCCGGCCCCACAACTATAGTTTGATCACTTCCCTCCAAATGTAGATGTTAAGAGATCAGCAACGAATAACTATATGGGAAAACGTGAGGAGAAAATAGAAATACATGCGGGAAGAAGAATCGGGACTACAGGTTGAATATCCCTTATTTGAAATGCTTAGGACCAGCAGTGTTTTGGATTTCAGATTTTTGTGGATTTTGGAATATTTGCATATACATAATGAGATGTCTTGGGAATGAGACTCAGGTCTAAACATCAAATTCATTTGTTTCATGTATACCTTATACACATATCCGGAGGATAATTTTATACAGTATTTTTCACAATTTTGTGCCTGAAACAAAGTTTGTATACATTGAACCATCATCTCAGCCACCCATGTGTGACATCATGTCATTGCTCACAAAGCTTCAGATTTGGCCGGGGTGGGTGGCTCACACCTGTAATCCCAGCACTTTGGGTGGCTGAAGTGGGTGGATCACCTGAGGTCAGGAGTTTGAGACCAGCCTGGCCAACATGGCGAAACCCCATCTCTACTAAAAATATAAAAATTAGCTGGGTGTGGTGGTGTGTGCCTGTAATCCCAGCTACTCGGGAGGCTGGGCTGGAGAATCTCTTGAACCCAGGAGGTGGAGGTTGCAGTGAGCTGAGATCATGCCATTGCACTCCAGCCTGGGCGACAGGAGTGAAACTCTGTCTCAAAAACAAACCAACCAACCAACCCCAAAACTTCAGATTTGGGAGCATTTCCGATTTTGGATTTTTGGGTTAGGGATGCTCAACCCATATTCGCTCTCCCATGTCCCTGCACACGCTGTGCCATGGGGCATCCTTTCCTGCCGTCCTGGCTCCCTGTCTGACTTCTCTTATTCTCTCCAGGTTGAGTTTGAATTGCCTCCTGTGTGACCTGGGCCCAGCATCTGTGCCGCACTGTGGTGGTCTTGCTGCAGGGTGCAGGCCTATCCTCACTAAGTCCCACTTAGCATCTCTAGTTAAGACTTGAATAAAACACGATTATAAAGTGTGCAGATCCACAGATTGACCCAGCTCTTGTTTGCTCCCTGTCTGGTTCCTCCAGCATCGTATCTATGAAGAAAGTGGCTGAAATGCTCTGGCTAGAGGATGGTCTCCACTGTGTAAAAGCTTCCCAGGCAGCTGCAGTCTTAAAACAATTGTCTGCAGAATGCTCAACGTGACCCTCTGCTTCCTGGAGTTTCTTCAGGTACAAATACCTCAGACCCCAGAAAGTGTGTTCCCAAACCGCTTCTCATGAACCATTGAATATTCAAAAGAGAGCTAAATTTCAAGCCTACTATATAAAAGCGTATCCCTGTAACACATGTGCCATAATACATAACTTCTACTTTTGTCAGTCCTTACCATCTACCTCTCTGAATTTTCATGAATTTCAATTTCACAAGGGTAATTGTTTTACATATACAGGCAGTAGCATACAATAAAATACTCAGTATGTGTGCTGAGCACAGTGGCTTCTTCCTTTTTTTTTTTTTTTTTTTTTTTTTTTTTGAGAGAGAGTTTCCCTCTTGTCACCCACTTTCCCTCTTGTCCACTGCACTAGAGTGCAGTGGCGACATCTCTGTTCACTGCAACCTCCGCCTCCCGGGTTCAAGCAATTCTCCTGCCTCAGCCTCCCAACCAAGTAGCTGGGATTATAGGCATGTGTCACCACGCCCGGCTAATTTTTGTATTTTTAGTAGATACGGGGTTTCTCCATGTTGGTCCAGCTGGTCTCGAACTCATGACCTCAGGTGATCCACTTGCCTCAGCCTTCCAAAGTGTTGGGATTACAGGTATGAGCCACCGCACCCGGCTGGCTTGCACTTGTTATACAAACGCGTTGAGAGGCCAAGGCAGGAGGATTGCTTGAGGCTAGGAGTTCAAGACCAGCCTGGACAATATGGTGAGACCATATCTCTACAAAAAATAAAAAATTGTCCAGGAGTGGTAGTGTGCACCTATAGTCTCAACTACTTGGGAGGCTGAAGCGGGAGGTTTGCTAGAGCCCAGGAGTTTGATGTTACAGTAAGCAATGATGGCAACACTACAACATTGCCACTTCAGCTTGGACAACAGAGTGAAACCCTGTCCCCCTGAAAACTCCCAAAAACCTCAGCATAAAAATAAGTAAATAAATAAATAAAATGTGCAGACAAACTAAAGCCAGCCGGAACGGCTAATAAGAGAGAAAATGAATCAAGATTTGAAAAAAACACAGGAGGCTGGGTGAGATGTGAGATGGCTCACACCTGTAATCCCAGCACTTTGGGAGGCTGAGGCAGGAGGATCGCTTGAGCTCAGTAGTTTAATATCAGCCTGGCCATGGTGGAGAAACCCCGATTCTACGAAAATTTAAAAAAAAAAGAAGAAGAAGAGGCTGAGTATGTGGTGCGTGCTTATGGTCTCAGCTACTCATGAGGCTGAGGTAGGGAGATCACTTGAGCCTAGACATTTGAGGCTGCAGTGAGCTGTGATTGCGTCACTGCACTTCAGCCTGGGTGACAAAGTGAGACCTTGCCTCAAAAAACAAAGCAAAACAAAACAAATCCACAAGAGACCCTGGCAAAGATCTCTGTGCGAGGCAGAGAACTTCAGTGGTTCAGCTGCACCCCCACAATGTTTATTAAAATTAATCTATGAACATAGACAAAGATTCAAAGGCAGCACAGAAAATGATTTTATTCGTAGGCATGGTAGAATTGTGGGTGCCTTTTTCCTTTTCCTTAAAATTCCTATGTTTCCCAATTTAACTACTGTGCAAATACTACTAATAAAGAAATCCTGTATGAAAGACAAGATTGGAGAAACCAGGTTGACAGCAGCTCAAGAGAAGGAGGCTCAGAAAGGCCTGGCCTCAGGCTCTGTCATTGTGGGTGGGGCCCGCAGAGCAGTTCAGGAGGATGAGTCCAGACTGGGCAACACAAGAAAAAAGGAAGACCACAGAATGGGACAAAATAATTGCAAAGCATACATCTGATATGGGATTAATATGCAGGCTATCATATAAAGAATTAAAGCTGAGGTTGGGCATAGTGGCTTGTGCCACCATGGATCACCTGAGGCCAGGAGTTCAAGACCAGGCTGAGCAACATAGTGAAACCCTGTTTCTACAAAAGATAAAAATAAAAATAAGGCCAGGCACGGTGGCTTCCACCTGTAATCTCAGCACTTTGGGAGGACAAGTGGGCAGATGAGTTTCAGACCAGCCTGGTCAACATGGGGAAACCTCGTTTCTACTAAAAATACAAACATTAGCCAGGCATGGTGGTGCACACCTCCTGGTCTTGGGAGGCTAGGCCCGAGAATCACTTGAACCCGGGAGGTGGAGGTTGCAGTGAGCACTCCAGCCTGGGTGACACAGTGAGACTTTGTCTCAAAAATAAATAAATGAATAAATAAAAATAAAAAGTAGAAATTAGGTGGGTGGGTATGGTGGCTCACGCCTGTAATCCCAGCACTTTGGGAGGCCGAGGCAGGTAGATCATGAGGTCAGGCGTTCGAGACCAGCCTGGCCAACACAGTGAAATCCCATCTCTACTAAAAATATAAAAAATTAGCCAGGCATGGTGGTGGGCGCCTGTAACCCCAGCTACTTGGGAGGCTGAGGCAGGAGAATCGCTTGAACCTGGGAGGCAGAGGTTGTGGTGAACCAAGATTGCACCATTGCACTCCAGCCTGGGCAACAAGAGTGAAACTCCGTCTCAGAAAGAAAGAAAGAAAGAAAGAAAGAAAGAAAGAAAGAAAGAAAGAAAGAGAGAGAGAGAGAGAGAGAGAGAGAAAGAAAGAAAGAAAGAAAGAAAGAAAGAAAGAAAGAAAGAAAGAAAGAAAGAAAGAAAGAAAAGAAAGAAAGAAATTAGCCAGGCATGGTGGCACACGCCTGTAGTTATAGCTACTTGAGAGGCTGAGATAGGAGGATTGCTTGAGCTCAGAAGTTGGAGGCTACAGTGAGCTATAATTGCGCCACTGCACTCCAGCCTAGGTGACAGAGCAAGATACTGTCACTAAAAAAAAAGAAAAAAAGCGGCGGGCGCGCTGGCTCACGCCTGTAATCCCAGCACTTTGGGAGGCTGAGGCGGGCAGATCACGAGGTCAGGAGATTGAGACCATCCTGGCTAACACGATGAAACCCCGTCTCTACTAAAAATACAAAAAATTAGCTGGGCATGGTGGCGGGCACCTGTAGTCCCAGCTACTCGGGAGGCTGAGGCAGGAGAATGGCATGAACCCAGGAGGTGGAGCTTGCGGTGAGCAGAGATGGTGCCACTGCACTCCAGTCTGGGTGACAGAGCAAGACTCTGTCTCAAAAAAAAAAAAAAAAAAAAAGAACAAAAACTCAACAATAAAAAACCCACATAACCCAATTCAAAAATGGCAAAGGACCTGACAAAGCATTTCTCTGGAGAAGACATACAAATGGCCTACAGCACATGAAAGGACCTAGTGCTCACTTTGCATAAGTCACCGACTGAATACTTAGGATATATATCTGTTATACTTCAATTAAAAAGTTTAAAATGTATTACGGGGACCCTGGGGGGTCATTTAGATGGTAATGATTTGGCTGACCAAACTTCTAGATCCTAGAAATCCATGCGTCTTGATTGCCAAACTTCAGGCCTGGCCTTGGAAGAAAGACGTTGGCAGGAACCCAAGGAGGTTCAGGGGTCAGGGGTCAGCAGTCAGGGTGAATGGGGATCCAGGCTGCAGCCCATACAGCCAGGGCTAGTGCTGGGCTCAGTCCCAGCAGGAAGTCACAAGGCCAGGAGGCAGATGGCCTCTGCAGCAGGGCAGAGTGGGGCTGAGGCCCGGGCCCGTGTGGTGTCTCAGTCTGGGGTGACCGTTGAAGCTGCCCGTGTCCTGCCCTGATCTCTCATGGCTTCTGGCCGGTGGTCCTGGGCCTGCAGCCAGCAAGGCAGAATGACAGGCAGGGACTGTGTCCCGGTGGGTTCTTGCCAAGAAGGGACCCAGTCCCCCACTGTGGCCCATGCCTTTCCATCTGTGACTTGTGACCCAATTCCATAGTCTTCCCACGGACCTGGGAAATTGCTTCATTCCCAATAATGGGAACTTTTTATGATGACTTTGCTGGTCTCAGAGGTATGCCAACTCAGCTCTCCAGAACTATAGGGAGAGACTGACACCCAGAGAGATGGCATGATTTGTCCCTGGGGGCAGAGTGAGAGAGAAGAGCCAGGGTTTCTAACAGCTGGGGCTCTCAGGCTCACTGCCCACCCCAGGGAGGGCAGTTTCAACTCTGCTCAGGACGGGTCAACACCTCTCCAAGTGCATTGTGGGCTGAGCCATATCTGAGAAACTGTTTAAAAGGAGGCATAAGAACATCATTTCTTTTAATTAAAAAAAAAATCTCAATTGCAAAACAAAATTGAGAGCCCAGGGGCTCATCACATTCCTGGTGCTGATGAAGTACAGAACTACAAGGCGGGGTTCTGTGCTTAAGGTCAGCTTTCTCTGCCATCTTCCCGACCCTTGCATCTACTTTCTCAGCTCTGGACAGTGTGGGATATTAGGAAAGGGCCGACTCCCATCCCATTTCCAGAAGCTGCAGTCTCTGCTCCTCACCAGCTGTGTGTTCTTCCATGTGGCTTGGCCAGATTCAGCAAATAGAGGCACCAGGAAGCACCAGGCACCCTGCTGCCCTCCCTTCAGCCTCGGGGGACATAGGCCCTGGCATGAGGAGGACCTGCATAGGCTTTCAGGAAGGAAAGCAGGAAATGGGCCCTGAGATAGGAATGTTTCTAAGGGCAGAATGGCCAGGCCGAGGTGAGGCAGGTCCTGGATCTGTCCAGGCCTCTTTCCTACCTGCCCTCCCACCCCCAACCCCCAGGCCCAGCCCCCGCCTTCAGATCAGCTGTCTACCTGAAGCTCCTTTCCTCCTGGCTGGTCACTGACTTCTGGCCACCACCAAGCTCACCACGTGGCTCTCTTTACAAACCTGCTTCACACACAGGCTGCTTCACACGCATGGTCCATTAGAGAGCCTGCTCCTGATGGCACACTTTGGGACACAGACACAAGCTGTCATTTGTTCAGACAGTATGGGAGTGCTCAGATTTAGAACCACTCAAAAATCATCCACAGTTATTGAGCACCTACTCTTTGTTGGATTCTGGGTCAGTAAAACCTGTATAGGACGGAGGTAGACAGGCTGTGAGAGTAGGGTGACTGATGGAATCCCGTAGTCGCTGTGTCCAGCCATCTAACTGAGCTGTAGGTAGCGTGGTAACTCAGTTTGTATTCAAAATATTGCTTCTCTGGCCAAGTGCACTCTGAGGTCCAAACAGTGACTGTATAGATGAGCTTTGCTTTTCTTTTCTTTTTTGTTTTCTTTTGAGACGGAGTTTCTCTCTTGTCACCCAGGCTGGAGTGCAGTGGTGCGATCTTGGCTCACTGCAACCTCTGCCTCCTGAGTTCAAGCGATTCTCCTGCCTCAGTCTCCCGAGTAGCTGGGATTACAGAGTGTGCCACCGCACCCAGCTAATTTTTATTTTTACTTTTAGTAGAGACGGGGTTTCGCCATGTTGGCCAGGCTGCTCTCGAACTCCTGACCTCAGGTGATCCATCCTCCTCAGCCTCCCAAAGTGCTGGGATTACAGGCATGAGCCACTGCACCTGGCCTTTAGATGAGCATTTCAACTATGCCAGGCCCTCTGGCATGGCTCCCAAGCCCTGAGGGAGATGGTTTGGCCTGGAGCCCTGAGGGAGATGGTTTGGCCTCTTCTCCTGGCCCTCCAGCCTCCACACACTCCTGCCCTAGCTCTGCCTTCTCACCTGGAGTTGCCTCTTCCCACCCCTGGTTGTGCACCTGCCCCAGGCCTTCACCCATGGTCTCCTCAAACCCTTTCCCTCCCTCCCTCTTTGGGTGCCTTCAGAGCCCAGTTTCAATGACACCTACTCCAGGACCCCTGATCTGCCTGAAAACTTGGTGGCTAAAAGCAACATCACATTGATTTTGCTCACAAATCTGCAGTTTGGCAAGGCTCAGAGGGGATGGCTCAAGACTGAGGCTGGAGCCATCTGACATCTCACTCACTTGCCGGCTGGCTTTTGATGGCCTGCTGCAAAGGGGCAGAGTCGCCTCCATTTCCACATATTCCTTAGCCACACACTAGGCTGCCCCAGACTGGAGGCCACAAAAGGGCCTCTTTCTTTCCATGCCTTCGGTTTCTTCCAGTGAGCATGCATGATTTCTATATTTTAAAAGGACAGAAAATAAAACATAATTCTAATTTCCTTTTACTTTCATGTCAGGTTTACATCTCTAATTGTAATGTCTTCAAACCATGGTATCTGAACATCCCATATTTTGCCCACTCATCTTCCCAGGTACCATTTCTAATTATTTGATAAAAATAGTAGAGTGGGCTGGGCATGGTGGCTCACACCTGTAATCCCAGCACTTTGGGAGGCTGAGGTGGGTGGATCACCTGAGGTCAGGAGTTCGAGACCAGCCTGACCAATATGGTGAAACCCTGTCTCTACTAAAAATATAAAAACTAGCTGGGCCTGGTGGCATGTGCCCGAAGTCCCAGCTACTGGGGAGGCTGAGACAGGAGAATTGCTTGAACCCGGGAAGTGGAGGTTATAGTGAGCCAAGATTTTGCCACTGTGCTTCCAGCCTGGGTGACAGTGAGACTCTGTTTCAAAAGTAAAATAAAATAAAATAAAATAAAATAAAACAAAATAAAATAAAAATAGTAGAGTGAATTAATACTCCACATTTTGAAAGCTTATCGGTTTAAGGCTGAGTGAAAACATTTCTGCTTAGAAATGCTGCTTCTGGTGATCTCTGTGCTATTGAAGTGGGTTCTGGCCCACATTTCAGCCCAGACACGCGAGCGCCCATTTGGGGCTGTCCCAGGAAGTGTGCTCGTATGTGTGCGTAAGCATGCATAAGTGTGCGTAGCTTGTGTTGCCATAGTGATTTGGTTTGGGAGAACTAACAGAGAGCTCAGGCTTTTATGGACAGTTATGTGGTTTAGACAAGTAGTCTTTCTTTTTCCTGGAATCATAGAAAAGCAGCCTTGTGTGATGGTGAAGTCTGCATCTTCTCCAGTCCCCCAATTCTGCCCCCACAGGCTCAGCGCTGCCTGTGGCTGTCACAACCACATACTGTTCCAAATGGGAATCTGTACCAGTAAATGGATTTGGGTAAATCTATAAGACTGGCTTGACTTTTTAGATATCAAACAATATAAACACCTCAATGATTAATATAATAGATCTTTTGAAAAATTATAAAAATTATTTGCTGGCCAGGCGCGGTGGCTCACACCTGTAATCCTAGCACTTTGGGAGGCTGAGGTGGGTGGTTCACAAGGTCAGGAGATAGAGACCATCCTGGCTAACACGGTGAAACCATGTCTCTACTAAAAACACAAAAAATTAGCCAGGTGTGGTTGCAGGCACCTGAGACTCCGTCTCAAAAAAAAAAAAAAATTTGCTAATTACCTATATTCATATTAGGAATTTTAGTGCTTCTTTTACTTTGGCAATAGTTAATACATATAGTCTTAGAGACTTCATTGGAAAAATGTAATTCACTCATGTAGTGGCTAAGCAATATCTGAATAAGAACAGTCCCTCCTGACGGGAGATCTCAGGGGCCCCCAGGGTCTCAGGACCTAAGTGTTGGGCGGTACGAAATTGGACAGAAAGAACCGGAGCCCCATCCCTACACATCTCTGAGCCTACGTTTCCTCAGTTGAGACGTGACGGTATGAACACCTACCTTGAAGGTTAGTTGTGATATGAAATAAGGGGTGTGTGTGAAAGTGCATTGTAAATGTCTGAAGTCATTTCTTTTTTTTTTTTTTTTGAGACGGAGTCTCGCTCAATCGCCCAGGCTGGAGTGCAGTGGCGCGATCCCGGCTCACCGCAAGCTCCACCTCCCGGGTTCACGCCATTCTCCTGCCTCAGCCTCCCGAGTAGCTGGGACTACAGGCGCCCGCCACCACGCCCGGCTAATTTTTTTGTATTTTTAGTAGAGACGGGGTTTCACCGTGTTAGCCAGGATGGTCTCGATCTCCTGACCTTGTGATCCGCCCGCCTCGGCCTCCCAAAGTGCTGGGATTACAGGCGTGAGCCACTGCGCCCGGCCTCTTTTTTTTTTTTTTTTTTGAGACCTCAGAGTCTCACTCTGTCACCCAGGCTGGAGTGCAGTGGCACGATCTCGGCTCACTGCAGCCTCGGCCTCCCGAGTTGAAGTGATTCTCCTGCCTCAACCTACCAAGTAGCTGGGACTACAGGCACCCACCACCACGTGCGTCTAATTTTTTGTATTTTTAGTAGAGACGAGGTTTCACCGTGTTAGCCAGGATGGTCTCAATCTCCTGACCTTGTGATCTGCCCGCCTCGGCCTCCCAAAGTGCTGGGATTACAGGTGTGAGCCACAGTGCCTGGCTTTTTTTTTTTTTTTTTTTTTTTTTTTTTTTTGAGACCTAGTCTTGCTCTGTCACCCAGGCTGGAGTGCAGTGGCGTGATCTTGGCTCACTGCAACCTCTGCCTCCCGGGTTCACACCATTCTGCTGCCTCAGCCTCCCGAGTAGCTGGGACTACAGGGGCACGCCACCATGCCCAGCTAATTTTTTGTATTTTTAGTAGAGACGGGGTTTCACCGTGTTAGCCAGGATGGTCTGGATCTCCTGACCTCGTGATCGGCCCGCCTCGGCCTCCCAAAGTGCTGGGATTACAGGCGTGAGCCACCATGCCTGACCTGAAGTCATTTCTAAGTATGGTGTTGGGTAAGTTCTACCCTTAGGTTCAAATACTCAGACTGGGTCACATGAAGAAAGAGAACAACATGAGAGTTATTTATTTGGCCTCCCACTGAGTAAGGCATTCTGTTAGGTCATTAGTGTTTATAAGCCAAGTGTGGCATTCTGGAAAGGTAAATAGGCATTTAGTAGGAGATAAGAAAAAAGTATCCCTGCTACCTTTTTTTTTTTTAGAGATAGGGTCTCACTGTGTTGCCCAGGCTGAAGTGCGGTGGCACCATCACAGCTTACTGCAGCCTCAAACTCCTAGGCTCAAGAGATCCTCCCACCTCAGCCTCCCAAGTAGCTGAGACTACAGGAATATGCCACCACACCCAGCTAATTTTAGTTATTTATTTATCATTATTATTATTATTATTTTTGAGATGGGCTCTTGCCCTGTCACCTAGGCTGGAGTGCAGCAGCACAATCATAGCTCACTGCAGCCTTGCACTCCTTGCCTCAAGCAATCGTCCTGCCTCAGCCTCCCAAGTAGCTGGAACTATAGGCACAGGCCACCATGCCCAGCTAATTAAAAAAAAAATTTTTTTTTCTGTAGAGACAGGGTCTGGCTATGTTGATCAGGCCTATCTCTAACTCCTGGCCTCAAGTGATCCTCCTGCCTCAGCCTCCCCAAGTGCCGGGATTATAGGCACAAGCCACTGTACCTGGCCAGAGACAAGTTCACAAACATTCTGAGGGTTCAGAGGGACAGGCTACTTCCAAATGTCTGGATTTTTTTTAAAGTTATGTAAACTATTTTATTTTTAAACTATATTGAAGTGTTTCAGAAGAAAAAAATGACCGTATTTAATTAGTCACTGATACGTAATTAGTTGTATTTTCCTTTGGGACAACATAGAATTTGTTTATTCTTCAATGGCTTCATATTTACAAAATACCAGTAAAAATAGTAAGGAAAGGGTTCAATCCACATAGACCATCACATACAGAATAACTAGCTGATTATTTATCTTCCAGAAATCTGGTAAGCACTGGTTTCTAAAACACAGGATATGCCAAATTCTGGTTACTAGCATCTTCATTCTTTATTGGATACATTTCTTTTGTTTAATCAATACATATTTGTACATATTTATGGGGTACATGTGATATTTTGTTACATGTATAGAATGGAATACTATTCAGCCATAAAAAAGAATGAAATCCTGTCCTTTGCAGCAACATGGATGGAAATGGAGATCATTATGTTAAGTGAAATATGCTAGGCATGGAAAGACATATATCACATGTCCTTTTTTTCATCCTCTCATTATTGAACATATCACATGTTCTTACTCATATGTGGGAGCTAGAAAAGTTGATCTCAGGCCAAGCACAGTGGCTCACACCTGTAATCCCAGCACTTGGGGGGCCCGAGGTGGACGGATCACTTGAGGTCAGGAGTTTGAGACCAACCTGGCCATATGGTGAAGCCCTGTTTTTACTAAAAATACAAAAATTAGCTGGGCGTGGTGGTGTGTGCCTGTAATCCCAGCTACTTGGGAGGCTGAGGCAGGAGAATCACTGGAACCTGGTAGGCGGAGGTTGCAGTGAGCCAAGATCGCACCACTGCACTGCAGCCTGGGCTACAGAGTGAGACTGTCTCCAAAAAAAGAAAAAAAAATTGACTGGGCGTGGTGGCTCACGCCTATAATTTCAGCACTTTGAGAGGCCGAGGTGGGCAGACCACTTGAGGTCAGGAGTTTGAGACCAACCTGGCCAACATGGTGAGACCCTGTTTCTACTAAAAATACAAAAATTAGCTGGGCGTGGTGGTACATGCCTGTAATCCCAGCTACTCAGGAGGCTGAGGAAGGAGAATCGCTTGAACCTGGGAGGCAGAAGTTGTGGTGAGCTGAGATTGCACCACTGCACTCCAGCCTGGGCAACAAGAGTGAAACTCCATCTCAAAAAAAAAAAGTGGATCCCATAGAAGTAGAGAGTAGAATGATAGATAGTAGAGACTGGGAAAGGGGTGTCAGTGGGAGGGGGGAAGAACACGTTGGTTAATGGGTACGAACATACAGTTAGAAGGAAAAAGATCTAGTCACAGTAAGGTGGCTATAGTTAACAACAATGTTTTGTTTATTTCAACGTAGGTAGAAGAGAGAACTTGAAATGTTTCCAACACATAGAAATGATAAATGCTTAGGGCAATGGATATCCTAAATACTCTGACTTGATCATTACATGTTCTATGCAGATGTCTGGGTTTTATTCTGATGGAGATGCCACTGGAGGTATTTCAGGCATTTGCACAGAAGTATCCCCCCACCATACCCCCTTTCAGAGCTGCACTTTAGAAAGATTGATCTAACAGGAATATGCAAAGTTAAGTAGAAAACAGAGAAACCAGAAGCAGTTAAGAAAGTGTCCTAAGAATTCACGGAGTGGAAAATCACCTAGATGTCTTTTATGGGAGGCGTATCCTGGGGAGCATCTGGAGAATCTAGGAGGAGCACCCTTGAGGACCACTCAGGAAGCACTCAAGAGGAACATCTACAGCTGGCTGGAAATCGCAGGGAGCATCTTTTTGCAGACTCAGTATGTGATTTGAGCAGGAGTGCTGTAGGAGAAATTGAAGGAGAAACCTCTCTAGCATCACATACATAACACCTTTCCCCTGTGGAAGGAGCCAGTCTTCCAGAGGCCCCACTTATGATATGGCAAAGCCAAAATTCTCATGGAGGACATCTGGTATCATGAGGATCCCATTGGAGCAAAATTCTTTTTTTTTTTTTTAGATGAAGTTTTGCTCTTTTTGCCCAGGCTGGAGTACAATGGCATGATCTCGGCTCACTGCAACCTTCGCCTCCTGATTTCAAGTGATTCTCCTGCCTCAGCCTCCCGAGTAGCTGGGATTACACCAGCTACTTACGCCACCACACCCAGCTAATTTTTGTATTTTAAGTAGAGACGGGGTTTTGTCATGTTGGCCAGGCTGGTCTCGAACTCCTGACCTCCGGTGATCCACCTGCCCTGGCCTCCCAAAGAGCTGGGATTACAGGCATAAGCCATCGCGCCCAGCCCATTGGAGCAAAATTCTATTCAGCCTACAAATCTGGTCAAAAGCTTTTGATCTGTTCAATCCAAGCTTCAAGCCTACCTGTCAATGCTTTGTGAAGTATATTGAGCTGCAGAAACTTAAAGAAACAGATGAAGAGAAGTTATTTGTAGAAACAAGGAAAGCTTTATTGGCAGAAAGTGTCATTTTAAGATGCGTAGGAGAAACAAGGACTCAACAGGAAGGTAGTCACGTTTCCTGGAAATCTGAACACATGATTGTCAGACCCCAAACTGTGTTGAAAGAAAACCAGCCTCAGAAAGAAAGAAGTTCCACAGGACCAGCATTTGGAAGCACCTGAAGGACAGTTAAAAGGTCTTGCAGCTCCGTGAAGGGTTTGTATATTGTGGATACTGACATACACACTCTACTCACTAGCTCAATGTTGAGCTGTTTCTAACAGTTGAACTACATAAACGTCTCTTGATCTTGAAGGCATTATATTTGCCTTCTCTTAGTCCTTACTTCTGAGTTGTCATAAAGCTCGGTATCATGGTTTGACAGAAGCAGTTATGATCCAGAGGATTTATATAAAAGAATAATAAAAACTGAAAAAAAAAGGAGTTATGTGAACTTTCATGGTAGGACATCATTAAATAAAGAACTCCAGCTGGGCGTGGTAGCTCATACCTGTAATCCCAGCACTTTGGGAGGCCCAGGCGGACAGATCACTTGAGGTCAGGAGTTTTGAGACCAGCCTGGCCAAGATGGTGAAACCCTGTCTCTACTAAAAATACAAAAAAATGGCCGGGTGTGGTGGCTCATGCCTGTAATCCCAGCACTTTGGGAGGCCGAGGTGGGTGGATCACCTGAGGTCAGGAGTTTGAAACCAGCCTGGCCAACATGGTGAAACCCCTTCTCTACTAAAAATACAAAAAAATGGCATGGTGCGGTGGCTCATGCCTATAATCCCAGCACTTTGGGAGGCCAAGGCGGGTGGATCACTTGAAGTCAGGAGTTTGAAACCAGCATGGCCAACATGGTGAAACCCCTTCTCTACTAAAAATACCAAAAATTAGCTGGGCATATTGGTGGGCGCCTGTAATCCCAGCTGCTCAGGAGACTGAGACAGGAGAATCGCTTGAACCTGGAAGTCGGAGGTTGCAGTGAGCTGAGATCGCACCATTGCACTCCAGACTGGGCAACAAGAGCGAAACTCTGTCTCAAAAAAAAAAAAAAAAAAAAGCAAAAGCAAAACAAAACAAAAAAATTAGCCAGGCGTAGTGGCACATGCCTGTAATCCCAGCGATTCTGGAGGTTGAGGCAGGAGAATCACTTGAACCTGGGAGGCAGCAGTTGCAGTGACCTGAGATCATGCCACTGCTTTCCAGCATGGACAGCAGAGCAAGACTCCATCTATAAGTAAATAAATAAATAAAATTCCCTAGGTGCTTAAAAACAAAGGAAGAGGAAAAAAAAGGAGGTGCATCTAACATCTAGGAAGAGCACCTGGGGGAGCACCTACTGGGAGCACCTGAAGGAGCAACTCAAGGGCCACTGGCAGGAACCTCCGGGAAGCGCAGAAGGCATGTGTGGGGAGAGATTGGTGGGGGTTGGGTGTTCTTACCTACTGAATGGGCGGGCTAGATCAAGAGGTGACAACCTGGAAGAGAAATGGGGCTAGAGACAGGCTGGCTGTAAACCAGTGGTTGTCGAGGAGATAGCATCAGTGAGGGAGGTGCCCCAGTGGGAGAGCCGCCCTGAAAAGGGAGGAGGGTGTCTCTCCACTGTTGAGCCAGAGCCACAAAGAGGGTTGACTCTGCCATAGAGCGGCCTTTCTTCCCAGCTATTATGTCGGCTCTGCAGGGACCCTCACACTTGATGAGTCAAGGGGCTTGTGCCTTACTGAGCAGCCAGAGGGATCCCTCTCTGAGACCCTCAGACCTGCTCCTTGCCTGACCAGTGCCAGCCCTCCTCCCCTTCCTCACCAGGGGATGGCTGAAGCATGGAAAAGTGGCCGGCAGCAGATGGTTGGGGGTGGTGGTGGGGGGCATGGGGACTCAACGCCCTGGGTTGCTGAGTCCTGTGAGACCTGTGGCCCCGGGACACCCCACCCCAGGCCTGGGCTCTCAGCAAGAATGCCATGTGGAGCCTGTCAACTAGCCCGTCAACTAGCACTCTCGCGCCCCCTGGTGGCCGTCCCTGATGAGGTGGGTATAGGACATGGTCCCAGTGAGAACTTGTGGCAATCCACAGTTCATGCCTACGTTCATTCATTCATTCATTCTTGAAATATTTGGGGAGTACCTGCAGGCCTCCGAAGCTCTATGCTGTCCACTCTGGCACCCACACGTGCTCTGAGCACTTGAAGTGCAGCGAGTCCACTGGAGAAGTACAGTAAGTGTAAAGAGTACACTGGCCGTCAAAGACATAGTGCACACAATGTAAAATGTAGTATCGATCATTTTCATATTGATGATACATTGAAATTATAATGTTTTAGATCAACCATTTTAAATAAAATATGATTACAATCAATTTCACCTGTTTCTTTTTTACCGAGACCAGCTGGGTCGGGGAGACCCTAACCTAGTGGTGCTAGAGGAATTAAAGACACACACACAGAAATATAGAGGTGTAAAGTGGGAAATCAGGGGTCTCACAGCCTTCAGAGCTGAGAGCCCCGAACAGAGATTTACCCACATATTTATTTTTTTTTTTTTTTTTTTTTTTTGAGACGGAGTCTCGCTCTGTCACCCAGGCCGGACTGCGGACTGCAGTGGCGCAATCTCGGCTCACTGCAAGCTCCGCCTCCCGGGTTCACGCCATTCTCCTGCCTCAGCCTCCCGAGTAGCTGGGACTACAGGCGCCCGCCACCGCGCCCGGCTAATTTTTTGTATTTTTAGTAGAGACGGGGTTTCACCTTGTTAGCCAGGATGGTCTCGATCTCCTGACCTCATGATCCACCCGCCTCGGCCTCCCAAAGTGCTGGGATTACAGGCGTGAGCCACCGCGCCCGGCCTACCCACATATTTATTAACAGCAAACCAGTCATTAGCATTGTTTCTATAGATATTAAATTAACTAAAAGTATCCCTTATGGGAAACGAAGGGATGGGCCAAATTAAAGGAATAGGTTGGGCTAGTTAACTGCAACAGCAGCATGTCCTTAAGGCACAGATCGCTCATGCTATTGTTTGTGGCTTAAGAATGCCTTTAAGCAGTTTTCCGCCCTGGGCGGGCCAGGTGTTCCTTGCCCTTATTCCCGTAAACCCACAACCTTCCAGCATGGGCATTAGGGCCATTATGAACATGTTACAGTGCTGCAGAGATTTTGTTTATGGCCAGTTTTGGGGCCAGTTTATGGCCAGATTTTGGGGGGCCTGCTTTCAACACTTTTTACTTTTATTATAATGTGGCTCCTAGAAAGCTTAACCTTCTTTATGTGGGTCGATTTCTATTTCTATTGGATAGTGCTATTCTAGACCATCAGTTCCCAGACTTTGGGATTTCAAGAACAAGTAAAAGTCCTCCATATTTTTACTACCAACTTGCTACTTTCTTAAATAATGGTGTCTATTTGTCTATTTCTTTCCTTCTTTTCTTTTCCTTTCTTTTTTTTTTTTTTTCTTTTTTTGAGATGGAGTTTTGGTCTTTTTGTCCAGGCTGGAGTGCAGTGGAGCAATCTTGGTTCGCTGCAACCTCTGCCTCCTGGGTTCAAGTGATTCTCCTGCCTCAGTCTCTTGAGTAGCTGGGTTTACAGGCATGTGCCACCACTCACAGCTAACGTTTTTGTATTTTTAGTAGAGATGGGGTTTCACCATGTTGGCCAGGCTGGTTTTGAACTCCTGACCTCAGGTGATCCACTTGCTTTGGCCTCCCAAAGTGTTGGGATTACAGGCATGAGCCACCATGCCTGGCCTATTTATTTCTTTACATTTTTCCTACTGCCTGTATAATTGCAGAAATTAATGATGTTTTAAAAAGTAATAGTCTCATCAGGAAAGGATGAAAGGGATGGTCATCTTAATACCAGAAATGCAGGAAGCCATGGTTAGAATGTAGAGTTAAACAAAAAAACTCATCTATTGCCCTTTGATTATTTTTCCACAAATCATTGAGTGTTTGAGGAGACCCAAGTGTGAGTTCTCTAAGGAGCCTCTTGGGAGGGCATCCACATCTGTGGCTTCTCCCTTCCTGGCCTGCGATCATCTACAGGATAGCCCAGTGTTGACACAGGCCGTGTGCTGCTGCCTGCCAGGTACCAAGCTGAGAACTGTGGACACGGGAAAGGGGTTGAGGGATGCCGTATTGTCTAGGACTGGAGCTGGCACCTTGCTGGTCCCTTTATACACTGGTTATCTTAATTTTCACACACAAATGTTGTTATTCATGTGGTCTGGTGGAGGGAACTTAAGTGTATGGTCTTATAAACTGTAAAAGGGGTGGGGCGCTGTGGCTCATGCCTGTAGTCCCAGCACTTTGGGAGGCCGAGATGGGCGGATTACTTGAGGTCAGGAGTTTGAAACCAGCCTGGGCAACATGGTGAAACCCTGTCTCTACTAAAAATACAAAAAAATTAGCCGCACATGGTGGTGCATGCCTGTAATCCCAGCTACTTGGGAGGCTGAGGCAGGAGAATCACTTGAACCTGGGAGGCGGAGGTTGCAGTGAGCCGAGATCGCGCCATTGCATTCCAGCCTAGGCAGCAAGAGCGAAACTCCGTCTCAAAACAACAACAACAACAAAACAACAACAACAACAACAACAACAAAAACTGTAAGAGGATACCCAGATGGCCAACATGCCTGAAAAGGTGCTCAATCTCATCAGTGATCAGGCAGAAGCAAATAAAAACACAAGGCGGGGTGCAGTGGCTCACACCTGTAATCCCAGCACTTTGGGAGGCTGAGGCAGGAAGATCGCTTGAGCCCAGGAGTTCAAGACCAGCCTGGACTAAATAGTGAGACCCCATCTCTAAAAAATATTTAAAAATTAGCTGGACATGGGGGCACACACCTGTAGTTCCAGATACTTGGGAGGCTAAGGTGTGAGGATTGTTTGAGCCCAGAAGATGGAGGCTGCAGTGAGCCGTGATTGCACCCCTTGCACTCCAGCCTGGGTGACAGAGTGAGACCCTGTTTCAAACACACACACACACACACACACACACACACACACACACACACACACACACACACACTAAGATACCAGTACAGACCCATAGACCCATCAAATGAAAAAGACTGACAATACCAGGAGTAACATCCCCGCTGCTGATGGGAATCTAAATTGGTGCAGCCACTTTGCAAGTAGTTTGGCAGGATCTTTTTTTTTTTTTTTTGAAATGGAGTTTTGCTCTTGTAGCTCATGCTGGAGTGTAACGGCGCAATCTCGGCTCACTGCAGCCTCCGCCTCCCGACATCAAGCAATTCTCCTGCCTCAGCCTCCCGAGTAGCTGGGATTACAGGCGCCCACCACCATGCCTGGCTAATTTTTTATATTTTTAGTAGAGACGGGGGTTTCGCCATGTTGGCCAGGCTGGTCTTGAACTCCTGGCCTCAGGTGATCTGCCCGCCTCGGCCTCCCAAAGTGCTGGGATTACAGATGTGAGCCACTGCACTGGCCAGCAGGATCTTTAGTAGATAAATATCCACACATGCTAGGACCTCACCACTCCACCCAAAAGAAACAAACGCTTATGTGATGTGCAGTAGCATTTACCAGAGCCCTAGACTGGAAATAGCCAAATGTCCATCAACAGGAGAAAAATGAAATAAAATAATGATGAAAACAAAAATGAAATAATGAAAAAAATGAAATAAAATAATCATGCAATGGAATACTATACTATGAAAATAGGCCAACTACTGCCATACATAGCAGCTATGATGTTTGTACCTAAATGATGTGTTTTCCAAATTTTATCATTAATATCACGATGAATACCTTTAAACATGTCTTTCCAGAATACTTCTAGAGAATGACTACAAAGTAAATTGCTAAAGAGTAGCTGATGAATCAGGCTATGGGAATTCTTGATTTTTATAGATGTTGTTCGTTACCTTCAGAAAAAGACTAAATCAATTTATACTCACACCAGCCATGCCTCAGAGAGTCTGCTTTCCCACACACCTGCCAATACAGAAGGTATATGTGTTTAAAATATACTTTGAAAACAAGTAATATTCCTTCACAGTTTCACCTGGATCCTCATTTACTTATGTCGCCTGTTCTCAATCATCTTTAGTGTATTAGTTAGGAAAATGCCACCTGCTATGACTGACTCTAGAAGGAATACTACCTCATCAGAACAGGAGTCCTTTTTTGCTCCTACAAAGAAAAGGTAAGGTTTCTGATGATTAGCACTGGCAAGATTTGCTCCAAGTGATCATTCAAGAACCTAGATGGAAATATATCACTGATTTCTGTTTCTCCATCTATAAAATGAGAGTAAGGATACCATGCCCTACCTTGTAGGGATAGAGTGATTGTCAGCTAAGGTCACACATTTGAATGTCTTAGTAACAGAGTGCAGACTCACCCATTCCCAGCTTCTAGGGTGGTAGGAAAGGGCCCATTCTCCATAAGTGGAAGATCTATTTCAGAGCGAGAAAGAAAAAGGTGCTGAAGCAGTGTCAGAGCACGGCAAACTATCCTTCCTCCTCTTGTTACCAAGCGGTCAATGGGCTTGCAGTCCCATGTGCATACAAGCCAATATCAAGGCCTTGGCTTTTGAGAAAAGGAGTTGGAGGCTAGGTAGGGTTTTATTAGCGTAAAGTAATGAAGTGTGATCTGACTGGATCTTGCAGTGAGGTGATGCCAGAAGGCATGGTCTGACTGGATCCTGCCATGGAGTGATACCACAACTCCATCTGATTGGATCCTGAATCCTGCCACGTGGTGTCTGCCCTTAATTCAGTCCCACTCCTTGGTCTGAGTGTTTAGGTTGCCCCTGTGGTCGTACACTTGACTCATCTAGGTGTGCTCAGTTTACATGACCTTCAACCTGGGGGTCCATGGCAGCTAAAAAACAACTCACAACTTTGTTGCATAAAAGTCGAACCAGATTGGCCTGATTCAGTTATATTCTCTCCATGGCAAGATAGCCCTTGCTAGACATAGAAATGTTAACTTTTTTAATGACCAGAGGTAAAGATGGGTTTGTACTCTGGTTCACCACTGAAATGATGAGTATTTTATTTTATTTTGAGACGGAGTCTCTGTTGCCCAGGCTGGAGTGCAGTGGCATGATGTCGGCTCACTGCAACTTCCACCTCCCGGGTTCAAGCGATTCTCCTGTGTCAGCCTCCCAAGTAGCTGGGACTACAGGCGCATGCCACCATGCCCAGCTGATATTATATTTGTATTTTTGGTAGAGACAGGGTTTCACCATATTGGTCAGGCTGGTCACAAATTCCTGACCTCAGATGATCCACCTGCCTCAGCCTCCCCCAGTGCTGGGATTACAAGCGTGAGCCACCGCGCCTGGCCTGAAATGATGAATATTTTAGAAGAGCTTTCGCTGGGTATTTTTGGAAGGATGAAGCTGTTTACAAAAAAAGAATTCTATATTCTTTGTATTTGTTAAACCTAATATTAAAAAAGAAAAAGAAAAATGGGCTGGGGAGATTGAGACAGGCTGGACTGGTGTTTGGGTCACGGGCTGGGAAAACGCAGAAAAACCAGCTTTCCCATGAAGGGCATCAAACCAGATAGACCACGGAGGGCCAAGTGCTCCTCCTTTCTCATAATATTTGAAGCTTCTCTACAGTGTAAGAGTTTCCCAGAGAGCAGAGAGAGGCTTGACACAGAGGGTAGCTTTTTGAAGATACCATGAGGAAAAGACACTGAGAAACTAAAGGAACAACAATAATAAAATAGTCACTGTATGCGGCCGGGCGCGGTGGCTCACGCCTGTAATCCCGGCACTTTGGGAGGCCGAGGCGGGCGGATCACGAGGTCAGGAGATCGAGACCATCCTGGCTAACACAGTGAAACCCCGTCTCTACTAAAAATACAAAAAATTAGCCGGGCGAGGTGGCGGGCGCCTGTAGTCCCAGCTACTTGGGAAGCTGAGGCAGGAGAATGGTGTGAACCCTGGGTGGTGGAGCCTGCAGTGAGCCGAGATCATGCCACTACACTCCAGCCTGGGCGACAGCGAGACTCCGTCTCAAAAAAAAAAAAAAAAATTGTCACTGTATGCATAATAGTAAAAGACACATGGCTGATCCTTGTCTATGGATGTCACACCAACCTTAGAGTTGCCCCTAAGAGTAAGTGAGCAAGTGCTAGCCCCACTGTGCAAAAGACAGCAGAGACTTGGACAGGGGGATCCCCAGCAGAAGGAGCAGACTCTGGCTGGGGCTGTGGAACCCCAACATTGCCCCTACTCTCTGCAGCACACAGTCTACTCTCCTTAGAGACAGAGACATGAGCTAGGCAAGACTGCCTTTCCATACAGAGACCCCCAGGCTCAATCAAGTAGTTCTTAGCAAGAATATCATGTGAGCACAAAATAATTTTTTCTTCTTGCAACATACAATGTGTTCCAGAGTAGAAACTTCAGAAGATAGAGGTGAGGAAAAAGAAATAAACACAAATGACATCACCCAAAACGACAGCCACTATTTGCAGTTGAAAGCATTTCTACCCTGTTCTTTACCCTCTCATACACATACCTGCATTTACATTTTCAAGACTGTTACTAAGCTATAATTTAAAAATAATTACTTATTTCATTTTGCTTGAGTGAACATAGTTCTGTCATTAAATATTATTTCAACAATCTTAATGATAGCATATGTTCCTTTGTATGATCAGCCATAATTTATTAAATTCATTTTTAAACATTTTGAAATTTTCCAAGGTCTTACATTTAAATACAGATGCTCCTCGACTTACAATGGGGGTTATGCCCCAAGAAATCCATCCTAAATTGAAAATATCATTAAATTGAAAATGCAGCCCAGTAAGGCATGATGGTCTGCGCTGTAGTCCCAGCTACTCGGGAGGCTGACCGGGATGATCGCTTGAGCCTAGGAGTTTGAGGCTGCAGTGAGCTATGATCACGCCACTGCATTCCAGCCTGGAATGATTATGGGTGACAGAGTGAGACCCCCATCTCTTAAATTAAAAAAGAAGAAGAAGAAGGAGAAGGAGAAGAAGGAGAAGAAGAAGAAGAAAGAAAAGTAGCCCAGAGAGTCTTTGGTCAGAGAATCACTAGTGCTTAAAATCTGAAACCTTGTGGTTGTACCATTGTAAATTTGAAAAATCATTAAGTCAAACCATCAGAAGTCAGGGACCATCTGTACGATAGTGTCTTGATGTCTTGGTCTACTTGGTCTGCTATAACAAAAGACCATAAACTGGGTGGCATACAAACAATAGAAATTGATCTCTCACAGTTCTGGAGGCTGGAAGATCATAATCAAAGCACTGGCAGATTTGGTGTCTGGCAAGAGCTTGCTCTTTGCTTCATAGATGGCATCTGGCTGTGTCCTCACATGGTGGAAGGGATGAGGAGTCTCACTGGGGTCTCTCATATAAGGGCACTAATCCGATGTATGAAGGCTCCACCCTCATGACCTAATCACTTCCCAAAGGCCACACCTCCTAATACTATCACACTAGGGGCGAAGATTTCAATATACAAAGTTTAGGAGAACATGAACATTCAGACCACAGCACTTGATATTTCTGCTAGGTCAATATTGCTATAAATATGTTGTTATTACCTTCCTTTCTTTCTTTCTTTCTTTCTTTCTTTCTTTCTTTCTTTTTCTTTCTTTCTTTCTTCTTTCTTCTTTCTTCCTTCCTTCCTTCCTTTCTTCTTTCTTCCTTTCCTTCCTTTCCTTCCTTCCTTCGAGACAAGGTCTCACTTTGTCACCCAGGCTGGAGTGCAGTGGTAGGATCATAGGTCACTGAAGCCTTGACCTCCTGGGCCCAAGTAATCCTTCCGCCTCAGCCTCCCAAGTGGCTGGGACTGAAGGTGTGTGCCGTCACGCCTGGCTAATTTTTTAAATTATATTTTTGTAGAGATGGGGTCTTGTTATGTTGCTCAGGCTGGTCTTGAACTCCTGGCCTCAAGAGATCCTGTTACCTCGTCATCCCAAAGTTCTGGGATTACAGGCGTGAGCCACTGCACTTGGCTGAGATGTGCTATTTTTAATTTTCCTAGGAACTGTCAGTGCTTATCTTAAGTTATGTTAAAGTGGTGTTTCACATTTTCATTTTCATGTCTTATTACATTCCATATTTGCTATTTTTTCATGAATTTATTGACCATTCATATTTCTTCTTTGTGAATGTATTACATGTGTTCTTTATTCAGTTTTCCAGATGTCTGCCAGTGATAATAATTTTTAAGAACACACTATATATAAATATAAAAAACTTCCTGTATATGTTACAATGTTTCATTTTGTCATTTGCTATATAATTTCACTTATGGTTTTTTTTTTTTTTTTGATGAGAGAATTTTACTTTTTTTTTTTTTTGAGTTGGAGTCTTGCTCTGTCACCCAGGCTGGAGTACAGTAGCACAATCCTGGCTCACTGCAACCTCCACCTTCTGGGTTCAAGTGATTCTCCTGCTTCAGCCTCCCGAGTAGCTGAGATTATAGGAGTGCACCACCACACCTAGCTAAATTTTGTATTTTTAGTAGAGATGGGGTTTCACCACGTTGGCCAGGCTGATCTCGAACTCCTGACCTCAGGTGATCCACCCACTTTGGCCTCCCAGAGTGCTGGGATTACAGGTGTCAGCCACTGCAGTCAGGGAGAATTTTACTTTTTAGTTTATGCATATACACACAATACACACATACACACACACACATGCATTTTTCTATTTTATGCCCTGCTCTATGCTTAAAAAAACTTCCATTTATAAAGATGTTTTAGATATCTATTATTTAACTGTTTTCTTTTTCTTTTTCTTTTTTTTTTTTTGAGACGGAGTTTTGCCCTTGTTGCCCAGGCTGGAGTGCGATGAGCCGATCTTGGCTAAACACAACTTCCGCCTCCTGGCTTCAAGCAATTCTCCTGCCTCAGCCTCTTGAGTAGCTGGGATTACAGGCATTGCCACCAAGCCCGGCTAATTTTTGTATTTTTAGTAGAGACGAGCCACTGTGCCCTGCCAACTGTTTTCTTTTACATTAAAAATTTTAATCAACCTAGATTAATTTTGGTATGTGGTGTGAAGTAGAAACATTTTCTCAGATGCCTAGCAATTTGGCTCAATAACATTTACTGAGAAAGCAGCAATTATTTGTAGCCATATTTATCATATGTCAGATGTTATAACGGAATTCTGCCTGTCAGCTTCCTGATATGTTTCATTAATCTGCCCTTCATATTTGGATTTATTCTTCATATTCAGTATCAAGATACCTCAAAATTACAGCAATGTGTTAACATCAATAGGGCTTGTCCCTTAATTTATCTTTTGACTTTGTAGTTCCCTGGCTATTACTATACGTTCATTTCTTCCCAAGGATTTTAGAATACTATTATATGTTAATCCCCTTAAATTCAAGAAGGAGATAATGGTTCTCATTGGCCAGGTTATTACGCTTTTTCCTACTGGAAGTATTCTAAAAATCTTGAGAGTAAAAACACAGGAGAGAGATAAAAGAGAGGTATTAAAATCATGAAGAAGATAAATACAGTACTATTTACAACAGACAAGGCTTTATACCAGAAAAACCTAAGAGAAATAACCAAAAGTTCACTATTATCTTACTCAAAGTGTTGTAAAAAGTAAACAGTGGTAAGTTATATATGTATATTATAATATGCAGAGCAACCACGAAACATATATCTATAGATATACAGATACAGTTACACTTAAAACACTATAGATGAAAATAGGATAGGATGGGGGCGGTGGCTCAAGCCTGTGATACCAGCACTTGAGGAGGCTGAGGTGGGCGGATCATGAGGTCAGAAGTTCGAGACCAGCTTGACCAACATGGTGAAACCCCGTCTCTATTAAAAATACAAAAATTAGCCAGGCGTGGTGTCACGCGCCTGTAATCCCAGCTACTCGGGAGGCTGAGGCAGGAGAATCACTTGAACACAGGAGGTGGAGATTGCAGTGAGCCAAGATCACGCCACTGCACTCCAGCCTGGGAGACAGAGGGAGAGGCTGCCTCAAAAAAAAAAAAAAAAAAAAAAAAATTGAATGCAATTTATAGAGGAAAGAAGATGTTTTATTTTTATTTATTTATTTATTTTTTTGAGACGGAGTCTCGCTCTGCCGCCCAGGCTGGAGTGCAGTGGCGCAATCTCGGCTCACTGCAAGCTCCACCTCCCGGGTTCACGCCATTCTCCTGCCTCAGCCTCCCGAGTAGCTGGGACTACAGGCGCCCGCCATCACGCCAGACTAATTTTTTGTATTTTTAGTAGAGATGGGGTTTCACTGTGTTAGCCAGGATGGTCTCGATCTCCTGACCTCGTGATCCACCCGCCAGGGCCTCCCAAAGTGCTGGGATTACAGGCGTGAGCCACCACGCCTGGCAAGGAAAGAAGATGTTTTAAACAAATCATGCTGAAATAATTAGAAGTCTACCTGGGAAAAATTGAACATTTATACTCACCTCACACCATTTACAAAAACTAATTTGAGATGGATCATAGATCTAAATAGAAACTCTAAAACCGTAATGCTTTTAGAAGATAACAGAGGTGAGTATTTTTATGAGTTGAGGGTAGCAAAATTTTCCTAGTTAGGTCACAGAAAGCAATACCCATGAAAGAAAAAAAAGTGATGAATTAGGCCAGGCACGGTGGTTCACGCCTGTAATCCTAGCATTTTAGGAGGTTGAGGTGGGTGGATCACCTGAGGTCAGGAATGCAAGACCAGCCTGGCCAACATGGTAAAACCCTGTCTCTACTAAAAATACAAAAATTAGCTGGGTGCGATGGTACATGTCTGTAATCCCAGCTACTTGGGGGGCTGAGGCAGGAGAATTGCTTGAACCCGGGAGGTGAAGGTTGCACTAAGCTGAGATCATGGCACTGCATTCCAGCCTGGCAACAGAGCGAGACTCTGTCTCAAAAAAAAAAAAAAAAGAAAAAGAAAAAGTGGTGAATTAGAGCCTATTAAAAATTAAAAGCTCTTGGATGCCAAGAAGAAACCCCCTACTTCATGAGGCTGACTCCAGCACTGCCAAAATAATAATAAATTAAAACCTCTCCTCACTGAACCATAGCTTAAAGGAAAATATTTGCAGAACATGTGTCTGACAAAGGACTGGTAACCAGGGTATGTAAATAATCCCACATTTAAATAATAAAAAGCCAAGCAGACCAACTGAAAAATGAGCGAGATTTGATCAAGCCCATCAGAAAAATAACAACAAAAATCATGGATAACCAAGAGACCAAAAGTGGCAAGGGAGTGGGCCCACCGACTCTCGAGTTGTGGGACCAGTAGAGACCACTGTGGGAAGATGTCCGGCAGCTTCTTATCAAACAATACAGACTTACCCCATGGGTCTGCAATTCCTCTCCTGAGAAAAAAGAAAACTCATCTACACAAACTGATGTACTGAGAATGCCTCACAGCTTTATTCACAGTAGCCAAAAACAGGTAACAACTCAAATAAATTTCCATCAACAGGTGAATTGTGATCCATCCATACAACGAACTAGTTTTGGACAATGAAAAAGAAGAAACGCTGATACAGAAAACATTTGCCACGGTGGCTTGGGCCTGTGATCTTGCACTTTGGGAGGCTGAGGTGGGCGGATCACCTGAGGTCAGGAGTTCGAGACCACAACATTGATGAATATTAAAAAATGGCAGAAAACATTTGCCACGGTGGCTCATGCCTGTAATCCCAGCACTTTGGGAGGTCAAGGCTGCAGTGAACCCTTTCCCAATCCAAGGCTGCCTGCCTTGGCCTCCCAAACTGCTGGGATTACAGGCATGAGCCACCATGCCCAGCCTTTTCTTTCTTTCTTTCTTTCTTTTGAGACAACGTTTCACTCTGTTGCCCAGGTTGGAGTGCGGTGGCACCATCGTAGCTCACTGCAGCCTTGAACGCCTAGCCTCAAGCAATCCTCCTGCCTCAGCCTTCTGAGTATCTGGAACTACGCGTGTGCACCACCATACCCGGCTAATTTCTTTTTATTTTTATAGAGATGGGGTTGCCCAGGCTGGTCTTAAATTCCTGGCATCAAGCAATCCTCCTGCCTCAGCCTCCCAAAGTGCTGGAATTAACAGGCGAGCGCCACCGTCCCCGGCCCTGCATATTTTTTATTGAAATAAAAATCTGTAAACACTAAATTCTAGTTAATGATATGAGTGCTGAGGTATTTGGGGGAAAGTGCACTGTAATCTACATTTACTTTAACATACATCAAGAGAAAAAATGATGAATTTATGACTGGAGAGAATGATGGATAGATAGCAGTGTTGCTGGTGGACTTGAAGTGGGAGGTCTAAGGGCATTCACTGCAAAAATCTATCAGCTTTTCTGTAGGTTTGAACATTTTTTTTTGTTTTTTGTTTGTTTTGTTTTGTTTTGAGATGGAATCTTGCTCTGTCTCCCAGGCTGAAGTGCAGTGGCGCAATCTCGGCTCACTGCAACTTCTGCTTCCCAGGTTAGAGTGATTCTCCTATCTCAGCCTTCTTGAGAAGCTGGATTACAGGCACGTGCTACCATATCCGGCTAATTTTTGTATTTTTAGTAGAGATAGGGTTTCGCCATGTTGGCCAGGCTGGTCTCAAACTCCTGACCTCTGTTGATCTGCCTGCCTCAGCCTCCCACAGTGCAGGGATTACAGGTGGGAGCCACATGCCCGGCCTGAACATTTTCATAATAAAATGCTGGAGGAAATCATCACTGAGGAGGATGTTTTTTGAGTTGCACCTCCCTGGGGTGGGTGCCATGGGCATAGGGTCTGCTGGGGAAGGTCAGCACTCAGGGAGAAGGGGAGGGAGAAATGAGGAGGTGATGGAGGAGAGATAAGGTTGAAGGACACCCTGGGAGGCACTGGCTAAAGAGAATGCTTTGAAGCTGCCCAGCAGACACTCCCTTGTTCCCAATCAGAGCCCAAAGGAAAAAACACATTCCACGTTTAAAACTACCCCTGGGATTGGCCACCTCCCTCCAGGACCTACTGGGAGCCACCATTGCAGCCAACCAGAGCCAAGAAGGAGTCATCCTCCTCTCTATAATGACAGGCAAGGGACATGAGACAGGCTGACCATGGAAGAAGCCTAGTGGTTAGGAAATGGGCATTCTCTGAGGGCAAGGGAGCAGGGAGCCACCAGGAAAACCACTCCTAAAATTGGGGTACCTGTTAGGAGAGAAAATGACATATCTTTCCCTGGGAGGGGGTCTTAATGTGAGATGAAAGGGTCTGGGGCATGGAGGGGGCTGAGGAGAGTGGACAGGGATGTTGAATGGCAGGGACACTCCATGGAGACCCCTGTCCCCAAGGAGCTAGGAAGATGGACCCACCAGTGCTCACCCACCCTGGGCTGGTGCTGAGGATGGTTGATGCTTGGGTCTGTGTGCCTTCACGGGAGATGCTCCAGTAAGTGGGGATCCCACTACCGCTGTGGGGGTATCCTTGGCGCAGGTCCTTTGGTTGCAGCAACATTGCAGCCTCCACTGTCCCCTCTGAGTCTGCAGGTGGTGAGCTAAACTGGGTGATGGCAGTGGCCTGATTGAGCAAGAAAGCCTGCCATCAACTCCCTAAGGGGCAGGGAAGGAAGGAAGCAAAGAGGATACTGACCACAGACCCCTCCCACAGAGTTCTGGCAGGGCACAGAGAGAGGGAAACATAAGATCCACATTTGAACTCAGCCAATTCGCCAAGAAATTCATGACACCAAGAAGGCTGCTGTCCATGACAGTGAACTATCTCTGATGGAGGTGATCACAGGTACATGCAAATAGATATCTCTCTGTCTACACCTGGGCCTAGTGTCAAGCCAGTAACTGTTACATGAAATAGTTGTTAATTGTGTTATGCTTTTATTGATAAGATGACAATTATCAATGACTGTGATCTCAAACGTGATGTGTGTAGAAACAGGGGCGTGAGTTAAGGAATGGCGATAACTGCTTTTACTCCCATGATATCGTTCTCCCAAGGTGAGTCTTTAGAATGGATGCTTTTGTTGGATTGGCTTCTTCCCTGTTTATTTGGGGGGAACCGTTTTAGAAAAGAGGTTATACTTTCTTGTAAGTCCTGGGGCTGGCATCTGTGCTTCGTAGCCCTCTTTGAAGCTTTAGGAATTCTCAGGTTTGACACTGGCACAGCAGCCCTTGTAGAGAGACGGCCCAGGACCGCTCGTCCCCTGTTCTTGGGTCTGGCAGCCTGTGACTGACCTGGTGTCCCTCATGCAACCTCACAGAACAGAGTCAGGGTCACAGCACTGTCATGGCTGCACCATGACCTGGCAGTCATTCTGAGAATTGTGGGTGACCACAGGAACATGCAGCAGCCTTTTATTTCAAATAAGCTCCAATAAGCTCATTGCTTGGAAAGAGTAAACTGTGGGGTCTGCAGCTTAGAGGAGACATTCTGGGCTCCTTCACTCACTGTCAGAGAGCAGGCTATCTGGGAGCATCGAGTTTGATTGCTTTTTGTAGTCTAATTTTTTTTTTTGAGATGAGGACTCGCTCTTGTTCCCCAGGCTGGAGTGCAATGGTGCAATCTCAGCTCACTGCAAACTCTGCCTCCTGGGTTCAAGTGATTCTTCTGCCTCAGCCTCCTGAGTAGCTGGGATTACAGGCGTAAGACACTGTGCCTGGCCCTAATGTTTTATTATATTTTAGTATTCAGTGATTTTACTGAAATCTATCATAGTTTAAAAGTTTTGTGAGCGTCATCTCTTAACAGACAACTGTCTTGCAAATAGAAAAATAAATAAATGTAAAAAAAAATTACTGAATTGATTCTTTGAATAGCCAAGGAAACTTTGTGGTTGTGTTATAAAATTACATGTGACAAAATAAGTTGAAATTCTGAAGGCTGTTTTCTCTGGGCTGGTGCTTGGCAGTCTCCCCAGCACATTCATGAATGCCATGTCAATACTCCAGGCTGTCTCCATATTTTAGAAATTCCAAAATCGATTTGAGATTTGTAACTACATTCTATAAGAAGGCTCCTGTGAGAGTAGAGTCAAAGAAAAGACTTTCTAGAAGCTTGAGAATAATGCCCTTCTCCCAGCCCTCCCCTGCACACCTGTCCCATGAAGTCAGGAGGGTGAGACTTACAGGCATTGATCATCTGGAGACTTCTGAAGGCAGGAGCAGGGTAAGAATCGAGGCAGAGTGCAAAGAGAATGGGAAGTACTGTTCCCTAGAGACAAGGACTTACTCCGATTTGAGTCTTGCATTTCTCACTGGGCACAGGAGAGGCCCTGGTGTTTCTCTGGCCTAAAATGATGGAGCATAGGGTGTAGCCAGTGGAGCAGAGGACCTGCTGCCCCATGGAGGGCCTCCAGGCTGAGCAAAGGGCTCCCCAAACAGAAAAGAGGTGGAGGCACACACGTCTCAAGGGGCCCATGGGCCGTGGCTGCTCTATTCTGGTGAAGGGCGTCCTCCACATGAGAGAGGTCAGCCCCCCAAATAAAACTGTGCATGGTCACATAGCAAGCCCCCTGCCAGCTGAGACTGCTGCATCTCCCACCCTCTAACAGCGTCAGTGACAGATGGGGCACAACTGGGCAGGAACCAGAATCATCCCCTCTTCAGCCACAACATTGCTGGGCCCCAGGTGGATGAGAGACCCTGAGGGGGTAAGACATTGGAAAAAAGATAGAGGGGATGAGATGGCATATCACCCCTCACAGACACATGCACATTAACTCTTCTCCAAGACACAAGTCTGAGCTGAACGGCAGTGGGAGCAGAAGTGGGGACCTCTGAATAAGTATAAAAGTGGATTTTCTTAATTGTCTGGATTAGTGAAAATGACCAAAAAGCAATGGCCATGACTTATAGATATGTGTGTTCCCATTACCTAATGATACCATCTGCTATAAATTTCTTAGCAGGTATTGTACCAATAAAAGCATTATTAGAAGCCATTAGAACAATGACTAAAATAATTATGGTATCAATCCTAGGACTGAGTGAGTTGGGCAGCCTACCAGGGTCTTATCTACACTGTAAAAACAAAACCTCTTACCCTGCTCTGAGTTACTAAAATGGAAACTGGAGACTTCTTTCTCCACTCCTGAATCTGAGCCACGTCACAAAGTGGGACCCATTGAAGAAAGGTGACCCTGGGGCATGTCCACAGAAATGGGCTGTGACTCTCTCTCCTAGGTGTTTCCAGAGGTGCTTGCAAGACAGCTGTGCTCTGGGGAAAGGGGAATGAGCAAAGACCCAGAGAAACCTCTGTGGACCACAAATCAGAGAGGAGCAGGTGGAGGTTGAGGAAGGTGGTGCTGTAGTGGGCCCAGTGTTCTGCAAACCCACCTTCGGTAATTTCCCAAATTGTTCATAGATGTCAGGAATAGACATACTTAGTTACTTGCCAGAAACTCTGCATTAGGGGCCGATGAGCTAGAGCTCTTCAGCTAAACTGGTTATATGTATGTAACATCTGTATCTATGTTGCTATATATGTCTATATGATCATATATACATGTTGCACGTATATATTTGTGCATGTACATTCATGTGACAAAAGAAATAGAAAGATCAATTTGACCTTTTGAAGACACAAAATTTAAAAATACAATGCATTTGTTGGAAAGAATCTAGTATATAAGAAATGTGTAATGTTCAGGGGAATTAATCAACACAAGCTGTGGTTTGTGTCACGTTTTAAACTTAATGATATCTGTAGACCCAATGGATGGCAGAAATAGAAATGAGTATTGTCCATATTTAATGATGAGGAACTTGAAGCTTTCCCACTAAGATCAGGAACAAAGCAAGGATGTTCCCTCTCACCACTCTTTTTCAACATTGTACTGGGCAACCTGGCTAATGCAATAAGATAAGGAAAGAAAACAAAAGGTATACAGGGTGACTTTTTTTTTTTGAGCGTCTTGCTGTGTCACCCAGGCTGGAGTGCAGTGGTGTGATCCCAGCTCACCACAACCTCTGGCTCGCGGATTCAAGCGATTCTCCTGCCTAAGTCTCCCAAGTAGCTGGGACCACAGGTGCCCACCACCATGCCCTGCTAATTTTTTTTTGTATTTTTAGTAGAGATGGGGTTTCACTATGTTGGCCAGGCTGGTCTTGAACTCCTGATCTCGTGATCCATCCACCTCAGCCTCTCAAAGTCCTGGGAATTACAGGCATGAGCCACCGTGCCCAGCCAGGATGACTTTTTAAAAAAGAAATAAGGCCGGGTGCAATGGCTCACGCCTGTAATCCCAGCAATTTGGGAGGCCAAGGTGAGCAGATCACCTGAGGTGAGGAGTTCAAGACCAGCCTGGCCAACATGGTGAAACCCCATCTCTATTAAAAACACAAAAATGAGCCAGGCGTGGTGGCGGGCGCCTGTAATCTCAGCTACTCCAGAGGCTGAGGTGGGAGGATCGCCTAAACCTGGCAGGTGGAGGTTGTAGTGAGCTGAGATTGTGCCACTGCACTCCAGCCTGGGCAACAGAGCAAGACTCCATCTCAAAATAAATAAATAATAAAAACTAAAAAAGAGATAAAACTTTTTAAAGATGGCATGATTGTCTATGTAGTGAATAACAAAAACAAAAACAAAACCTCCTGAAGCTAATAAACAATTATAGCAAGGTTGTAGGATACCAGGTTAATCTATAAAAGTCAAATTGCTTTGTTATATACCAGTAATGAACAATTGAATTTTTTAAGAGACAGGGTCTTACTTTGTTGTTGCCCAGGCTGGAATGCAGTGGTGTGATCATAGCTCACTGTCACCTCAAACTCCCTGGCTCAACCAGTCCTCCCCTCAGTCTCCCAAGTAGCTAGGACTACAGGTGGATGCCACCATGCCCAACTAAGTTTTAATTTTTTCTGTAGAGACAGGGTCTCGCTATTTGCCCAGGCTGATCTTGAACTCCTGGCCTCAAGCAAGCATCCCAACTAGGCCTTCCAAAGCACTGGGATTACAGGTGTGAGCCACTGCACTTGGCCTGAAATTTTAAATTAAAAAGACAGCATTCATATTAGCACCAAAAAAAAGGGGGGGGGGAGGGGAAATAGGTATAAATCTAAGAAATATGTACAAGTTCTATATGAGAAAAACCATATAACTCTGATGAAAGAAATCAAAGAACTAGATAAATGGAGAGATACCCCATGTTCATGGACAGAAAGAGTCACTATTGTCAGGATGTCAGTCCTTCCCAATTAGATCTATATATTTAATGAAATCCAAATCAAAATCCCAGCAAGTTACTTTTTAGATATAAACAAATTATAAACTTTATGCAGAAAGGCAAAAGACCCAGGATAGCCAACACAGTATTGAAAAAGATGAGCACAGTCAGAAAACCGATACTACCTGACTTCAAGACTTACTATAAAGCTAGGTGGGGCGCAGTGGCTCATGCCTGTAATCCTGTAATCCTGTGCTCATGCCTGTAAAGTGCGGTGGCACTTTGGGAGGCCAAGGCAGATGGATCACCTGAGGTCAGGAGTTCGAGACCAGCCTGGCCAACATGGTGAAACTCTGTATCTACTAAAAATACAAAAGATTAGCTGGGCGTGGTGGCAGATGCCTGTAATCTCAGTTACTCTGGAGGCTGAGGCAGAAGAATCGCTTGAACCTGGGAGGCAGAGGTTGCAGTGAGCCAAGATCGTGCCACCATACTCCAGCCTGGGTGACACAGCAAGACTGTCTCAAAAAAAAGAGACTTACTATAAAGCTAAAGTATTGGTGAAAGAATAGACAATAGATCAATGGAACAGAATATAGAGCCCAGAAATAGACCCACACAAATATAGTCAACTGATCTTTGACACAGGAGCAAAGACAATATAATGGAGCAAAGATGGTCTTTTAAACAACTGGTGTTGGGGCACGGTGGCTCACCCCTGTAATCCCAGCACTTTGGGAGGCCGAGGCAGGGGGGTCCCTTGAGGTCAGGAGTTTGAGACCAGACTGGCCAACATAGCAAAACTCTGTCTCTACTAAAAATGTAAAAATTAGCTGGGCGTGGTGGCGAGCACTTGTAATCCCAGCAAGAGGCTAAGGTAGGAGAACCACTTGAAACTGGGAGGCTGAGGTTGCAGTGAGCCAAGATTGTGCCACTGCACTCCAGCCTGGGTGACAGAGTGAGACTCTGTTTCAAAAAACAAACAAACAAACAAACAAAAACAAATGGTGTTAGAACAATTGGACATTCATATGCCAAAAAAAAAAAAAGAATCTAGACAGATAGACAGATATCTTATACTTTTCACAAAAATGAACTCAAAATGAATCATAGACCTAAATATAAAACACAAAACTATAAAACTCCTAGATGATAACATGGGAGAAAACCTATATGACTTTAGGTATGGTAATGATTCTTTAGATATAACACCAAAAGTATGAACCATGGAAGAAATAATTAATAAGCTGGACTTCATTAAAACTAAAAATATTTGCTGTGTGAAAGACATTATTAAGAGAATGAAAAGACAAGCAACACACTGGGAGAAAATATTTGCAAAACACATATTTGATAGAAGGCTTGTATCCAAAATATAGAAAGAACTTCTATAGAAATAAAATATAATATAGAAATATAACATAATAGGCTGGGCACGGTGACTCACGCCTGTAATCCCAGCACTTTGGGACGCCGAGGCCGGCGGATTACCTGAGGTCGGGAGTTTGAGACCAGCCTGACCAACATGGAGAAAATCCATCTCTACTAAAAATACAAAATTAGCCGGGTATGGTGGTGCATGCCTGTAATCCCAGCTACTCAGGAGGCCGAGCAGGAGAATCACTTGAACCTGGGAGGCGGAGGTTGCGGTGAGCCGAGATCCCGCCATTGCACTCCAGCCTGGGCAACAAGAGCAAAACTCTGTCTCAAAAAAAAAAAAGGCAAAAGATCAGGACACCTCACCAAGAAGATATACAGATGTCAAGTAAGCATATGAAAAGATGCTTAACATGATATACCATTAAGGAGATGCAAATTGAAACAGCAATGATATACCACTTCACCCCTGTTAAAATGGGCAAAATCCAAAACACTGACAATACCAAATGATGGCGAGGATGTGTAGCATCAATAACTCTCATTCATTGCTAGTGGGAATGTGAAATGGGGACAGCCACATGGAAGACAGTTTGGCAGTTTCTTTAAAATCTAAACATATTCTTACCATATGTTTCAGCAATTGCGTTCCTCGGTATTTACCCAAATGAATTGAAAACTATGTCCAGACACAAAAAACCTGCACACAAATGCTCATGGCAGCTTTATTCATAGTTGCCAAAGCCTGCAAGTAACCAAGTTATTCTTCAGCAGGTGAATGAATAAACAAACTGCGATACAGCCATAAAATGAAACATTATTCAACAATTAAAGAAAAAGAAGAGCCACCAAGCCATGGCTCTTAATCAAGATCCATGATCAAGCTCTTGATCACCCAAGAACCTGGGTGATCACGCCACTACACTCCAGCCTGGGTGACAGAGCAAGAACCTGTCTCAAAATTTTTTTTTAACTTTTTATTTTTTTATTTTTATTTATTTTTGTTTTTGTTTTTTTGAGGCAGAGTCTTGCTCTGTCACTCAGGCTGGAGTGCAGTGGTGCGATCTTGGCTCACTGCAAGCTCTGCCTCCCGGGTTCACGCCATTCTCCTGCCTCAGCCTCCTGAGTAGCTGGGACTACAGGCGCCTGCTACCACGTCCGGCTAATTTTTTGTATTTTTAGTAGAGATGGGGTTTCACCGTGTTAGCCAGGATGGTCTCAATCTCCTGACCTCGTGATCTGCCCACCTCGGCCTCCCAAAGTGCTGGGATTACAGGCGTGAGCCACCGTGCTCGGCTAACTTTTTATTTTGAAATAATTGTAGATTCACATGTAATTATAAGAAATAACACAAAGCCATGAAAAGACATGGAGGAAACTTAAATGCATTTTGGTAATTGAAAGAAACCAGTCTGAAAAGGCTACATATTGTATTATTCCAACAATATGACATTCTGGAAAAGGTAAAATTATGGACATAGTAAAAAGATTAGTCAGTGGTTGCTAGGGGTTTGGAAAGAAGAGGGGAGGGATGAATAGGTGGAGTAAAAGGGATTTTTAGGGAAGTCAAACTATTCTGTATGACACTGTAATGGTAGGTACATGACATTATGTATTTGTTAAAACCCATAGAACCATACAACACAAAGAGTGAACCTTAAGGTAAATTGTGAACTTTAGTCAATAATGTATCAATATTGGTTTATCAGTTGTAACAAATGTAGCACACTAATGCAAGATGTTAACAATAGGAAGCCATATGTGTAGTAGGGAGAGGGAATACATGGGAAATCTGTACTACCTGTTCAATTTTTCTATAAACTTAAAACAGAAAATCTATTAACAAAATATCAGCTTGCCACTGTAGCTCATTCCTGTAATCTCAGTACTTTCCAAGGCTGAGGCTGGAAGGTTGCTTCAGTCCAGGTGTTTGAG
The DNA here is from genome assembly GCF_000001405.40 of Homo sapiens. Lineage (NCBI taxonomy): Eukaryota > Metazoa > Chordata > Mammalia > Primates > Hominidae > Homo > Homo sapiens. The sequence goes on from NC_000007.14 coordinate 44,943,690, forward strand.
GCTGCCATGAGCTATGGTCCCACCACTACACTCCAGCCTGAGTGACAGAGCAAGATCTTGCTAAAAAAAAAAAAAAAAAAATTGTATTCTCACCACCAACATATGAGAGTGCTTCTTTCCCAACAGCCTCACCAACAGAGTGTGCTGTCATATTTTTACAATTTTTAATCTGATGTGTGAATGTAGTTTTCATTTGCAGTTATTTAATTTTGAGTGACATTGAACATCTTTTCACATATTTATGTCTTTTTATGTATGTGTGAATTGTCTGTTTATAGCTTTTGCTCATTTTTCTATCAGATTGTTGGTCTTATTTTCACCTAATTTTTTCTTTTTTTTTTTTTGAGACAGGGTCTCACTCTGTTGCCCAGGCTGGAGTGCAGTGGTGTGATCACAACTTACTGCAGCCTCAACCTCCTGGGCTCAAACAATCCTCCCACCTCAGACTCCTGAGTAGCTGGGACCACAGGCATGCACCACCACACCTGGCTAATTTTTAAATTTTTTGTAGAGGCAGGATCTCCCTGTGTTGCCCAAGCTGGTCTTGAACTCCTGGGCTCAAGTTATCCTCCCGCCTTGGCTTCCTAAAGTACTGGGATTACAGGCCTGAGCCACGATTCCTAGCCCTCCTTTTAAATTTTTAAATTAAGGGTGGGCATAGTGGCTCATGTCTGTAATCCTAGCAATTTGGGAGGCCAAGGTGGGAGAATTGTTTGACCCTAGAAGGTTGAGACCAGCCTGGGCAACATAGGGAGACCCCACCTCTACAAAAATATTTAAAAATTAGCCAGGCATGGTGACGCGTGCCTGTGGTCCCAGTCCCAGCTACTCGAGAGGCAGGGGTGGAAGGATTGCTTGAGCCCATCATGCCACTGCACTCTAGCCTCGGTGACAGAGCGAGACCCTGTCTCAAAAAGAATTTTTTAAATTAAACTTTTTATTTTGAAATAATTGTAGATTCACATGTAATTGTAAGAAATAACACAGAGAGATCCTATGTCCCCTTTACTCTATTTCTGGCATTGGTAACTTTTTACTTTTTGAGATGGAGTCTCACTCTGTCACCCAGGCTGGAGTGCAGTGGCATGATCTTTGCTCACTGCAACCTCCACCTCCCAGGTTCAAGCGACTCTTGTGCCTCATCCTCCCGAGTCGCTGGGATTACAGGTGCATGTCAACACATCTGGCTAATTGTTGTATTTTTAGTAGAGACAGGGTTTCACTATGTTGGCCAGGCTGGTCTGGAATTCCTGACCTCAAGTGATCCACCCGCTTTGGCATTCCCAAAGTGCTGGGGCGTGAGCCACCACGCCCAGCCCAATGGTTAACATCTTGCAGAGTGAGAGTACAGCATCACACCAGGACACTATAGTGACGCAGTCAAGGTACAGAATGTCCATTTCCACAAGAACAGCTCCTGTTGCCCTCTCCAGGCAATCATAGCCCCTACAGGATATGGGATACAGATTAGTGGTTTCCAGCGAATAGGGACTGGGAGGAGGAATGGGGGTGGGAGGGAGGTGGATGTGCATATAAATGGGCAACACGAGGGATCTTTATGGTGAGGGAACTTTTCGGTATCTTGACCATGATGATGAATACATGGACTTATACAGGTGATAAAATCGTATAGAACTTAACACACACACAGACACACGCACACAATGCAGAAATAAAATGAGGAAAATCTGAATATGATCAATGGATTCTATCCATATGGATATACTGGTCATGATGTTAGACTATATTTTTGCAAATGTTACCCTTGGGGGAAACTGGGCAAAGTGTACAAGAGATTGCTGTATTATTTCTTACAACTGATTGGGAATCTCCTTTTATCTCAAAATAAAAAGTTTAATTAAAATGAGAATTTTCATAGCAGCTTTATTCATAATCACCAAACACTGGAAGCAGTTCATGTAGCCAGAGAATAGATAAACACTCTGTGGTTCATCCCTATAGTGAAATATCACTCAGCAAGAAATATGAATAAACAACTTATAAACATGCTTAACCTCAGAAATATGCTGAATGAAAGAAACCTCAGAAAAGAGTACTTAATGTGTGATTCCATATGTGTGGCATCTAGAATGGCCAAAAATAATCAATCTATGGTGGAAAAAAAAATAGAACAGTGGTTGCCTGGTGAAGGGGCAGGCACGTTTGGTTTGGGAATGCTCTCTAACCCCCTTGCTAGGGGTTAGGTTACAAAAGTATACACACTTGTCATCAAATAAAAAGTGGGGAAAAAACATAATCAAATGGTACACTTAAAATTTGTGTACTATGTTATATGTAAATTGTACCTCAAAAGAAAAACAAGAGCCACAAACAAATAACAAACTTCAGTTAATAATGTGCAAACAGAAGTATCTGAATACGGGAAGTATACTGTTGCCTGCAACTTAATTTGAAATGCCCCAGAAAACAAAAGCAAGATGGCTAGTAGAGAGGATAAATGGATACATATGTGATAAGGCAAGTAGAATATAAAATATAAGTCTTTTCAACTTTTCTGTGTGTTTGAGAATGTTCATAATAAGATGATGGAGGAAAAAGTTTTTGATCCAGCAGTTTGAGACACCATTATGATCAGGTACTAAATTTTCATGTGAATTTGGGTCTGTTCCTGTACTTTCTTTTTTTTCAAGACAGAGTCTCACTCTGTCACCCAGGCTGGAGTGCAGTGGTGCAACCTCTGCTCACTACAACCTCTGCCTCCTGGGTTCAAGTGATTCTCCTGTCTCAGCCTCCTGAGTAGCTGGGACCATAGGTGCGCGCCACCACACCCAGCTAATCTTGGTATTTTTAGTAGAGAAGAGAGTTTCACCATGTTGGCCAGGCTGGTCTCAAACTCCAAGCATCAAGTGATCTACCCGCCTTGGCCTCCCAAAGTGCTGGGATTACAGGCATGAGCCACCGCGCCCGGCTCTCTACTTTCTTTTCTATTCCACTGGTAATCATTCTAGTACCATACTCTTCATTTTAAAGGCCTTTGTAGCATGTTTTAATGTTTGGTGTGGCTAGCTGGCTCTTGTAGCTTCTCTTTTTCAGTGGTTTCCTGGCTATTGTTTCCTTCTAATTTTTCTATATGAACTTTAAAATAACTTGTTTATATTCGGGGCCGGGCACGGTGGCTCACACCTGTAATCCCAGCACTTTGGGAGGCCGAGGCAGGTGGATCACAAGGTCAGGAGATCGAGACCATCTGGCCAACATGGTGAAATCCTGTCTTTACTAAAAATACAAAAATTAGCTGGGCGTGGTGGTGGGTGCCTGTAATCCCAGCTACTTGGGAGGCTGAGGCAGGAGAATGGCTTGAACCCGGGAGGCGGAGGTTACAGTGAGCCAAGATCATGCCACTGCACTCCAGCCTGGTAACAGAGGAAGACTCTGTCTCAAAAATAAATAAATAAATAAATAACTTGTTTATATTCATAATTGGTGTTTTTATTGGAATTGTGTTAAATCTGTAAATTTGCTTAGAGAAAACTGACATCATAATGATACTGACTTTTCTGTCCAAGAACAAGGGACAAATGTCTTCCATTTATTCATACTTAGCCTTGTATCTTACAGGCTTATATAGGTTTCGCCCATTTTATTTTATTTTTATTTATTTATTTTTTGAGATGGAGTCTTGCTGTGTCACCCAGGCTGGAGTGCAGTGGTACAATCTTGGCTCACTGCAATCTCCACCTCCCAGGTTCAAGTGATTCTCCTGCCTCAGCCTCCTGAGTAGCTGGGATTACAGGTGCCCGCTACCACACCAGGCCAATTTTTGTATTTTTAGTAGGGACGGGTTTCGCCATGTTGGCCAGGCTGATCTCAAACTCCTGACCTCAAGTGATCTGCTGGCCTCAACCTCCCAAAGTGCTGGGATTACAGGCGTGAGCCACTGCACCCAGCCAGGTTTTGCACATTTTAGGTTTATTCCTAAGTATTTGACCTTTTTGGGCTGTTACATATACAGTGTTTGCTACCACTGTATACTCTGACTGGTTGAGATTTGTGTATATGTAGGGCATTATTGATTCCTGTATGTCAATTTTATGTATTTATTTATTTTTAATGTTTTCCACTCTGTTTTATGGTACTGAACTGTGTGTTAATTTTATATCCCAGTTATGTTCATGAATTCTTTTGTCTCAGTAACTTTATCATTGACTCTCCAAACACAATTTTAATCCTAAACCTAACTTTCACTGTAATTCTAGCCTAACAAGACCCTAACTAGCATTAACCCAAAAGCTAAGTCTGTCATTGATTTTAATCCTAACCCTATTTCTATCCCTAATCATAAATCTAACCATAACATTAAGCCTGACTCAAGCCTAATCTAACTTTTACCTTAAACCTAACCCTAGTCAAACCCCAAAGTTACCACCTATATTAAATAAAACATAACCTTACCAAAACAGAATATAAACCTTAATCCAAGAGCTCTCTCTAAGCCTAACTCCTGACCCTAACAACAAATAGCTCTACTAATAAACTTTATCCTAATTATAACAATAACCCACATCCACACTCTAATCCTAATTCTGAATTTAACATAATCTGTCACTAACAATACTCTAACCACACCCAATCCCCAAATTAGCATTAATTCTAAACCCTAACACTAAGCCTAACCCAAATGTAATTTAATCCTAACCTGAACTTCAAACCCAAAACTAACCCTAACCTTAAATCTAACCCTAAACTAACTGTAACCCTAACTAACTCCAGCTCTGAGAATCAACTTTACCTCAACTCTACCCCATTAACCTAAACACTAACGATATCCTTAACTCCAACCCTAAGTCTAAAGGTAATCCTCATACCAACCAAATATTAAGCCTAACCATAATCATAAATATAATCATATTGCCAAAACTAATCCAAATTTAACTCTAACACCAAATTTAGCCCTAACCCAATACTAATTCTAACTCTAATATTTGAACTAACCCCAAATATTACCTTATTATAGTCATGAACTTCATCAAATTGCCAACTCTAATCCTAACTCCAACACTGTCGTTAACCTTCAATTTAACTGTTAATAGTATCACTAAACCTCAGCACTAATCTTTACCCTCATATTAACTCTATCATTAAGCAAACCCTGGATTAACAAAACTCCTATGTAAACCCTTACTCTAATTCTAATTCTAACCCCAACTCGTCAACTAAAAACAACTCTAGTCCTAATGCTCATTTTAATAACCCTAAGCCCGGTGCCAACTCTAGCACTAAATTTATCCTGAAACCTAATACTAACCCCAAAACAAGAAACAGAGCTCTAATTTGAATAAATAATCCAATTCGAAATCTGTCACTGTTTTTTTTTTCTTTTTTTGAGACAGAGTCTCGCCCTGTCACCCAGGCTGGAGGGCAATGGTGTGATCTCGGCTCACTACAAGCTCCAGCTCCCTGGTTCAAATGATTCTCCTGCCTCAGCTTCCTGAATAGCTGAGATTACAGGTGCCCGGCACCACACCCAGGTATTTTTTGTATTTTTAGTAGAGACAGGGTTTCACCATGTTGGCCAGGATGGTCTTGAACAGCTGACCCCGTGATCTGCCCTCCTTGGCCTCCCAAAGTGCTGGGATTACAGGAGTGAGCCACTGCACCCGGCCACTGTTTTTATATTTTACTGTCTAATCAGATTCAAAGACCTGTGTCATCTGACAGGCACATTTCCCCCTAATTTGCTATGAATATTAAAATTCTAAAGAGAAATCATGTGACGGTTTTCAGAGAGATTGGTGTCTATTCCAATAAGGCCCCTTCTCTGACACCTGGATCTCATTACCAGATCCTAGGCTGTTTCTTGTCATTTCTGGAACTTGTCCTGAGTATTTGCAGAGTTGGTCAGACTTTGGGGGAGTAACTCATACTAACCCAAACCTATCAGACAAATGTATAATGCAAATCACCAATGTATTGTGAGTGTGGAGTTGTATACAAAATGGACAACCAGCCCATTTGTACAACTAGAACTCTGAAGTACAGCCTGCAGCCACCTACCCAGGAAAACAACATTTTCTTTTTTTTTCTGAGACAGAGTCTTACTCTGTTGCCCAGGCTGGAGTTCAGTGGCGCGATCTCGGCTCACTGCAACCTCCGCCTCCCGGGTTCAATCAATTCTCCTGCCTCAGCCTCCTGAGTATCTGGGATTACAGGCGTCCGCCACCATGCCCGGCTAATTTTTGTATTTTTAGTAGAGATGGGGTTTCACCATGTTGGCCAGACTGGTCTTGAACTCCTGGGTGCAAGTGATCCACCTGCCTCAACCTCCCAAAGTTCTGGGATTGCAGGCGTGAGGCACCGAGCCCAGCCACAACCTCTTTTATCTACAGTAACCAGCCTGGGGTGCCAACCTGCTATAAGTCAAACTTGCAGGAAGCCAGGTGCTATCTCTAGTGACAATCTAGGAAGCTAGTAATTGGCACTGTGGCTCACACCTGTAATCCCAGCACTTTGGGAGGCTGAGGAGGAGGATCTCTTGAGACCAGGAGTTCAAGGCAAGCCTGGGCAACATAGCGAGACCCCATCTCCACAAAAAATTTAAAAATTAGCCAGGTGTGGTGGTGCTCATCTGTACTCCCAGCTACTGAGAAGGCTGAGGCAGGAAGATCACATGAGCCTGGAAATTCAAGGTTACAATAAGCTATGATTCTGTCACTGCACTCCAGCCTGGGCAACAGGACAAGCCCTGTCTCAAAAAAAAATTAGCATCTTAACAATTTTCAAGTGCACAGTTCAGTGGTGTTAAGTACATTCACATTGATGTGCAATCACTACATCCATCTCCAGAACTTTTTCATCTTCCCAAACTGAATTTCTGTCCCCATTAAACACTAACTCCCCATTTCCCTTCCCCCAGCCCCTGGCAGCCACCATTCTACTTTCTGTCTGTATTAATTTGATGACTCCAGGTTCCTCATATAAGTGGAATCAGACAGGATTTCTTTTTGTGACTGGCTTATTTCACTTAGCATAATGTCCTCAGGGTTCATCCATATTGTAGCATGTGTCAGAATATTCATCCTTTTTAAGGCTGAATAATATTCCACTGCGTGTATATACCACATTTTGTTGGTCCATTCATCCATCAATGGACACTTGGCTTGCTTCCACTTTTTAACTATTGTGAATAATGCTGCTATACGTATGGATGTACAAATGTCTCCTCAAGATCCCTTTCAACTCTTTTATACATATACCCAGAATTGGGATTGCTGGATCATATGAGAATTTTTAAAAAATTTTTTGAGGAACTGACATACTGTATTCTATAGAGGCTACTGCCAAATTTTTATTTTTAACTCCTCTTTTTAAGATCTGTGAAGAGCTTCTGTCTTAGTCCATTTGTGCTGCTATAAAAGAATATCACAGACTTCCAAACACAAAGAAAAGATAAATGTTTGAGGTGAAGAATATCCCAATTACCCTGATTTGATGATTAATATTGTATACTTGCCTGGATGTGGTGGCTCACGCCTGTAATCTCAGCACTTTGGGAGGTAGAGGCAGGTGGATCACTTGAAGTCAGGAGTTTGAGTCTAGCCTGGCCAACATGGTGAAACCCCATCTCTACTGAAAATACAAAAATTAGCCAAGCATGGTGGTGGGCACCTGTAATCCCAGCTACTCAGGAGGCTGAGGCAGGAGAATCGCCTGAGCTAGGGGGGCAGAAGCTGCAGTGAGCCAAGATAGCACCACTGCATTCCAGCTTGGGTGACAGAGTGAGACTCCATCTCAAAAAAACAATTATATACATGTATCGAAATATCATACGTACCCTCCAAATATGTACAACTATGATATGTCAATTTGAAAAAGAATACCACAGACTAAATAATTTATAAAGAAAAGAAATTTATTTGTCACAGTTCTGAAGACTGGGAAGTCCAAGATCAAGTTGCCACCATCGGGTGAGGGCCCTCTGCTGTGTCATCTCATGGCAGAAGGCAGAAAGGCAAGACAGCAAGCTAGCCAAGTGCAGCATGAAGGCTCTTTTTTAAGAGCCTTAATCTCATTAATTTATTTATCCCATTTATGTATTCATTCCTTATTAGGAAGGAGCCCTCATGGCGTAATCACCTCTTAAAGGTCCCATCTCTTAATGTCAGCACACTGGTAACATCTGAATTTTGGAGAGGATACATCCAAACCATAGCGTTCTGCTCCATACCCTCCCCAAAACTTATGTCCTTCTCACATACAAAATGCATTCATTTCATTCCAATAGCCCCAAAAGTCTTAACTCCTTCCGGAATCAACTCAAAAGTCTAAAATCAAAAGTCTCAGGTAAATCAAATATGAGTGAGACTCAAGGTGTGATTCTTCCTGAGGCAAATTGTTCTCCAGCTGTGAATCTGTGGAATCAAACAAGTACTTGTTTCCAAAATACAATAGAGGAACAGGCATAGCATAAACATTCTCATTCCAAAAGGGTGCAATAGGAAAGAAGGAAGGAGTAACAGGTCCCAAGTAAGTCCAAAACCCAACAGAATAAATAACATTAAATCTTAAGACTTAATAATATTTGGCTAGGTGTGACAGCTCACCCCTGTAATCCCAGCACTTTGGAGGCCAAGGTGGGAGGATTGCTTGAGTCCAGGAGTTCAAGACCAGCCTGGACAACACAGCAAGAACCCACCTCTACTTTAAAAATAAATAGGTCGGGTGCAGTGACTCACACCTGTAATCCTAGCACTTTGGGAGGCCAAGGTGGGCAGATCACCTGAGGTTGGGAGTTCGAGCCCAGCCTGACCAACATGGAGAAACCCCGTCTCTACTAAAAATATAAAATTAGCAGGGCATGGTGGTGCATGCCTGTAATCCCAGCTACTCAGAAGGCTGAGGCAGGAGAATCGCTTGAACCCGGGAGGCGGAGGTTGCGGTGAGCTGAGATCGCACATTGCATCCCAGCCTGGGCAACAAGAGCAAAACTCTGTCTTAAAACAAAACAAAAGAAAACAAAATTAGCCAGCCATAGTGGCAGGTGCCTGCAATCCCAGCTACTCGGGAGGCTGAGGCAGGAGAATCGCTTGAGCCCAGCAGGTGGAGGTTGCAGTGAGCCGAGATGGCGCCACTGCACTCCAGCCTGGGTGACAGAGGGGAAACTCTGTTTAAAACATTTTTTTAAAATAAATAAATACGTAAATTTTAAGTAAAAAATAAATGTATAATTTAAAAATATTTTTTAAAAATTAAAAAAGAAGAACAATCTTCTTTGACTTCATGTCCTGCCATCTGAACAGAGTAGGGCAGGGGTTGGGCTCCCAAGGCCTTAGGCAGCCCTGACTCCATGGCTTTGTTGGCCACAGACTACGCTCAAGTTTCATGCATTGAATTTTCATGCCCGCTGGTGACTTTACAGGTCTGAGGTCTTGGGGGCAGCCCCACTCCCATGGCTCCATTAAGCATTGCCCTAGTGGATGCTCTCATTTGTGGCTCTCCCCCTGCAGCAAGTCACTACCTGGACCCTGAGGCTGTTTGAGACATCTTTTGGAATGTAGGTGGAGGTAGCTATGCTTCTACAGCTTGTGCACTCTGTGCACCTGCAGAGTTAGCACTATGTTGATGCCACCAAGGCTCACTGCTTGTGTCCTCTTGAGTGGGCAGCCCACTTGTGGTATGGCAACTCAGCCACACCCGAGCCCACCTGAGCCACAGCTGGGGTGGCCAAGGACTGCTGTGCGAGAGTGGGGAACAGAGACCTGAGGTGGCCCTGGACAGTAAGCCCCAAGGTCCCTTGGGCATCTTGGACCCCTCCTTTGAAACTCTTCTGCCCTCAAGGCCTTATCACTCTAAGCCTGTGATGGGTATAGCAGCCCTGAAGATATCTGGAATGCCTTCAAAGTCACTCTCCCATTGTCTGGATGAATAGTACCTGGCTTCCTTCTAGCCATAATCTCCCGATTAAATGTTGTTTGGCCACACCCTTAGTTTTCTTTCTTAAACACACTTTTTTATTCTTTCTATTCTGACCAGGCTGGGAATTTTCCAAATCTTTACATTCTACTTCCCTTTTAATTAAAAACTCTGTCTTTCATCTTTCTCTGTCTTTCTCGCATCTCACTTTACCATAAGCAGGTAAGAGAAGCCATGCACCATCCTAAACATTTTGCTGCCTAGAGATTTATTCTGCCAAATACTCTAGTTCATAGCTCTCAAGTTCTGCGTTCCATACATTAAGTCCTAGGACACAAACACAGTTCTGCAAAGTTCTTAGCAATTGTATAACAAGGATGGCCTTTCCTCTAATTTTAAAAAATTTTTTTATTAAAAAAAAATTGTTTTTTGAGATGGAGTCTCGCTCTGTCACCCAGGCTGGGGTGCAGTGGCATGCTCTCAGCTCACTGCAGCCTCCGCCTCCTGGGTTCAAGTGATTCTTCTGCCTCAGCCTCCTGAGTAGCTGGGACTACAGGTGCACACCACCACGCCTGGCTAATTTTTGTATTTTTAGTAGAGACACGGTTTTGCCATGTTGGCCAGGCTGGTCTCAAACTCCTGACCTCAAGTGATCCACCTGCCTCAGCCTCCCGCTCTTGGTACCACCCCACTTCTGGTATCAATTTCTGCCTTAGTCTGTTTGTGTTGCTATGACGGAATACCACAGGCTGGGTAACTAATAATGAAAAGAAATTTACTTCTCACAGTTCTGGAGGCTAGGAAGTCCAAGATCAAGTTACCAGCATGTGGTAAGGGGCTTTCTTGCTGTGTCATCTCATGGCAAAAGGTAGAAGGTCAAGAGAGCAAACCAGCCAAATGCTGCATGAAGCCTCTTTTGTAAGGGTCTTAATCCCATTACTACCGAAGAAGTCCACATAATCATCTCTCTTTTTTTTTTTTTTTTGAGACAGAGTTTTGCTCTTGTTGCCCAGGCTAGAGTGAAATGGTGTGATCTTGGCTCACTGTAGCCTCCGCCTCCTGGATTCAAGTGATTCTCCTGCCTCAGCCTCCCAAGTAGCTGGGATTACAGGTACCCACCACCACACCCAGCTAATTTTTTGTATTTTTAGTAGAGATTTTCTCCTTGTTGGCCAGGCTGGTCTCGAACTCCTTGCCTCAAGTAATCCCCCTGCCTTGGCCTCTCAAAGTGCTGGGATTACAGATCCACTGTGCCCGGCCAACCTCTTAAACGCCTCACCTCTTAGGACAAGCACATTGGCAACACCTGAATTTCAGAAGGGATACAGTCAAACCATGGCACTATCACTTTCCTAAGAACACATTTTTTCCAGACAAGCCCGGAACAGCTGGGTGGTCACAATCACCTAGACTAGCCTGGCCTTCCCAAGCCTCTGCGCCATTCTCTGGTGCTCAGCCTCTTACTCCACACTTGGTCCTGTCCCATCCACCCATGTGGCTTGTCACCAGCCTCATTCATGAGATTAATGGGTTTTCACACTCAGAGGCTGCTTGCTGGCTCTGCGCTCTCACCTCCACACTCAGCCTGTCCTTGCAGCAGCTGTGGTCAATTCCTTTCTGCTCTGTCTCCCTCTGCTCAGGCTGGGGTCACAGCAGTGTGGTGAGGTCAGCCCTGTGTGGGGAGGAACACTCAGCATGGCTTATTGCTAAGGAAGAGCTGGGAGGTTTCTGTCCTGTTTTGTTCACTTGGAAAATGTATTGATTGCTTGGTGGCACATTTTTCTGATAAACAGAGCAGAGTAATGGATGGTGTATGGGAACTGGACCTGGGGAAGCTAACCTCACACTGCTATGATACGGACCTTGTGATGTGCAGCATTTCTCCATCTGCAGGATTATTCTTCTGTTTGCTCAGCTCAGTGAAGATTTAAACTGAACAGATGGTCATGTTCCTTCAGATTTGCTTTCTAGAATATTCTGACCTTTTGTAGCCTGTAAGGATTTTTTTCTCCAAGCAAAAGTAAAAGCAAGAGCATATCTTGGTTGCATTGGGTGTTACTAAAGTGATTTGTGCAGGCCTCTCAGTCTCAGGACTTCTCCCAGCCCCTGCTCTGTGGGAGCCAGTACCCTTGGACTTCTCTACCAGGTGCTGGAGGTGGAGGCCTCACCCCACAGATGAGGCCTATTCCCACCCCATTATATGCATGTTGACCAAAGCCAGGTTGAATTTCCCAGGTCCAGCCTCAAAAAGTACCATCTCCCAACTGACAGGGATGGAGGCAACTGTTTTGGCTAGCTTAAGGGGCAGGTAGGGGTCAACAGGAAGCTGCCTACCCCCACCCTGCTGCTTATCTTGGTCCTGGGTGGCCTTGGTCCAAGGCTGCTTATTTTAGTCCAAGATGGAGCTGGCCTCAACCCCTGATGAAATACTGCCCTCCTGCTGAGAGCTCAGCACATGGGGGAACCATGGGAGCACAGACAACCCCTGGCCTACAGCCACTCTGTACCCGGCCACCTATAAACTGGCATGACTTGGCAGCATTCATTGTAGCAATTCGGGGGAAAATAGGAAAATACCTGCAAAAACAGGGTAGAAACTCCCTGCAATCCCACCAGCAGGACACAAGCACTCTCAATATTATATTCCATCTTTTTTTTTCTACCTACACAGACAGAGAACGGATTCTACGACAGTTTTGTTTCTGATTACCCTGGCCTGCAGCGCCTCTCTCCAGCCCCTCCCAGCATCTTCCCTAGATCCGTCTCACGCATCAAGGTGGGGTCTGGGCTCCTGGGAGGGACAGTGTGTCACAGTGCTCTCTGTGGCCTCCAGCTCAAGTATCTTGTGACCCTGCAGCAGAGTGACAGCAAGCCAGGGGTTACTGCTCCATCTGTTCTTCAGGAGCTCCGGGGGCTGAGCATCACTTTAGGCCAGGACAGAGCTTCCAGAAGACATGGCTGCATTCTAGGGGAGGGGGGCTTGCGGGCAAAGCTCTGACCCTTCTGGGGCTCAGGAGCAGTTTTTGGAGAGGATGAGTTTGTCAATGCCCACCTGCGGTGCTTACGCACCCACATGGCTGTAGAACCTGCTGTCTGGCCAGAGCGCTTGCCCCTCCTCACCAACCAGGCAGAGAGGGGGTCACAGCAGACAGAGGCTAGAGCAAGCCTTTCCCTGCATGGAAAAGGAGCACCCTGGTGACCACTGGAGAATGGCCTACAGTCCATGAATTTAAAAAAAAAAAAAAGGGGGGGGGGTTGTTGGGGGAGGCCAGGCGTGGTGGCTCATGCTTGTAATCTCAGCATTTTGGGAGGCCGAGGCAGGTGGATTGCTTGAGGCCAGGAGTTCAAGACCAGCCCGGCCAACATGGTGAGACCACGTCTCTGCAAAAAAATATATAAATTAGCTGGACGTGGTGGCACACACCAGTAGACTCAGATACTTGGGAGGCTGAGGCATGAGAATTGCTTGAACCTGGGAGGCTGAGGTTGCAGGGAGATACAGATTGCAGTGAGCCAAGATCACACCACTGCACTCCAGCCTGGGTGACAGAGTAAGGTTCTGTCTAAAAAAAAAAAAAAAAAAAAGAAAAAGAAAAGAAAAGAAAAAGTGGGGCGGGGGCAAGGAATTTTGAATAAACTGGCCAGGTGCGGTGGCTCATGCCTGTAATCCCAGCACTTTGGGAGGCCGAGGCAGGTGGATCACGAGGTCAGGAGATCGAGACCATCCTGGCTAACACGGTGAAACCCCGTCTCTAGTAAAAGTACAAAAAATTAGCCGGGCGTGGTGGTGGGTGCCTGTAGTCCCAGCTACTTGGGAGGCTGAGCCAGGAGAATGGCTGAACCCGGGAGGTGGAGCTTGCAGTGAGCCAAGATCGCACCACTGCACTCCAGCCTGGGCAACAGAGTGAGACTCCATCTCAAAAAAAAAAAAAAGAATTTTGAATAAACATTCCTTCAAAGACAATATATGAATGGCCAATAAGCACATGAAAAGTTGTCCAACATAATTCATTATTAGGGAAACGTGCATCAAAACTGCAATTAGGTAAGACTTCACATCCTTTAGGAAGGCCATTAAAAAAAAAAAAAAAAAGAAACACTTTGGGAGCCTGAGGCAGGCGGATCACCTGAGGTCAGGAGTTCGAGACCAGCCCGGCCAACATGGTGAACCCTTGTCTCTACTGAAAATACAAAAATTAGCCAGGCATGGTGGCGGGCACCTGTAATCCCAGCTACTTGGGAGGCTGAGGCAGGAGGATCGCTTGAACCCAGGAGGCAGAAGTTGCAGTGAGCTGATACTGCGCCATTGCACTCCAGCCTGGGCGACAGACCAAAATTCTGTCTCAGAAAAACAAAATAAAACAAAACAAAAACACCAAAACTTGGCTGGACACGGTGGCTCACGCCTGTAATCCCAGCACTTTGGGAGGCCGAGGTGGGCAGATCACAAGGTCAGGAGATTGAGACCATCCTGGCTAACACGGTGAAACCCCGTCTCTAATAAAAATACAAAAAAAATTAGCTGGGCGTGATGGCGGGCGCCTGTAGTCCCAGCTACTCGGGAGACTGAGGCAGGGGAATGGCATGAACCTGGGAGGCAGAGCTTGCAGTGAGCAGAGGTCGCACCACTGCACTCCAGCCTGGGCCTCAGAGCGAGACTCCATCTCAAGAAAAAACAAAAAACAAAAAACACCAAAACTTCAGAAAATAACATATTGGCATAGATGTAGAGAAGTTGGAACCCCATGTATTAGTTGTGGGAATGTAAAATGGTGCAGCCACTTTGAAAAACTATCTGGTGGTTCCCCAGAAAGTCAAACATAGAATTACCATTTGATGGCCGGGCCCAGTGGCTCACGCCTGTAATCCCAGCACTTTGGGAGGCCGAAGTGGGCAGATCACCTGAGGTTGGGAGTTTGAGACCAGCCTGACCAACATGGAGAAACCCCATCTCTGCTAAAAATACAAAATTAGCCAGGCATGGTGGCGCATCCCTGTAATCCTAGCTACTTGGGAGGCTGAGGCAGGAGAATCGCTTGAACCCAGGAGGTGGAGGTTGCAGTGAGCCGAGATCACGCCATTGCACTCCAGCCTGGGCAACAAGAGCAAAACTCCGTCTCAAAACAAAACAAAACAAAACAAAAAACAAATAAAAAAAGAATTACCATTTGACCCAGAGATTCCACTCCTAGATACATACCAAGAGAATTGGAAACATGTGTCCACACAAAAACTTATACACAAATGTTCCTAGCACCACTGTTCATAATAGCCAACCCAGATGTCCATCACCTGATGAATGGATAAACAAAATGTGGTGTCTCCATACAGTGCAATATTAGTAGTACATAGAAGAGTGAAGTACTGACAGATGCTACGATATGGTTGAGCCTCGAAGACACTATGCTCAGTGAAAGAAGCCAGACAGATGAGGCCATATATTGTATGATCCCATTTATACTAAATATCCAAAATAGGCATAACTGAAGAAACAGAAAGTACATTAGTGGTTTCCAAGGGCTGAGGGTAGGGGTAGGTAATTACTACCAGGTAACGAAGAGTGACTGCTGATGGGTATGGGTTTCGTTTTGGGGTGATGAAAATGTTCTAAAATTAGATAATGGTGTTGGTTGGTTGCACAACCTTATGAATATACTAAAGATTACCGAATTGCACGTTTTCAAATGGTAAGTTTTATGGTGTGTAAATTACACTTCAGTAAAGAAGCCGGAGGAGTATATGTGAGGATAATTAAAATAATTAAGTCTAAGCATTTTTTGAGGGGAGACCAATTTAACTTTAAATGTAAAAAAGAAAAAGAAAAAAGGTCACCTTTATGGTTCTGCTTCCTCATCTGCAAAACGGAGATAGTCACTCCTGCTCCCAGAGCTGCTGGGGGACCGGACACTGCAGTGAGGGAAGCCACCCCCAAGCCCATGTATGGGATCTCCTCTTCCTGCATGCTGGAAAAAGGATCTCCTCTGTGTGTGTGTCATCACATGCCATGTCATGTAGTCCTTGTACCAATTTGAGGAGAGGTTTCTAGTAAACTCGTTCTGTTGGTGGAAAATGTGGATAGACTGGAACAAGTGGGTAGAAGCTGGACTCCTATATAGGCACTGTCCAACACAAGCCAATGATGCCATCCCAGTGCTCAGGCATCGCTCCTCATCTGCAAAGTGAGTGCACTGGTGTGACATGGAGGGCGTGTGCCTGCACGTGCGGCCACAAGTGCTGACATCATCCCCCTCAGTGCCTCAGGCACGTCATGGAACCTCTGTTTTCTCACCAGTAACTAGGCAATGATGGTAACTCTCACCTCAAAGGTATTGGGTGGGGGATATTTGCAAAGTGCTGGAACTATGGTGCTTCGTGAGTTTTTCTATTCACTATAGTGAATGCTATGTATGGGTTTGTCAAAGTGGTGTGTGATGCATATGAACCTTCTGTCACTTTCCCCTTCCTAGCATGTCGTCCCATCCCTTGGGCTGGATCTCAGGACCCCAGGAACCACCTGTCAATTATGACCTTTTCCCCTCGAGGCTGTGGGCATGAGCAGGGAGTGCCCACCAGCAAGCTGGACCCCAGATGTGTCTCCCACTCTGGACTTCCCTGAAGTTATCACTTGTCACTAAGGCCCTCCACTCAGCCTGACAGTGGGGCTTCCTAAAGATCTGGGGGAGCTTTGGGCTCTCCTCCCACTCCCAGTGCACTAGGGAGGAGAATGTAGACAGGAAATGGGCAGATGCTGCTGGGCTCTCTGATGAGGTCACCTGCAGAGGGCAGAGGACCCACCTAATGTCTAGGACTGTGTAGGATTGTGTGATTGAAAGGTACCCTTCATGTCTGATTGTCCTGTGAGGGAGGTGCCTGGCCCAGTCCTGAAGCCACCTAAGCCAAGGACAGACTCCGGAGCTGGCTGTGTGGAGGCTTCTGGGGGCTTTTGGGTTGGGCTAGGAGAGAGCTGCCCTCCCCAGGACAGGAGCAGCAAGACATTGACCTGCAGGCCGGAGGTGACCCTGAGCCCCTACACCTGCAGGTGCCTAGCCATTCAACAGGAGAGGCCCCAGAAAGTACAGAGACTGGACAGTCCCAAACTGTCATATGCCACCCAAAGGCCCTGGTGGAAGACGTGAACCTGCCCACACAACAAAGTGGCAAACCAAGCCAGGGTGCTCTCTGAATTTAGGTTGCCCCATAAGAAGGAGAGCACAGCTCTGGGGGCACAGAGAACACCAACTGATGGAAAAGAGGAAGGAGCTAAAGGGCTGAGGGCTGAGGGGATTGAGGGGTCTGAGGGGGCTGAGGGCTGAGGGGCTGAGGGCTAAGGGCTGAGGGGCTGATGGGGCTGAGGGCTGAGGGGCTGAGGGGCTGAGGGGGCAGAGGGGCTCAAGGGGCTGAGGGCTGAGGGGCTGGGGCTGAGGGGGCAGAGGGGCTCAAGGAGGCTGAGGGCTGAGGGGGTTGAGGGGGCTGAAGGGGCTGAGGGCTGAGGGGCTGAGGGGTTGAGGAGGCTGAGGGGCTGAAGGAGGCTGAGAGATGAGAGGCTGAGAGCTGAGGGGCTGAGGGGGCTGAGAGGGCTGAGGGGCTGAGGGGGCTGAGAGGGCTGAGAGGGCTGAGAGGGCTGAGGCGCTGAGGGGTTGAGGGGGCTGAGGGCTGGGGGGCTGAGGGCTGAGGGGGGTAAGGGCTGAGGGCTGAGGGAGCTGAGGGTTGAGGGGCTGAGGGGGCTGAGAGGGCTGAGGGGCTGAGTGGTTGAGGGGGTTGAGGGGGCTGGGGGCTGGGGGGCTGAGGGCTGAGGGGGGTAAGGGCTGAGGAGGGAGCTGAGGGGGCTGAGGGGATGAGGGGTTGAGGGGACTGAGGACTGAGGGGCTGAGGGTTTGAGGGGGCTGAGCACTGAGGGGGTTGAGGGGGCTGGGGGCTGAGGGCTGAGGGGGTTAAGGGCTGAGGGCTGAGGGGCTGAGGGGGCTGAGAGGGCTGAGGGGCTGAGTGGTTGAGGGGGTTGAGGGGGCTGGGGGTCGGGGGGCTGAGGGCTGAGGGGCTGAGGGGTTGAGGAGGCTGAGGGCTGAGGGGCTGAGGGCCTGAGGGACTGAGGGCTGAGGGCTGAGGGGCTGAGGAGGCTGAGGGGGCTGAGGGCTGAGGGGTTGAGGGAGCTGAGGGCTGAGGAGCTGAGGGGTTGAAGGCTGAGGGGCTGAGGGCTGAGGGGTTGAAGGGGCTGACGGGCTAAGGGGCTGAAGGGGCTGAGGGAGCTGAGGGCTGAGGAGCTGAGGGGTTGAAGGCTGAGGGGCTGAGGGCTGAGGGGTCTGAGGGCTGAGGGGTTGAAGGGGCTGAGGGGCTGAGAGGCTGAAGGGGCTGAGGGGCTGAAGGAGGCTGAGGGCTAAGGGGTGAGGGGGATTGAGGGTGCTGAGGGGCTGAGAGAGCTGAGGGCTGAGGGGGCTGAGGGAGGCAGAGGGGCTGAGGGAGGCAGAGGGCTGAGAGGCTGAGGGCCTGGTGCCATGAGGGCCCCTGAGGGGCTGGCGGAGCTGCTGGAGGCTGAGGCTGGGGTAGGCCTGGAGATGGGGTGGTCAGCCTGGGGGCTGCAGGGGTCTCCCAAGGCCTCCCTGTGGGTCTTTCGAGGGCACAGGCCCTGCTCCCGGAGGCTGGGAGTTCTGGCCGCAGGGCCTGTCCTTCAGTTACTAGGCTCCAGAGGTCGGTCCCAGCGCCTCAGACACCCACATCCAGCAGGGACAGGGACAGCTCGCGGCTGGGATAGCGTCAGCCCTGGGCCACGGCGGCTTGGCACCACATCCCGTGACAGCTCTGTCTCCAGGCGTGCTCCCCAGCCCTGCCTGAAGATGAACCCCAAGCCCTCGCCAGTGGCCAGGTAGGAACAAGGCCAGGAGCCCTGTGGAGAGGAGCAGGGGACCACTGCGTGGACGGGGCAGGCTGGGGCACAAAGGGCACTGCTTCCTCTGGATAGCGCTAACTCCGAGAGCTCGGGCTCCTATCCCTAGCCGGGGCGCCTGGCCTCCTGCAGTCGGGTCCCCAGCGGGTGAGCCGGGCGCAGGTGGACCTGACCGAGGAGGCGGCCGGAGCCCCTGCGGGTGAGGCGGGAGCGGCGAGCAGGAGGGCTGACTCAGAAGGTTTATTTGCAGCGCTGGCGGGGCGGACAATTGGCGGCCTCGGGGTGCGGCGGGTGCGGGCGCTCAGCGGCTGGGCCAGAGCAGGGTGAAGGAGCCGCGAGCGCAGCGGAAATCGGGCTCTGGCTGCTCCGGCCTGGGCTCCACGGAGATGAGGCGCCGGACCCCGCGATGGCTTAGTGGGATGCAGTCGGAGACGCGAACCTCCAGGGTGCGGCCCTCCCTGCGGCAGGAGGAGGGGTCAGGGCGGCCACGCGGCCGGGGCTTCGTGCCCGCTACCGCCCAGCCTGCACTCACCCCTGGCAGTGTGCGGCCAGCACGCCCACCAGCTCCCCAACGCGGTTGTCCAATGGCGGCCGGGAGCGGTGCAGGCACACCACGAGGTCGTCCTGGCCGCGGGCGTGCAGCACCACCAGCTGGTCTCCTCCGCTGGTCACGCTCAGCCCCGTCACCTGAGCGGAGCGCGGGGTCAGAGTGCAGCCGCCTCAACCCGCACCCCAGCCTAGCCGGACTCACCCCCTCCCCAGGAAGCCTCTGCCGAACCCCCAACCGCACCCGGGGAGCGCCGCCCTCGCCAGGGCCACCAGCCCCCCACCGCCCCCTCCTCCCTCTCGGGGCCCTGCTGACAGGGGGAAGCTTGGGCGGGACGCTGCACAATACGATTTTCTCCAGGACTGATGGTTCTAGATCCTTGCTGTCCAACAGGGCCGCCACTGCTCACCTGTGGATGCTAAGCCCTTGCATGTGCTACTGCCTGGAGGAGCCGTTTTTAGTTCTAGGTCACTTTCACTGCATTTAAACAACCACGCCGGCTTTGGGCTGTGGCATTACACAGCAAGGCACTCACCGCCCTTTCTATTGGGACAGTCATGGGACCCCTGAAACTGTGGGAGACCCAGAGGTAGCCTGGCCTTGATCCCTACCCCCGTCTTGTGGGAAAGAGAATTTATGGGAACAGCAGCTGCTAATGAAGGGAGCAAGTAGGCCACAGAGCTCGGCAGAAGGTTCCGGAGTGGCCGGGACGGTATCCCACAGGAGGCCCAGAACATTGTGGTGGGTACTCAGGTCCCAGAATGCCCAGGTGGGAGAACCCCAGTTGGGCACAAGTTGGAAGAGGGGACCATTTGGCTTGGCTAGAGTGTGAGAGTGGGGGTGGGGGGTGACTGGGCTGGTGGGGATCACAGGATGGGACCTTTCACTCTGTGGGCGTGGGAAGCCACTGCAGGATTTTCAGCACGGGTGCCACCATCGCTGAGTTTTAGGATGGTCTGGGCCATCTCAGGTAAACAGGGGAGAGAAGACTGAGGCAGGACTCTGAGCAGCCCAGCAGTGCCCCTCACAGATGCTGCACCCTACTCCCCACCCACATTGCTCACCGCCTCAAGGGGCACGGCCCGCATCACCCGGTACTGCCGGTCAGGGTCCAGCTTGTAGAGGTGCTGGTCTGTGAGCAGGAGGGCCCGGTTCCGGATCTTGTGGAAGCGGTTCACCTGTGGGAGAGGTGGCTGGACCCAGGCTGGTGCTGCCCTGTCACCCACCAGGGCCCCAGGCTTCGGCAGTCCCTACTGCCTCCCCTCCCCGCTGGCGACAGTTTTGGGAGTGTCAGGAGCAGCTGGGCCTGGGCTGGGGTTGCCTCCATTTTCTCCCAAGTGCCCCCCCAAAACTCTGCACCAGCTTCTAACCTTGCAGACGTGGCTAGAAAAAGAGCACAGCCCTGAAGCCATCCTTGTCCCTTGTCTAACCTTGCGGACATGGCTTGAAAAGAGCACAGCCCCGAAGCCATCTTTGTCCTGAAGTGTCTTTAGTCGCTGAGCAAACAGGCTTGATGCTGTGGGATTGTCAGTGGCCTGAGGACAGATGGAGGGGAGGGGGCGCTGCTTGGGATTGAGTCATGGGACCAGACTCAATTGATAGCAGCTGTCTGTGAATCAGCATAGCTATCCTTCATCTCGGGAAACTGAGTCACACAGACTTGTGCGTGAGCTGAGCAGCCCTGGATTTCCTGAGGGCACAGAGCCCTCTTGTGTTGACTTCTAGGCTGCATCTGAGCCTGGCCCTCCTGTCATCCACACCCACCCCCGAAGGCCACTGCTCCTGAAGCCCAGGATGAGACCTTGCAGAGCTCTGGTGGGGGCTGAGGTACAGGGCCACCAGGACAGACAACCCCAGGCCTGGGAGAGGACATCTGAGGGGACCTGGTCACAGCATTAGCCGAGAGCCCTCTTTGGCAGCCCACTTCCCCCTGGCAGCCCTGGACTCGCCTGGCACTTACAGAGGACAGGTAGTCTCGGGCCCAGGCCCGTCGGCAGCCCCAGTCCTGACGAAGCCCTTGCAGGGCCCCCATGGCGGCCACCTTGGCCTTGATCTGGGGCATGTCTGAAGGGGGGATGTTCTTCACCAGCTGCCGGGCCCGCCACCTGGGAGAGGGCATGTAGTCAGACAGATGCTGGCCATGTGTTCATGTGCTCCCTGAGCCCCCTCTCCACAGAGGAAGCTGAGCCCTCAGCCTGGTGCTGCCTGCCTTTCATGTCCCAACCTCTGCCGGCCTCTCTGGCCTTGGCCCCTTGTGCCTAACGCTTGTTCCTGGAAGGTGACCCAGGGACCAGCAGTCGCCCAGTGTCCTCCTGTTCTGAGCATGCTCTGTGCCCCTCCTTCTGGAGAACTCCTACTCAGCCCTCAAGACCCCGCTCAGATGCAGAATCCCCTTACTTCCCAGCCCTAATGGGCCTCCCCCTGCAGGCTGCAGCCCTGGACCTTGAATGCCCACCACAGTACCCAAGATGGTCAGGGCTCTGCACCAACTGTGGGACATGAGCAGTCAGCTAATGTGGCATAGCATCCACCTTCCCACCTATCAAGGGGGCTGGTGTATCTCCCATCCAGGCACTGCAGGCCCGGGATGATGGGTTAAGGTATTCAGTGGATGCCAGCTGAATGGAATGTGTGGTGGGCTGAGAGTAGTACCTGCAGAAGAGTGCGTGGCAGGTGTCCTGGAAGGGCTGCAGCACAGCAGGGGGCAGCGGCCACACAAGGTCACGCCCGTAGAGTGGCGGCTGCCTTGCAGCCTGGAATCGCCGCTGCAGCTCAGCCAGGTGAGCCCGCACCTTGTGTCTCCGGAACCAGCGCATGATGGTGTAGATAGCCCTCAGCCTCCGGCAGCGCCACCTCGCCAAGGTGCCCCGCCATGCCTGGGTGGGCCAGGTGGGATGGGATACGCAGTCAAATTCAATCAGGCCCTAACCCTTAGACCCAAACCTGGCCCTGAGCATTTATTGAGCACTCCCTGGCCTGTCTCCATCAAGCAGAGACTCCTGTGAAACTTACAAGTGTGTTTGTGGCCCCTGGGACACAAGCTTTCCCCACCTCCATAGTGGATGTCTTCCTGCCCCGCCCACCTCACCTTCTGCAATAGCAGCACAATGATGGGGATGAGGCGGGCTCGGCTCTGCTCCAGTGTGACCAGTGTCCGGGGTGAGCGGATGAACAGCTTGCTGTGGCCAAAGGCCACGTCCCCCTGCAGCCCGTGCTGCTCCAGGAGAGCGCTCACGGCTGCCTTGTCGGAGCCCAGCAGGTGGTTGGGCCATGTGTATTCACAGGTCATCTTGTACCTGTCACCACAGGACAGGGCAGTGTGGCCCAGGCCTGGGGGAGAGATGATGGAGCCCACCCTGCCCACCCCACACCTGGGGAGATGGCAGGGATACAGAGTGTGTTCCTGGAGCACTTATGACACCTGTGCACATATGTCTTCCCATACACATGTCCTCACATACATGTCCTCACACAGCCCTCATACCCATGTTCCCACCTGTATGTCCCCACATGCATGTGCTCACACACATGTCTTCCCAGATATTTTGGTGTCTTGAGGCCAGCAGCGTGCTGGTTCCTGCTTGTATCGATGTTTGCGACGTGCTGTTTGGGGACCCTCTGCTCCTACCCCTTGGACTCCACACAGGGACTATGGCCCATGGAGTGATGGGTGTCAGGTGCCAGTACCTGAGCAGGAATCGAGAGTAGGGCTGGCGGGAAGCGAAGCCAGCCCTGCGGACCCTCACATTCTCCAGCAGCCCCAGGTATGCGACCTGGTGGCGACAGTGGTTCTCATCCAGCTTCCCAGCTACCTTGTCCTCATTGGGCTTGATGCAGCGGACGTAGAAGGGCTCCTGCAGGGACAGAGGGGACTTGGAGAGGGTCTGCGCCAGCAGCACTGTGCACCCTGCCCCACACCAGGGGCTTCCTAACCCCTCAAGGTCCCAGGCCAGGAGAAGAGTTGGGAACAAAGAAGGGAAATCAGCAGAACAAGGGCCCTGGAAGCCCTAAGTGCTGGGCAGAGGCCAGCAAGGCCAGGTTCAGAGCCAGGTTCCAGCCCCTGGTCGGGGGGTGGGGAGGTGGGCGTGGCAGGGGCAGGAGCAGGCCTCGCCCCATCTGCCTTCCTTCTCTCCTTCCAAAAGGGGCTGACATCTCTGGATGTTCTGTAGTTAAGCTCACCCTAACATGTCCTCTCCCTGACCCTTCACCTGTTCCTCTTCTGACTTTTGACCCAAAGCTCCCCAAGAAAGCTTGTGCCAGTTTCCTGTCTCTCTGGCCCCACCTGCCAGAAGAATCCTGGGTTTTTGCCAAGAGCTGGGCTGGGCCAAGCCAGCCTCTCAGCAGGGTCTCCCCAAACCCCTCCCTGTTCAAGAGACAATGGGGCGAGGAGAAGCCTGGGTTCCCCATGATTGATCAAGCCTCAGCCCAGCCCCTGAGGCCCCACATCTCACCTGTGCAGTGGGTGGGGTCCACTGCTGGAGCAGATGTGGCTCATACAGACAGGACAAGAACCCTCTCCCCACCACTATGATGTACAGAGGTGGTTGGGACCCTACTTGGCACCGAGGGCACAGAGAGAAGGATCCGGAACAGCCAGAGTGGGAGAGGGGTGGAACATACCTTGGAGGCAAGGTTCTCCACCAGGGCCACCATGGAGTTCTTGAAGAGTGTGCCAGCCGTCAGGGGGCGCTTGGTCACCTCTGTGATGTCCTGCTGCCCGTCCGGCCACATGGCCCGTAGAGTGGGGTCCGTGCTGCAGACACAGGCCGAATTCCCAGCCATCCTCTGGGAGAGCAGCCCCACCCACCCACGTCCTGACGCTAGTCAATGCCTGACCCCAGAGTCTCTGGGGCCCCAGGGCCCTGGCCCTCCCTATGGTGCCCAGCAAGCCGTGCTCACCTGTTGTACAGCAGCCGCTTGAAGTCCTGGAAGAGGAAATCTCTGTTCTTGTCGATGAAGCCTTCCACGGAGTACCTACCAGAAGCCAGGGCTGGTGAGGGAGCAGGGGCGGGGGCTGCCAGGCCAGAGTGCTAATGACCCCAGCAGCCCCCACTCTCTTCCCATCTGCCTCTGTTCCCATAGGTCAGTCTCTCTTCCTCCCTCTGCCTTGGCTCCTCTCCTCCTTCCCCCTCACACCTGCTTTCTCTTTCGTCATGTAAGACTCCCTCCCTCAGGAGACATTTCTCTCCTGGAAGATGAATCGAGTGGTTAAGCCCCCAGCTCTGAAGCCAAATGTCCTAGCACCGAGTCCTGCTTCTACCACATGCATGCTGTGTGACTTTGCCTAAGCCACTCAACCTCTCTGTGCTTCAGTGTACATCAGTTGCTCAGAACAGTGCCTACTGAATTTTGATAAACATCAGCGACTACAACTATGACTAGGAACTCCTGAGTCCTGGGCCTATTTTGATCTGTGGGCACTGAGAGCCTCAGAATCACTGTCTAGTTCTTGGACTGCTAGAAAGGTCAGTGCCAAATCTTGGCTCCAACTGCAGCACCTATGAAGGCTCAGGGAATGGATTTTTTTTTTTTTTTTTTGAGAAATAGTCTCACTCTCTTGCCCAGGCTGGAGTGCAGTGGTGCGATCTCAGTTCGCCACAACCTCTACCTCCCAGGTTCAAGCAGTTCTTGTGCCTCAGCCTCCCGAGCAACTGGCATTACAGGCACGCGTCATCGTGCCCGGATAATTTTTATATTTTTAGTACAGATGAGGTTTTGCCATGTTGGCCAGGCTGGTCTCGAACTCTTGGCCTCAGGTGATCCACCCACTTTGGCCTCCCAAAGTGCTGGGGTTACAGGCATGAGCGACCTCATGGGTGTAGATTTTGCGAACAGATAAAGGTAGATGATATTGGGCTGCTTTGTTGTCATCATCTATTCTATTCCCTCTCCTTGAGAAGTTCTCATGAAACACTTATACCTTGATGTGAGTCACCTTAAATCGTTTTGGGATGCGGCAAGCAACACATAAGTTAATAGCCATCATGACAACCCCTGAAGACACCTGGGCTTTGGCACTGGGAGCGTGGTCCAAGTATGGTAGCGAGGCCTCACCTGGGAGCTTGTTAGAAATGCAGAATCTTGGCCCCCCTGCACCTTCCACTCCCTCCCCACCCCCACATCACCAGCCTGAAGCCCCCCACCCCACAGATGCTGGTATAGGGTTGGGCCCAGACATGAGACGTGGGTATTTTTTAAAGGCTCCCAGAAGAATGCAGCCATGGTTAACCACTATCCTCAAACCCTGTTTCCTGCTCTTCACTTGTGAATCTGCTGTCCGGCATGTTTCAGTGTCTTAAAGGGGTGGGGGTGGCAGAAGTGGCCATAACACCTGTCTCCGAGCCACTCCCCTGAAGCGCTCCTGCCCCATGACACATGCCATGGTGCCTGTGGGAAAGCCAGGGATGTGGGTGGGAGGGGGCCCTTACGTGACGTCCCCTGCATAGTGCTTGATCCGGAAGTCTCGGCCAAACTCCATGGTCTTGTCTGTGGGGCAGAGCTATGGGGACAGGCTGAGGTCAAGGCACAAAAGGTATGTGGAGGGTCTGTATGAAGGGATAGCCCTGCCTCCCCACCTCCAGGGCAGAGAAGGTTGCCACAGTGACGACAATGGCACCAAAGCTGGGTCCCCAACCAGGCCCCACGAGGCATGGGCAGCATGGTGCCTGTGGGGCAGGTCCCACCAGCCCACTGTGGTGGCACTGGGACAGCCGGGGGCACCTGGCGGCTGGTGTAGTGTAGGTGATGGCGGTGGTGCATGTCCAGGGTCTGCAGGAAGATTCGGTCAGTGATGGTGCCAGCAGAGCTGCAGGCCTCGTCCAGCACGGCCAGGATGCCACGGTGGGGCCGCTCCACCAGATCCACAATGGTGGCGTTGTTGAAATACTCAACCTGGGGCAAAGGCAGCCAGCAAGGAAGCTCCCAAGGTCTTTCAGGCCACCTCCCCTCCTCCGCCCCACACTCAGCCACCTGTCAGGCCAGCCCGGGCCCCTCCCCATGGGCTGAGGCCCCTCCACACCCCACTGCCTGGCCTCCCTCCAGGCCACAGTGCTCACGCTCTGCCAGGTGATGCCCTCGCGCTCGTACTCTTCCTGTTCCTGCTTCAGGATGAGCTGGATGAATAGCTGCTGCAGCTTCTCGTTGCAGTAGTTGATGCAGAACTGCTCGAAACTGGGGGTGGGGTGGGCCTTTCAGAGGGGAGGTCGCTGCTTGTGGAGTGCATGGTAATGGGTGGCTGCTCCCCTGAACATCTCTGCTAATGTTCATTGAGGGTTCTGGTGCCAGCACCCTGTGTGGCTTCCCTGTGGCTTATGCATCCCTGCCCTGGACTCCTTTACCCCACCCACACCTCCTGCATGCACGTTCTGGAGTGGACTTGGGAGTCACAACCAGGAATTACTCATGCCCCGTAATTCTGCCTTCCATCAGGACATCAATGGTCAGAGGGTGCAGGTGAGGCAGGTTTGGGAGGCATGAGCCTTGGGCCCAGGGACCAGCCGGGAGAAACCCCAACATTCCTGCTGCCCAGCCCCAGCCGAGCTTTCCAGAACTAAGTGGGCAAAGCTGCTGGGTGTCAGAGGTGGAGATGTGGCTGGCCAGCCACCCACCTGTTGACGGGAAACACCTCGAAGCCATAGATGTCCAGCACGCCAATGACTGTGTCCTTGCCATCACGCCGAGGATCCCGGCCCCGGGGTTCCATGACACTGTTGATCCTGTTCACCACCCACTCAAACAGCCGCTGGTACACTGCCTGGGGGATAGGAACACCCTGCTTCCTGCTGCCTCTGGCCTGGCCTCCCCCATGAAGGCCTCCTGGGCTTCCCTCCCTGTGCCTGCCCCCAAAGTACCTTGGCACAGGCATCCCGGGCATAGCTGGCCTCAGCTGCAGTGTGGCCCTTCTCTATGAGTTCCCTGCCTCCCGAGGCAACTGTGCGAGCCAGCAGGGAGCGGAGCACGAGGTCCCGGGGTGTGGCCGTCAGCTCAGCCACATGGTCCACCAGTGCCTCCTCGGCCACTGCCAGGCCCTCCTTCTGCAGCCCACCCTCCTCCGTCTCCACAAACTCGATGTTTCCCTGGTGATGGGAAAACCATGAACAGTCCGGGCTCCATGTCTCAAAAGAGCCTGGACAACTTTGGACAAGAAGGAGGAAGGAAAGCAGGGGACATGGATGCGGTAGAGTACAGCTCCTTCTCAGACCAGCATGGTCAGCTGCTCACCATGGGCACAGACACAGCCAGAGACTGGGGGAAGGGGGCATGGGCACACCAGAGTCTCTGCCAAGGCCTCGAGGCCTCGAGTCCAAATGACATGTGAATGACCCCATCGCATCCTCCCACAGCCAGCGGAGCCCTGCACTACTTACTCCTCATGCCGCTTAGAGAGAACTGAGGCCAAGAGGCACTGAGTAAATGCAACCAAAGCCACACAGCTCATGACTGCACTAAGAGGCAGTCTGCATGATGCTCAGCTTTTACTGCGCCTGGCTGACCTGGCCCTAAGAATGGGGTCTGGACCATGTATCAACTGAGCTCATCACTCGAGCAGCTCAGCTTCTGCAGGAGAGGCAGTCAGCCTAGCACATTGCTGGGGCATCTCCAGCCAGTCTCCTCCTCATCCCTGGGTGCTTCCCAGCCAGGAAACCCTTGTGGGGAAGTAGCCCTCCCAGGCTTCTGAGCCAGGCTCACCAGGTGCAATATGGCAGCCAGGATGCGATGCACAGACTCCACCTCTTCAGGACTGAAGCCGATGACCCTCATGGCCTCGGTCACTGCCTGGTGGCTCTGCTCATCACTGTCCAAGGCCTAGGGTAGAAGGGATTCATCACTCCAAAGCCACACTGGGCCCAGGACACCTGTCTCCCTTGAGGCTTGATTCCTCCATCCTAGGCACCTGCTCACCCCTGTCCCCTGTCCCCTTCCTGAACCTGATTACTCCAGCCTAAGCACCTGCTCACCCCTGCACTCTGTCCCCTCCATCAGCCATTTTCACTCCACCCCGAGCACCCTCCCCACTCACGCAAACAGTTCACTTCACCCTGGCCTGTGCTGAGTGCTGCCCATTCCCTACCACCACACTCAGGCCCTGACACTGAGCCCAGTTTGAGCCCTTGGTGCCCCTCACACTCACACTGTGCACAGTCATGTTGAGTCCTGCTCCCTGGTGTGTGAAATTGTATACAGCAGGGTTTCTCTCCAAGTGCAGTTCATGCAGCTGCTTGTCCTCACTGCCTCTCAGCAACTAGAGGACACAGGCATCCTTTAGACAAATAAGCTCCCAGGATGTCCCCCTGTACACACACACAGGCAGGAGAACAAACAGACTTGCGCTTCCTTCCAGTATTGAACGAACAAACGTGGGGGAAGGTCAGACAGTGTGAACAGTTTCTGTGTGCCAGCAAGCTCCCCATTCAGCTGTTCAGTGGGTCAGGGAGCTCCACTTCAGTGGGAGCTATGACTCCACCATGAAGTCACTGTTCTTGTGCCAGACCTCATCTTGGTAGGGAGCTCAGTCCCTGTGGAGACATTGCCCTCGACCCAGGGGGATCCCACCTCAGTGGGTAGCTCAGAGTATGTGGAGACACTACCCGGGTCCCAAAACCTCCCACTGAGTGAGGAGGTAAGAGTTTGTGGACAAACTGCAGAATCCTAGGGAGCTCCACTTCAGTGGGAGCTCAGAGTTACTGGAGACCCTGCCCCTGTCCCAGGAAGCTCCCACCTCAGTAGGGAGCACAGGTTCCGTGGAGACATTGCTCTCCACCCAGGGAGAGCCCATGTCCTAGGGAGCTCAGCGTCTGTGGAGACACAACTGGTGCCACATGAACTCCCACCTCAGCAGGGAGCTCAGAGTCCATGGAGACACTGCCTGTGTCCCAAAAGTTCCCACTTCACTGGAGGTGGTAAGAGTCTGTGGAGATCCTGCTGTTATTCCAGAGAGCTCCACTTCAGTGGGAGCTTAGAGTCTGTGGAGACCCTGCCCTGTGTCCCAAGGGGCTCCCACTAGTGGGAAGCTCAGATTCCACAGAGACAATGGTCATGTCGCAGAGAGCTTCCACCTCATAGGGGAATGGAGAGTTTGTGGAGACATCGCCCATGTCCGAGGGAGCTCCCAGCTCCGTGAGGAGCTCAGAGACCATAGAGACACCGCCAGTGTCCCAGACAGCCCTACTTCATGGAAACTCAGAGTCTGCGTGGACACTCCTTGTGTTCCAGAGGGCTCCCACCTCAGGGAAGCTCAGAGTTCTTGGACACTGACTGATTCCCAGGGAGCTCCACTTCAGCGGGAGCTCAGAATCCGTGGAGACGTTGCCACTGTCCCAGTGAGCTCCACTTTGGTGGGAGTTCAAAGTCCAAGGAGATAGTGCCCCTGTCCCAGGGGGCTCTTACCTCAGAGCAGAGCCCAAAGTTGATAGAGACACTGCCTGTGTCCAAGACACAGCCCACCTGAGTGGGCAGCCCAGAGTCCGTGGAGACACTGCTTCACATGTCCCACTGAGCTCCCACCTCGGTGGGTAGCTCAGAGTCCTTAAAGACACTGTCCATGCTCCAAAGAGCTCCATTTCATGGGAGTTCAGAGTCTGAAAAAAACTCTCTGTGTCCCAGGGAGCTCCCACCTCAGTGGAGAGTTTATAGTTCATGGAGACCCTGCCCAAATCCTGTGGAGCTCCCACCTCATGGGGAGCTCAGAGTCTGTGGAGACCCTGGCAACGTCCCAGGGAGCAATCCCCTCAGCCAGGAGCTCAGAGTCATTAGAGACAATGCCCATGTGCCACCGAACTCCCCCTTCAATGGGGGAACTCTGAGTCCATGGAGACCCTGCCCATGTCCCAAAATCTCCCATTTCAGTGGGGAGGTAAGAGTCTGTGGAGATCCTGCCGGAGTCCCAGGGAGCTTCATTTCAGTGAGAGCTCAGAGTCTGTGGAGACGCCCTCTGTGTTCCCAGGGGCTCCCACCAGGGGGAGGCTCAGAGTCTGTGGAGACACTGCCAGTGTCTCAGGGAGCTTTTACCTCAAATAAAGGTCAGAGTCCACAGAGACACTACTGGTTTCCCAGTGAGCTCCCACCTCAGTGCAGACTCACTGGAAAGACAGCCCAGGGGGCTCCCACCTCAGTGGAGTTCAGAGTCCTTACAGACACTGCTGTGTCCCAGAGAGTGTGACTTCAGTGGGAAGTCAGAGTCGTGAAGACACTGCCGTGTCCCAGGGAGCACCACACCATGGAAGCTCAGAGTCCTTAAAGGCACTCCTTGCATCCCAGGAGGCTCCCACCTCAGCGGGCGGTTCATAGACCCTGGAGACCCTGCCCGCTACCCAGGGAGCTCCTGTCTCATGGGGAGCACAGAGTCTGTGAGACACTGTGCTTGTCTCAGGGAGCTCCCACCTCAGTAAAGAGCTCAGAATCCATGGAAACACCGCCTGTGTACCAGGGAGAAACTGCTGTGTTCCAGGGAGCTCCCACTGCACTGGGGAGCTGAGAGTTGGTGGGGACCATGTCTGTGCTGCAGGGAACTCCTAACTCAGTGGGGAGCTCCAAGTCCCTAGAGACACTGCTCCAGTCATAGGGTGCTCCCAGTTCAGTGGGGGAGTTCGGAGTCTGTGGAAACACTGTCTGTGAACCAGAGGACACAGTGGGCAGGCCACAGTTTGCAAACACACCGCTGGCGTGCCAGGGAGCTCCACTTCAGTGTCAAGCTCTGAGACTGCAGAGACACTGTTTGTTTCCAGGGAGCTCCCACCTCAGTGGGGTGTCAAAGCTTGTGGAGACAGTCCCTGGGCGCGCCTATCTCACAGAGGTGCTCAGAGTCAATGCCCGTGTCCCCAGGAGCACCACTTCAGTGTTGAGCTCTGATACCACTAGAGACACTGCCTGTAATCCCAGGGGAAGCCCACCTCGTGGGGAGCTTATTGTTCACAGAGACACTTATGGGTCCCAGAGAGCCCTCATCTGGAGGTGTCTCAGATAAAGGGGACATCCTGCTTTTGTTCCCTGCAAGTCACACCCTCTTGTTTGTGGGGTGTGGGGTACTGGTTGGGGTGAGTGTGGTGGGGAGTGAGGACGATGGGCTAGGTGGGGTTGAGTGGGCAGAGAGGGGGAATTGGGGTAGTGATGGAAGGGTCACAAGCTGGTCCAGCTTGCTGCCCTCCCTTTCCCCACCCCATTTTTCCACCTCCCCTTGCCCTCAGGGCTTACTTGGTAGAAGGCGTGGAAGTTTCTTTCACCCACGTGCTGCTTGAGGACCCGAGACTGAGGAGAGAGGGGCAGATGGACTCAGGCCTGGGAAGGAGTCTGACCCTGGGGACCCCATCTGAACATTCCCAGGTGCAAGGCAGGCTGGGGGTCAGAGAGTCCTGACTATGAGGACACTGAGGCCCAGAGAAGGGCCACAGGGAGAGACAGCCCAGCCCTCCTAAGCTGCACCGTCGGGATGGGTACCTTCCCAGGCCTGGGATGGGTCTCGGCCAGGGCTCCCCATGGAGGTCTCCTCAGCCCACCTGCCCACCTTCTCCAGTAGGTAGCTGTGGATGTGTCCTCCGATCGGGTCCCCCTTGAAGTCAAAGTTGATGTCCATGTACTTGCCAAAGCGGCTGGAGTTGTGATTGCGGTTGGTGCGGGCATTGCCAAAGGCCTCCAGCACACAGGTGGACTTGAGCAGCACGTCCTTGACCCTGTCAGGGCAGAGGGGCTGGGTCTTAAGGCAAAGACTTCCCATCTGGGGAATGCTGTCTCTGCCCCTGAGTCTTCCCAACAGAAATCACAGCATCTCAGGATGAGTTCCTCTGAACTTGCTGAGAGGGAACCAATGGCCTGGCCTCGCCCAGTGTTGCCTCTGAGGTTGTGTGACGGTCACTTCACCTCTGAGAGGCTGGGAAATGCACTTGCCGGGCTGGCTGTGCTCAGCATGGTCTGTGTAGCATTGAGGTCCTTGTTTCTCACAGCCACCTCTTCCCCTCCCAGGCCTCAGCTGCAGCCTGGGGAGGAGGGGCTGTTCTGACCACTGGGCTTTAGACCTCCAGCTGCAGGGGTGGGCAGTGGTGCTGGCCATATGTGCTCAGGAACTGACATTGCTTGTCCCCCCTGAATCCCATCTCGCTGCCTCTTGATAGGAAGAGACAGGCACTGACAGAGGAAGCTGCTTCCATAAGGGACAGGTTTCCTGGTTTCAAGGCTCCTGGCCATCACCCACACAGCCACCTGGCATGCTTGGCCATCTTGGCCAGGGCCTGCCAGCTTCTCCAGGTTTCCATGGAATCTGCCTGCTGCCCTGTCCATGAGCCATTTCAAGCATCTCTGGGCCCTGCTGCACTTCTCCTCATCCTACCTGTGGCTGCTGCCTCCTCCCAGCTGGTAGGCCCAGTACCTTGGCTAGGTCTCACCCACCCAAGGAGAGGTCCTTGGCATGGGTCACCCTGTCTCACCTCCGGGTGTGTTGGCATTATCTGGAAACTTCCCAAGTTCCCACTGAACTTGACCTGAGCTAGACTCCAGTTGCCGTCTCTCACTCCCCAGAGCCAGCCCTTCCTGCCACACTGAGGTCCCTGGCCTGCCATGCTGAGGCCCAGAGCTGCCCATTGCCACTCACCTCTCCACCTCAGCCCTCTGGCTTGGATTGGTGACAGCAGCGATGTACTGCATGATGTGCTTACTGGCTTCTGTCTTCCCTGCCCCACTCTCCCCTGCCGGAAAGACCAGAGTTGAGAGAATCAGCCAGGTTCGCTCTCTTAGCCCAGCTCCCTGTGCCCACTCACACCCCCAAGACTGGCAAGATGGGGTCCTAGGGCCCCCATCAGGACACAGGGCACAGGAGATGCTCTAATGGCCCTCCCAAATGTTCACAAATGAAGATGCCGAGGGTGGGGGCCCGGCGGCAGGGACAGGTACCTGAGATGACGATGCAGGTGTCCCTGGACCGGTGCTTCATTGCCTTGTAGGCGGCGTTGGCCACAGCATAGAGATGGGGTGGCCGCTCATAGAGCTCACGGCCCTGGTACCTGGCGATGGCCTCAGGCCCATACAGGGGCAGCTCCTGGTAGGGGTTCACGGACACCAGCACCTCACCGATGTAGGTGTAGATGCGGCCCTTCTCGAACCTGGACACAGCAGGGGTAGGCCTCAGCACTCACAGGCTTACAGGCACCCACAGGCCTTTCGCCAGAGCCCATATCAGGGCCTGGCCCCAGTAGGCCAGCGCTCCCACCCTGACGGGCTGAGAGTGGAGAAGGAAGAAGGGGGCAGGTGTTGACCTTGCGTCTCCCTGGTGCCATCCTGGGTGAGCTGAGCCACTCAGAGACTGTCTCCATTGCGGCATAGAGTTTGGGGTCCACAGTGGTCTCCCCAGGGATCCCAAGGTCACTGGAAACATGACCACTCATTTTGCAAAGGAAACAGACTTGCCCAAGACTGCACTGGGTGCCGTGAGTCAGGGCTGGCTCCTGGGGTGAACCCCGCAGGGCAGATGGGGAGATGGGGTTGAGAAGTGACTGGGCTGGGAGGGGAAGGAGGGGCCTCCTCGGCTGTTTCCTGTCTCAAGGCCTGGGCGGGAACCCAGAGACAAAAGGGGACCCCACCCAGCCCCACCCAGATGACAGGGAGGGAGTTGATGTCGTTGTCTTTACACCCCCGACCCCCCAGCCTGTGGCCAGTGGCTGCTGCCTCTCCCCTGGCACAGCCTCAGACTTCTTGACCCTTTCCTTCACAAACCTGGTCCCCAGTGGGGGTGGATGTCTGCCCTTCTCTTGACCTTTCTGCCCCTGGGAGGAGGACTGGCAGGCCTGCCCCTCAGACCCATCTCCCCTTGGTGTGTGGTACCCACCCTTCCCTGGATGGCCCTGTCTCCCGGCAGCCTGTCCTGGGTGGGCCTGTCCTGAGGTTCCTCTTTCTCCACCACCTCTGACATGGGTTTTCCTGGGCCTAGCTCCCATCCTCCTACAAGCTGGGGATGAGGGCACAAGTCACCCACGTCTCCAGGGCTCAGTGTTCTCCTCATCAAAATAGAGAGGACAATGTTTCATAAGCTCATTTTATAAGAATGAGGTAGAACAATGTGCACAAAGTGCTTAGCTCACGTCCTGGCTAGCCCTCCTCTTTGAGCCAGGCTCGTGGTCTCTTGCCTTCGGTGCTTAGTGGGGATCCTGGTCCCCAAGCTCTCCCCAGGGAGCTTCCGGAGTACACAGCGAGTGGCCTTCTGCCCCTCCCTGGGAGTCCTGGCAGGAAGCCCAGCTGCCTGTATGGCCACCCTACTGTGCCATGCCCCTACCTCCCGGGCTTCTCCCTGCCCTCCACCTGCCCTCCTTGATGGTAAATTGGGCTCCAATATCACTTCTACCAACTGTGTCCTGTGATACTCCATGTACCCCAGGAGAATGTCACCTCAACTTGGTGGGAATGTTTGGACCCTAGGGTGGAGCCTGACTGCTTCATCTCAGTGTCCCCAGGGCTCAGGCCAGGCCCCATGGATGAGATGCATCGAGGGAGCATCAACAACTGGCTGGGAAGTGGCTGGAGGGAGGTGCCCCTGGTCCCTCCTGGAAAGATAGTGCCTGGTATGTATCTGTCCAAGAAGTGTCATGCCCTGGCCCCGTCGGGCAGGAAAGAAGGGGCAGAAGATGCCTGGACTGTGTGGGAGGCAGGGGTGGGTTGAGGTGGTGGGCAGCTCCGGTGCTGACTTGCCAGCCCTGACAGGGACAGTTGCCTCCTTGTCTGTTCCTGTCCCCTGGGGCCGTGCTTTGAGGCACTCATTTCAGCCCCATCTGGTCTGGGTGGGTGTGTGCCACTGCCCCCTCCCTTGGACAGCAGCGTGCCTTCCTCTTTCCCTCAGGTCTCTGCGAGGACGCAAGGTGGGAGACCCTGGAGGAGGGGAGCCACTGCCTCCTGCCCTGGGCCTACCTGAGCTGCAGGTTCCTCATGAAGTCCTCCATGGTCACTTGGTCCAAAAGCACAAAGTCAGGTTTGCCATACTCAGGGCCTTCCTCGTCCTCCATCCTGCCGGCTGGAAACACCTTGCCTCACCTTCCTGTGCCTGCTGGAAGGACAGTGAAGGAGAGGGGGAGGGAAGGCTAGGGGAGGCCCCACCGCCCCCGCCCTGCCCCACCAGCCTCCTCCAGTGCTGGTGTAAAGTAGGAAGTGGGTTCTAGTCCTGGGAGGGGCTGCCCTCCGCACTTGCCACTCCTTCCCCCTCGAGGTGCTCTAAACCCTGCTTCCTGTCCCTGCGCCCCACAAGGAGGCTGTGCCTAACGGTCTGACCCGTTTGCACGCCAGGGGCGAGGGGCCGGATGCTGGGTCCTCCCCGCTTTGGAGGGTTCTTCGCTGGCCTCCTTCGGAAGCTCCCCTCCACCCACAAGCAGGAGACAAGACTCCGTGGGTTGGCTTCCAACCCTGGCAGCACGTTAGAGTCACTTGTGGGACTTTAAAGAAAGATTTTTTGACGTGATCTTGGTTACCTGGCTGTGTGTGTCTCTCAAGTCAGAACTGAACACTAGATGCAATATACTGTATGTACATTGTACATTAATACAAAAATGAAAAAGGATCCTAATGCCCAGGCCTTTGGGGTGGGGGCAACAGCCTTCTTTGCAGTGTGAAGGCCACACTGGGGTGTAGACGAGCAAAGCTTCTTGTGTGACCTGCCAAGGGCCAGTGGTCCTAGCACTGCAATTCCCCACCCCAGCCACGGGGGAGGGACAGAGGACCCCAGAGCATCCTCTGCATGGGGCTGGCCTTCAGTGGGACCCCTGTGCCCCTAACTGTCCTCTGCCTTGTACTTGTGTCCAGCCGATCCCCCATAAACTGCAGTGAGGACCAGGAACATGCCTGGAGCCCTGTGGCCTCATCTCAGAGCTGCTGTCCCTGCACTTTGAAGATGAGGCAGCGCATTTGGGGAGCGGCTGCATTTAGGGAGTGGCCAAAATCTCCAGACACTGCATTCCTGACACTTAGTGCTCCTGGAAGAAGTGGGAGGGGTGCAGTTCTCTTAGCTTCCAGGCAGACTGGAAAAAGTTCTTTTTCATCCCAGGACAGACTGGGGCAGGTCACACCCATCCTCTAGGAACACTGGGGCGATTCTCTCATCAAAGGTCAAATGGATGCAGTTCTCTCTCATCCTACAAATAGACTGGTGACATTTCTCTTTCACCCCTTCCCTCATACAGGGAGGTCAAAGGGCAGACTCCAGAATTCCCAAACTTCAGTCATTCATGTGCTGCCTTTGAGATTTGTTGTACTCATAAGCACTAGTTTAACTATTGTCTTTCAGTCATCCCATTTTTTAAACTTTGAAGTAATGGATAGGCAAGTTAAGTTTATTTTTTTCTCTCGAATACCTTAAAGCAAATGCATTCCTGATAAAACTGAAAGTACTTATTCAAGTACCTAATAAAACTGAGTCACGCACCACTGCAATAAGGGGCCACTGGCCTGAAAAATCCCCAAATTTGTAAGTGGGCAGCCTCTGGCTCCACCCTGGGCCAGACCTGGGGCTCCTCTTGGGCAAATTCAAAGTCAGTCCTTCGGAACTCTGACAAGTGTGGCCTCCTCCCCACCCCCAGGCTCTTGGGCTGGTGCTTTTGAAGGGTTTCCCAAACCTACACTCAAGTCTGGGAATTCTCACCCAGACTCTTGCCAGCTCATCTGTCTTTTCAAGTTTCACTTCCCCAACCCCCAGGGAGTCAAGCCAACCAGTGGAACCAAGATGGCTGTATTCCAGTAAAACGTTAAGGACACCGAAATCTGAACTTCGCAAACTTTTCATCTGTCACGTAATCATACTATTTTGGGTATTTCCCCCACCACTAACCACTTAAAAATGTCAAGACCACTCTTAGCTCAGAGATTTGGCTGGTGGGAGGAGTTTGCCCGCCCTTGCTTTAGCTGCTGCTGGTTGCTGGGACCCTGGGCGTCCTTCCTTGGTAGTTTGCACAAATTTGCCATGCATTGCCTCATTTGATTCTCATGACACATGTAGGAGTTACTGTTATTTTCATTTTACATATATTAAAACCGAGGCTGAGATGACATCACTACAAAGGAAGTTCCCTCCTGGGTCAACAGACCTCTGGGCCCTTATAGCACTGAATTCAGTGGGTCCTACTCAAATCCCAGGGAAAAGTCGGTCAGTCAGAGTCACGGCCTGGTCCTCAGAAGGGAGGACAAATGGTAGCTCTATCTGCAGCTTCCCCAGGGCATGCTCCTTACAGGGTATGACTGGTAGAACAGGTAGATGAACAAAGGCAGAGGCTCCTAATGGAAGGACAGCAAGGAGGGGCCACCACCAACTCAAGCCTGGCAGGGGCTGAGGAAACCATCCTGGCCCCAGTGAGTTTCCCTCTCATTATCTCATCTGGATCAGTTTCACAATGCCTGCCTCCACCAGGGCTCCTACGGCTGCACCTGCAGGTCCCTTGCCCTCACCCTCCTCGTTGCAACCTTCAAATCCCAGGCTTGCTCTGTTGGTGCTGACCTTGCAGCAAATCCCCAGCCCCAGAAAAATGTCCCCTTTCAGGGGAGTTGCTTTTTCGGCTCTACACAACTGTACCATAACTTAGTATTTCTATTAAAAATTTTTTTTTTTTACCTCATCTGAGGTGATACCATTGGGCTAATTGTAGGGGAATGGCTCTACCTAGGGGTATACTCTCATAGGCCACAGGCCACACAGCTCAACTGAGCCTCCTGGAACTGAGAGTGGAGGCCTAGGAGGCGCTGCCACAAGGCCAGCTCCATTCCCCGCTCCATCCTTCTGGGAGGCTATCAGGAGTTACTGTCTCCTGGGATTTTTTTTCTAAGCAGGGATGTGAGACTTCCGGTTCGTACCCCACTCCCCCCATGGTATAGCTGCAGACTAGACAATCTGCTCAGCTGCAGTCTAGAATTGGCTCCTCAACAAGGGGAGATGCTGTGCCTCCTGTTGCAGGCCCCTTTGGGTGCTTTTCCATTCACTGTCAGTAGTAAATTGGATGTAAGTCACTGGAGGCTGGGTGTGGTGGCTCACGTCTATAATCCCAGCACTTTGGGAGACTGAGACAGGTGGATCACCTGAGGTCAGGGAGTTCGAGACCAGCCTGACCAACATGGTAAAACCCCACGTCTACTAAAAATACAAAAATTAAGGCATGGTGGCATATGCCTGTAATCCCAGCTACTTAAGAGGCTGGGACAGGAGAATCGCTTGAACTCGGGAGGTGGAGGTTATGGTGAGCTATCATGCCACCGCACTCTAGCCTGGGCGACAGAGCAAGACTTCGTCTCAAAAAAAAAAAAAAAAATGCTGGGCCTGGTGGCTCACGCCTGTAATCCTAGCACTTTGGGAGGCTGAGGTGGGTGTATCATGAGGTCAGGAGTTCCAAGACCAGCCTGGCCAAGATGGTGAAACCCCGTCTCTACTAAAAATACAAAATTAGCTGGGCATGGTGGTGGGCGCCTGTAATCCTAGCTACTTGGGAGGCTGAGGCAGGAAAATCACTTCATCCGGGAGGCAGACGTTGCAGTGAGCTGAGATCATGCCACTGCACTCCAGCCTGGATGACAGAGACTCCATCTCAAAAAAAAAAAAAAAGTCACTGGTACTTTAATGGCTCTATTTGTCAGGGCTTGGCCTGGCCTGCTGCAACATTCCTTGACAACATCCCCAATACCAACATGGGGCACATCACACATATTAAGGGTATTACTTCTGTAACTTGTTTGAATGCTTAGGTGAATACCTAAGACTATCTGATGAGACAGAATGTCTTATCGAGCCAACCATCAAATGCTCCTGGAAGGTAAAGCTCCTGATGACAGTGCCTTTGTGCACCATCACCTCACTGTAGAACTCAGCCAGTTGGCCTTGGCTTGTGAACTCTCACCACAGCTTGCCACTGTCAGTTGAAACTGGTGGCACATGCACATAAGATGATCAGAGTTCCAAGTGGCTATCTACAAGCATGAGCATTGAGAATGGTGAAATACTTGGGGATCCCTTGGACTTAGCTGACAACTCCTTCAAGAAGACGCAGGGTCTTCCTATCTTTGCATCTGGCATATGTAAAAAACAGGCAAGACTAAATCACATATTTAAATCCATATTTATTAAATATCCCTTGTTTTTCATTCAGGAGATACCAGAAGGGCCCAGGTCCTGGTGCACAGCAAAGCTTCTCATTCTGGAAGCAGAGAACCTGGCACCCAAACCTAGGGCCAGAGGTCTGTCTGCCAGACCCACAGCCCAGGCCCAGAACTGGAAATTCCTGACTCCTTCCAGAAGGGCAACAAGCGAGGTTTCAAACTTGCTCAATTAAGGTGCCAAGGCTTGCATTCAAATTCAGCTCCACTCCTCACTAGGTGTATTAACACAGGCAGGCCTCATCTGTAAAAATGAGATGAGAAACACTTCAGAGACCTGTTGTGAAAATTAAGTGACATAATTGACACAACTAGGGATTATTACAAACCCCTGTTGCCATCGGTGGCAACAACAGAACTGAACCCTACTTACCAACTCCTGAACCCACTCCCACCATGAGCTGAGAGGCCTGTGACCAACCTCAGTGGCAGCCCATGCCCTTTCCAGGGGCTGAAACACTGGCCACTGACCTAAGGTAACTCCGGAGAAAAGACTATATATGTTGAAACCAAATCACAAAAGCAGTAAAATACCACCCTCAAGAATCAGGGTTCATGAGTCCAAACACTAGACAACTGTTTGTCCCAAAATAGTATTGTGAGCTTGAAGACAATGAACCTTTCTGGGATTCAATCACCTGACTTACCATACGGGAAGGTCAAAATACTTTTCATTAGCCAGGTGACTCTAAATAAAACAGGAGTGAAGTGACTTGCCAGGTCAGACCTTCCTGCACACTTACCCCTGCACAGGTTCCAAGGAACAGCCTGGCAGCCACTGAAGGTATCTTCTCTCAGGTCAGGTCCCCTCTAGCTCCAGCATCTTGGGATTGCTGCTGTAGAAACACTGACGGATGGCAGGCACTCTTGTGCCATGTGCTGGGTCAGGGACACAGAGTGAAGCCACTGGTGAGAGGTGGCTGTCAGGAACTGGCAGCTAACACGGTCGCCTCCCAGTTTCATGGACACTGGTAGAAAATACAAAATTCCTCGATTAGGGACAAGGGACCACTGATTATTCAAAACAATAGCAATAGCCAGAGCATCAGCATTTTCCACCACCCTCCCAAGCCCCAGTTCCCATAGGGGAGTCAGAGGCACCTGCATGAGCCATTGGACTACTACAAGAAAGGAGCGCAGGACTCTACCCTTTCACAACGCACAGCAAGAATGCCTGCCCTCTGCTCTGGAAGAAGGTACTAACCTCTTACCTTCCAAGGTGGTAGAACATGCTTGAAAAGATAGTAAGTGAAAAGGGGTAGCCAGTGCTTTACTCACAAGACTGCTTGAACATGAGACTCAAGGAGGGACCTCAGCAGGCCTGGGGTGTTCAGCAACTATTCCTGGCCTGAAAAGACAGAATCAGCTGAAAGCCTCTACCTTTAAGAGAGGTGACCCCACCACCCAGAGGAACACAGGAGCTGTGCTGCTCGTGCTATGCTCAAGCCAGCAACACTCTTCTCATCCCAGCCAGTCCTTTAACACACCTAACACCAAGACAAGAACTTGAAGGCATCCATCTCCTTCCCATCCAAACTTCCCACCGGCTTCTATATTCCACTCAGGATGCAGGGTTAGAGAGGCCTGGCATCAAACCCTGATCTGCTGGTTTGTGGCTGGGCAACCCTGGACACATAATTCTGACCTTGGGCCCCTCATCTGTACTGAACTTAAAAACGACCTCATGATGATACCTCAAAGATTTAAAACAATTAAGAGGTCTGGCGCAAAATAGGTGTTCAACATTAGCACCTTCCTCTTCCATGAGTTTTTCCTTTAAGATGAGCACACATTGACCTCACCCTCCACTAGCTCCTGGGGCACTCAGCTCCTCTGCAGAACTGAGACTTTGGTTCTCTTTGCTTTGCCTTGTAAATATCCTATTCCATGAGTCTCTCAGGGCAGGACTCTTCCCTGTTATTCCTCTTCACTGTTTCAACTCCTACCCTTACCACCACTCTTGGCTTCATCCTCAACTTTTATAAGACTTTTGCTTTAAGTGTATAATAAAATAAAATTTGTACTGAGCCTGGAGCACAGCAAACACTCAGGATTCCCTTCACCTTTCACACCAGCATTGTCCAAAACAACTTCCACAGCGACAGAAATGCCCTCTAATCTGTGCGGTCCAATATGGTAGCCACTGGCCACCTGTGGCTACTGATCATCTGAAATGTGGCTAGTGTGAAAATGAAATAAAACTCCAAATTTAATTTAATCATGTGTGCCAAGTGGCTACCACATTAGATGGCACGGATCTATACAAGGCCCAGGACACTAGATCCAGGAGGGAGGAAGTCATTGTCTGAAATTTCTATAACCTTGCTCTGGATGGAGCAGGGCAAGGCCTCAAACCGTTTCAAAACTGTTCTAGCAAGCACTGAAGGAATGCATAGGGTCACCGCAGACCCAAGCACGCTGGAGGCTTGCTACCCTCATTCACCCAAATCCCCCACACTCAAGGAATCTGGCAGTCCACTCTCACTAAGCACCAGTCCCTGCTGGGGGCTGTGGGAAGAGACCAGAGTTCAATTAGGCACCTGAGCTTGGTTCCAGGAGCCCAGAGCTACTAATGACTCTCAGGGAAAGATCCTTTCTGGCTGAGGAAGAAGGGAAGGTGTCTTGGAAGAGATAACCTTATTAAATTATTAAATAGATCAGACAACACGAACTAAACTTCCACATTATTCTATGACACTACAATTCTAGCATGGCTTTTCACTGTGACCAGAAACATCCTTATCATCATGTAGTTAATATAAATACTGCCTTTTCCCCTTCATTTTTTTCTCATGTATCTTACGGCTCAGAAATCACTTCTGAAGGAGTAAGTAGACCAGGCACATGAAGTAGATTTCATTTTCCCCATGAAATAATGGTTCAGAGAAAACGCAGGCCTAGTTCCAGGAAGGCAGAGTTGGGGTCTCTGCAACGTGATTTACCGGGGCATCTTGCAAAGGAGTTGCTGTGACAGTAAGCTCTTCCACTTTGAGACCGTCACCTCAGCCACGGCTCCCACCTAGAAGGGAACAAATGCAGTTAGCTCCAAACGCAGTTAGCTTCAGCTTGTGCCTCTGAACCATTATCCAGCTCTAGCTCCTTGCAACGCCTGGCCCACTCTACAGCCTCTCTTGCGGCAGGTCTACACGCCACCCCATGCCTTCCGGTGAGGTCCCTCCTGACCACACGTCCCATCCCACCTACTGGGGTCCACCCAGGTCATGCAGAAGCCCCACTTCTCGGCTGAAAGAGAAGCACGAGGTTACTCATCAAGTAATCCCCGAGTCTCCTCCGGGTAAAATGTTCCGAACGCGCTCAACCGCCTCTTGAGAGGAAGTAGCACGTGTAGTGAAGGCTTGGTCTCCAAGAATCACTGGTGCCCCCACTCACTGCGGCCCAGCCTCCCACGCCGCCCGCCACTGAACCCAATCCCCCAGGACCCCTACCTGGGCTCAGGAATGGTCAGGCAACACGTGGGGCCCAGGATGGCGGTGGATGACTAGACTGCCGAAGACCGCGCCGCTGCGACTACGAAGTACGGAGTACGGAGTACAGGTCTGCCAGCCAAGACTGACGCCGCGCGCTGCGCCGCGCACCTCGACGTCACCGCGTAGTCCCGCCCCGAAGCCGTGCGTGGCCGGGGCCACAGCGTTTGGGGTAGATGACGTCACGCGGCCGCGGGCGCTCGCTTGGTAGGGTGTGCTGGGGCGTAGAGTTTAGGGTCCTGAGGCTGCGTCTGCGTGTCAACTCAGTGGAGTCTCTCGACCGCCCTTTGTTACCCTCCTTTAGTGACCAGAAGGCTGGAGTTACGTAATCTGCCCCTACAGCTAAAAGGACGGAGGCCTGACGGCGTGGCCTGGAGGGACGCGCTGAGCCCCTAATGGGTGGTGCCTTCCTGGTGCGGCCGCACAGGCGGGGCCGGGCGGAATCCAAGCACGATGTGGACACGGAGCCTTGGGAATGAACAGGAGCCTGCCTGTGGGAGCATGTGGGAAAGGTGATGCAGGTGGAAGGGCAAATACAAATTATACATAGGGTTTAATTTTCCCTGAGGAAAAGAAGGGACGAGAAACCATCCCCCTCCCTTTTTCTTTCAAAATTTCAGCCTCTCTCCTTTCCAAATGTACTCAAGTCTTTTTCTTATATGGCCAGGTTCAACTCAGGAATGTTTCTTGGGAGCCATCTCCTTGAAGTGTAATTGTTGGCTGGGTGCGGTGGCTCACGCCTGCAATCCCAGCACTTTGGGAGGCTGAGGCGGGCGGATCACAAGATCAAGAGATCGAGACCATCCTGGCCAACATGGTGAAACTCTGTCCCTACTAAAAATACAAAAATTAGCTGGGCATGGTGAAGCGTGCCTGTAGTACCAGCTACTCGGGAGGCTGAGGCAGGAGAATCGCTTGAACCCGGGAGGCGGAGGTTGCAGTGAGCCGACATAGCACCACTGCACTCCAGCCTGGAGACAGAGCGAGACTCTGTCTCAAAAACAAAGAAAGAAAAAAATGCAATTGTTAAGGGACGAAAGGGCCAAGAGTCCAGCTTCTTAGGAGGACAAAGGCTTAACTTGGCACCTGACTCCAAATTGCAAAACCTACATAATGTGATGGGCTATCTCTACTTAGCTGCATAGAAAAAGTGAGTTTCTGTCTTTGTGTTGCCTTTAGCAGGTTGCATGTGATGTACGGCATCACAATCTGGTTTAATACTTATTCAGTAATGGTTTTCTGTCTCTTCTACCTTTGTGGAGAGGTTTCATGGGTTGGGAGGAAACTACTCTCCACCCCCCACCCACCCCCAGGCAGAGGAAAGCACATTGAAAGGTCCTGAAATTGGGAAGGACATGGTTTGCTGGTGATACAGCTAAGTATTACAAGTTTGTAGTGTTCTGGAAGGGTCTCAATGAGGAGCGGGAGATAAGGACGATGTGTTCAAGGGTCTTGAATGATCAGGCTAGAAAAGTGAGAACGTGGTTCTATAAGTAAAAGCAGAGCAGTGCTTGAAACTCGTATTTTATGTATTGCACCTAGTAAATACATTCAATCACTTTACAGTATACAAATCCCATACTTCACT
The DNA here is from genome assembly GCF_000001405.40 of Homo sapiens. Taxonomy (NCBI): domain Eukaryota; kingdom Metazoa; phylum Chordata; class Mammalia; order Primates; family Hominidae; genus Homo; species Homo sapiens. The sequence goes on from NC_000007.14 coordinate 44,988,152, forward strand.
AAGTGTCAAAACCCTAACAGACAGATAAGGCAGAACTGTTACTTCCAGATTACTAACGTGGAAACTAAGCCCCACCCAAACAAGTTAAGTGGTTTGTTCAAGACCTCCTACAACAGGCTGGGCGCGGTGGCTTATGCCTGTCATCCCAGCACTTTGGGAGGCCGAGGCGGGGAGGCGGGTGGATCACCTGAGGTCAGGAATTTGGGGCTAGCCTGACTGACATGGAGAAACCCGGTCTCTACTAAAAATACAAAATGAGCCGGGCGTGGTGGTGCCTGCCTGTAATCCCAGCTACTTGGGAGGCTGAGGCAGGAGAATTGCTTGAACCCAGGGGGCGGAGGTTGCGGTGAGCCGAGATCGCGCCATTGCACTCTAGCCTGGACAACAAGAGTGAAACTCCATCTCAAAAAAAAAAAAAAAAAAAAGGACCTCCTACAACAGCCAGGGCCTGGTGCAGGTTGTCCTAGCACAGGGTTCACTGGTCTGTCCATTCTGCCACTGCTATGAGATTGTAATGGCCCAACAGGTTCACCTTGCCTGCTGCCTAGGCAGAACCAATTTATCAAGACAGGTGAATTGCAATAGAGAAAGAATAATTCATGCAGAGCCAGCTGTGTGGGAAACTGGGACTTTTTTTATTACTCAAATGAGTCTCCCCAAGCATTTGGAGGTCACAGTTTTTAAGGATAATTTGGAGGGTGGGTGGCATCCAGTGAGTCAGGAGTGCTGATTGATCGGGTCAGAGATGAAATCATAGGGAATTGAAGCTGTCTTGTGCTTGAGTCAGTTCCTGGGTGGGGGCCACAAGATCTGATGAGCCAGTTTATCGATCTGGGTGGTGCCAGCTGATCCATCCAGTGCGAGGTCTGCAAAATATCTCAAGCACTGATCTTAGACTTCAGTGATGTTATTCCCGGGAGCAATTTGGGGAGGGTCAGAATCCTGTAGCCTCTAGCTGCATGACTCCTAAATCATAATTTCTAATCTTTTGGCTAATTTGTTACTCCTACAAAGGCATTCTGGTCCCCAGGCAAGATGGGGGTTTGTTTTGGGAAAGGGCTATTATTGTCTTTCTTTTAAACTATAAACTAAGTTCCTCCCAAAGTTAGTTCAGCCTACACTCAGGAATGAACAAGGACAGCTTGGAAGTTAGAAGCAAGATGGAGTTGGTTCGGTCAGATCTCTGTCACTGTCTCAGTTATAATTTTGCAATGGTGGTTTCAAGATGATGAAAGAGTACTGGGAAAGTAAATAGCTACGAAGGGCCAGAGAAGGTGTGTTACTGAAGAAAGTGGGATCTCCCAAGGGACTCAAAGAGAAGAGCTTTTTAACACAGTGATAACCCCAAAAAATTCACTAGAGAAGTGGGGGATGCGGCCAGGCGCGGTGGCTCACACCTGTATTCCCAGCACTTTGGGAGGCTGAGGTGAGCGGATCACCTGAGGTCAGGAGTTCCAAGACCAGCGTGGCCAACATGGTGAAACCCCGTCTCTACTAAAAATACAAAAATTAGCTGGGTGTGGTAGTGCATGCCTGCGGTCCCAGCTACTCAGGAGGCTGAGGCAGGGGAATCGCTTGAACTCAGGAGGTGGAGGTTGCAGTAAGCCGAGATGGCGCCACTGTACTCCAGCCTGGGTGACACAGCGAGACTCCAGCTCAAAAACAAACAACAAAGAGCCAGGCGTGGTGGCTCACACCTGTAATCCCAATACTTTGGAAGGCAGGTTAGGAGTTCAAGAGCAGGCTGGCCAACATGGTGAAACGCCATCTCTACTAAAAATACAAAAAATTAGCCGGGCATGGTAGCACACGCCTGTGATCCCAGCTACTTGGGAGGCTGAGGCAGGAGAATTGCTTGAACCTGGGAGGCAGAGGTTGCTTGAACCCAGGAGGCAAAGCCAAGTTTGTGCCATTGCACTCCAGCCTGGGCAATAGAGTGAGACTCTGTCTCAGAAAAAAAAGAGAAGGGGAGATGCTTACTTATTATCAAAGTAATTAGAGGCCAGACATCGTGGCCTGTAATCCCAGCACTTCAGGAGGCTCAGACAGGAGGATTGCTTTAGCCCAGGAGTTCAAGACCAGCTTGAGCAACATCACAAAACCCGTCTCTACAAAAAGTTTAAAAATTAGCCAGTCATGGTGGCGTCCGCTGATAGTCCCAGCTACTCAGGAGGCTGAGGTGGTGGGAAGATCACTTGAGCCCCAGAGGTTGAGGCTGCAATGAGCTGTGATTATGCCAATGCATTCCAGCTTGGGTGACACACCCAGACCCCGTCTCAAAAACAAAACAAAAAAAACAAAATCTGAAAGGATGCCAAAACATAAAAATCACATTATCAGTTTAATTGTGATTTTGCTGGGAAACTGCATGAGACTGGCACAAAGAGAGAAACATGACAGCAGTATTTTAACTGCTTATCAGAATACTAAAAATAACTTTCTTCAAACCCACATCTCAAATGAGTAATTCCATTGTTCTTCCAGGCCAACTAGTGACGCACGATATTTTTCTTCTTAGTTCAGCTAAAATCTGGGCTCTTGTCTCCCGATCAGGAAAAATTAGGCACATGGACACATTGAAGGGTCAGAATGTATTAAGTGAAAAGAAAGCCCTTAGCAAAGAGGTGGTCCTGCCAACAGGCTCCTACTCCACAGACTGAATATCAGGCCACCATACTGGAGCTGAAGAAGCCCGGCTCCCCTGCATAAAGCATGAATTCCTGGTGGCTCCACCCCATTTCCCCAGTGCACATGTAGGCCTCTAATCTGAGCCACTCCACACTGATTTATTTCCCTTACTGCACATGTGTTAAGGGATAGAATTTTTCACTGTAGGCATGTTTAGGCAAGCCCCCTGTGCATAATGACCTGGATGGCATTTGGCTGTCTCCCGCCTCTATCAGTAGCATATTTAGGGGAGGAAAGATGAATTTTCTTGCTACCCTTCTAAATTCTCAGCTAGAGTCCTTGTAACAAAAGATAGATTTTTTTTTTTTGAGACAGGGTCTCACTGTGTCTCCCAGGCTAGAGCACAGTGGTGCTATCATGGCTCACTGCAACCTCCACACCCCCAGGCTCAAGTGATCCTCCCATCTCAGCCTCCCAAGTAACTGGGACTACAGGAGCTTGCCACAACACCTGGCTATTTATTTATTTATTTTTGAGACAGAGTCTTGCTCTGTCACCCAGGCTGGAGTGCAGTGGCATGATCTCGGCTCACTGCAACCTCTGCCACCCGGGTTCAAGCAATTCTCCTGCCTCAGCCACCCGAGTAGCTGGGATTACAGGCGCTTGCCACCATGCCTGGCTAATTTTTGTATTTTTAGTAGAGGCGGGGGTTTCACCATCTTGGCCACGCTGGTCTTGAACTCCTGACCTTGTGATCCACCTGCCTCGGCTTCCCAAAGTGCTGGGATTACAAGTGTCAGCCACTGCGCCTGGCCCTAATTTTTTAATTTTTTATTTCGTAGAGATGGGCTCCTGTCATGTTGCCCAGGCTGATCTCCAGCTCCTGGGTTCAAGCAATCCTCTTGCCTTGGCCTCCCAAGATGTTGGGATTATAGGCGGGAGCCACCATGCCCAGCTCAAAAGATTAACAGGAGAAAAACAAATGGAGCTATATTAACATGTATACTTTGCATATACATGTGAGATGCCCAAGAAAATGAGTAATTCTCAAAGGAGTGGCTTAGAATTCAGGTTTAAGTACCATCTTCAGCTAAAAACAAAGAAGGGAGTGAGGAAGGCCAGTTTTGGGAAAAAGACCCGGAGAAGCACACAAAACAAGTTGCTGCCTTCTCCATTGATAAGGGTCTCTGGTGATTTAGAGTCAACTTTCTCTTCCTGGTACAGAGAGGGAGACACCCTTACAAAGAGCGATTTCTTTTAAGACTGTGAGTTTCTCTTTTTTTTTTTTTAGTATTTATTGATCATTCTTGGGTGTTTCTCAGAGAGGGGGATTTGGCAGGGTCATAGGACAATAGTGGAGGGAAGGTCAGCAGATAAACATGTGAACAAGGGTCTCTGGTTTTCCTAGGCAGAGGACCCTGCGGCCTTCCGGTGTTTGTGTCCCTGGGTACTTGAGATTAGGGAGTGGTGATGACTCTTAACGAGCATGCTGCCTTCAAGCATCTGTTTAACAAAGCACATCTTGCACCGCCCTTAATCCATTTAACCCTGAGTGGACACAGCACATGTTTCAGAGAGCATGGGGCTGAGGGTAAGGTTATAGATTAACAGCATCCCAAGGCAGAAGAATTTTTCTTAGTACATAACAAAATGGAGTCTCCTGTGTCTACTTCTCTCCACACAGACACAGCAACAATCTGATCTCTCCTTCCTTTCCCCACATTTCCCCACTTTCTACTCGACAAAACCGCCATCGTCATCATGGCCCGTTCTCAATGAGCTGTTGGGCACACCTCCCAGACGGCCTGGCGGCCGGGCAGAGGGGCTCCTCACTTCCCAGACGGGGCGGCTGCCGGGCGGAGGGGCTCCTCACTTCTCAGACGGGGCGGCTGGGCAGAGACGCTCCTCACTTCCCAGACGGGGTGGTGGCCGGGGTGAATTTCTCTTTCAAAGGGGTAGCTTATGCTGTTTTCATAGCTTCTGTTTCTCAAAATTACTAGCTCAGAATAATCCTTAGGCCAAGGAGGCATATTTTGGGGTGGCATATTCTGGTCTCCTACAGATGTATGCCTGAAAAGAAAATTAGCAATTTGGCTCTAGAAGAATAAACAGTGTTAGCTAATGAGATGTCAAAATGGAACTTGCAAGGTTGCTTCCGTTGGGGGCCACACAGTGTGGCTGTATTTCTGAGGGGTCATTCTGATCCAGAGTTGATTTGGTCCTTCATGATTTATAGGCCTGGAAACTGGATATTAAAATTCACTGATAGTTCACTCTAATCAACTCTGAAGTGTCTTTCCTTCACTAATGAAGTCTATATGGTTTTATCATGTGCACAACAGTCAAAGTGTTGCATGTCATACGTCAAAGAATAACTCAGAGAAGGCCAGGCGCGGTGGTTCATGCCTGTAATCCCAACACTTTGGGATGCCAAGGCGGGTGGATCATGAATGAGGTCAGGAGTTCGAGACCAGCCAGGCCAATATGATGAAACCCTGTCTCTACTAAAAATACAAAAATTAGCAGGGCGTGGTGGCACACGCCTGTAGTCCCAGCTACTCGGGAGGCTGAGGCAGAAGAATCGCTTGAACCCAGGAGGCAGAGGTTGCAGTGAGCCAAGATTGTGCTACTGCACTCCAGCCTGGGCCACAGAGCGAGACTCTGTCTCAAAACAAACAAACAGAAATCAGAGACATCTAGTTAGTTATTTGCAAGCCAGTTCTCATATGAGGGAGACAACTGATAGACTCAAGGACAGATGGCTGAGAGGCACAATAAGAAAACAACTGCAGTCAGTTTCGAGACCAGTGAAAAGATTCACTTAAAAAAATTGGCTGGTTGGCTGGCTGCAGTGGCTCACACCTGTGATCCCGACACTCTGGGAGGCCGAGGCTGCTGGATCACCTGAGGTCAGGAGTTTGAGACCAACCTGGCCAACATGGTGATGGTGAAACCCTGTCTCTACTAAAAATACAAAAATTGGCTGGGTGTGGTGGTGCATGCCTGTAATCCTAGCTACTCGGGAGGCTGAGGCAGGAGTCACTTGAACCCAGGAGGTGGAGGTTGCGGTGAGCCAAGATCATGCCACTGCACTCCAGCCTGGGCAATAGAGCAAGACTCTGTCTCAAAAAAGAAAAAAAATTGGCTGGAAGGCTGGGCACAGTGGCTCATGCCTGTAATCCCAGCACTTTGGGAGGCCAAGACAGATGGATTGCATGAGTCCATGCGTTCAAGACCAGCCTGGGCAACATGGTGAAACCCTGTCTCTACAAAAAATACAAAAATTAGCCAGTGTGGTGGTGTGCATCTGTAGTCCCAGCTACTTGGGAGACTGAGGTGGGAGGATAGCTGGAGCCTGGGAGGTTGAGGGTGCAGTGAGTTGAGATGGTTCCACTGCATTCTAGCCTGGGTGACAGAGTGAGACCCTGTCTCAAAAAAAAAAAAAAAATTGGCTGAAATCTAGCAAAAATGCAAATCTGGGAACACTGTCTTTGAATAGGCCAATTAAGTGTAAATTTTCAGTGTTTAGGGGTTTTCTTAAAACCAGGGAAACATTACCTGAACAGGGCCTAGCTGGGAAGCATCTATGAGAAACTATGTTCAGGTAATGTTGCCAGTGCCCCTCCACCTCAGTCTGGCTCAGTGTACATAATTTCCCTTATTAGAGTTTATTTCAGATACAAGGAGGAATCCCACATAGTCCGTACCTTCAAAGGAGCTTATTCTAGTAGAGGAAATGTCCTAAACCTGGTTAACTCTAGCATCACAGACATACAGATACAGTTATCTGGAAACTGGAGGAGGGAAAAATTGCATCCAGAAATTTAGTGGAAGATGTGATTATTGAGCTGGGTCACAAAGCTCAACAGCCAAATTCACCAGCAGTCTAAAAGACTTGGGTTTAAGCCAGGCGCGGTGGCTCACACCTGTAACCCCAGCACTCTGGGAGGCCGAAGCAGGCAGATCACGAGGTCAAGAGATCAAAACCATCCTGGCCAACATGGTGAAACCCCGTCTCTACTAAAATACAAAAATCAGTTGGGCAAAAAGATTTGGGTTTATTAACCTACCATGACCAGGGAGAGCACCCCAGAGGAAGAAGGGCTGCTTCTCATTACGAGGGAATAGGAAGGGGACTTTGTAAGGTTTGGGCTGGCCCTGAGTAATTCTGAAGAGGGGACAAGGGGAAGTGAGTATCATGGCTATAAAGTTGCTTTCATGAAGTGTGGGCAGTTTAGTAATTGGGTACCTTGGTCGCTTTTGTTCAAGATGTAGGAGCCACACAACAGGCTGGGGAGGTTATTGGTAAGAAAGCAGTAATCATAAGTAGGTGGCTGTTAGGACACTTTACAGCCAAGGTGTGACCTGGAGAGAAAGAAAAGATTGTTTTATGTTATAATTGTCTCATTGGTGTCTGTTACGAGAGACTGAATATACAAATAGACAATGGCTGGACCATTTGTACAACTAGAACTCTGACTGACAACCTGCAGAAACCTCCTCAGGAAACCAATTCGTTATCTACAGCAACCAGCCCAGGAAACAAGCCTGCTGTAAGTCATACTTGCAGGAAGCCAGGTGTTATCTCTAGTGACAATCCAGGAGTAACTTTTCTAACAGCCCCCAAAGCCTAGGACTTAATTAATAACTGGCACCCTATCTCTCACCAGATACAAAAATCAACTCAAAATGGATTAAAGACTTAAACATAAGACCTGAAACTACAAAACTACTAGAAGAAAACATAGGGGAAATGCTTCAAGACATTGAACGAGGCAAAGATTTTATGGCTAAAATTTCAAAAGCATAGGCAACAAAACCAAAAATAGACAAATGGGACTATATTAAGCGAAACTAAAAAGCTTCTGCACAGCAATGGAAACAATCAACTGAGTGAAAAGACAACCTTTAGAATGGGAGAAAATATTTGCAAACTATTCATGCGGCAAGGGACTAATATCCAGAATATACAAGGAACTCAAACAACTTGACAGCAAAAAACCACAAATAATCCATTAAAAAGTGGGCGAAGAATCTGAGTAGACATTTCTCAAAAGAAGATGTACAAAAAACAAATAGGTACATATAAAAAAATACTCAATATCATGAGTCATCAGGGAAATGCAAATCAAAACCACAATGAGATACCATTTCACCCCATTTAGAATGGTTATTATCAAAAAGGCAAAAAATAAGGGTGTTGGCGCACCTGCAGTCCCAGCTACTTAGGAGGCTGAGGTGGGAGGATCCATTGAGCCCAGGAGCCCAGCTCCTTAGCTCAAGCTGCGGTGAGCTAAGATCATGCCACTGCACTCCAGCCTGGGTAACAGAGGGAAGCCCTGTCTCTAAAAAAAAAAAAAAGACAAAAAATAAGGTTGAGCGTGGTGACTCAAGCCTATAATCCCAGCACTTTGGGAGGCTGAGGCGCGAGGATTGCTTGAGCCCAGGAATTTGAGAGCAGCCTGGGCAACATAGAGACCTCATCTCTACAAAAAGTAAAAAAATTAGCCAGGTGTGATAGCAGACACCTGTGGTTCCAGCTACTGGGGAGGCTGAGGTGGGAGGATCTCTTGAGTCTATGAGATCAAGGCTGTAGTGAGCAGTGATCATACCACTGCACTCCAGCCTGGGTGACAGAGTGAGACCTCATGTCAAAAAAAATTAGTATATATACACAATAGAATACTATTTGGCCATAGGAAAAAAAAATGAAAATGTCATTTGCAGCAACATAAATAGAGCTAGAGGTCACTATGTAAGCCTGTAATCCCAATACTTGGGAGGCTGAAGTGGGAGGATGGCTTGAACCTAGGAGTTGGAGACCAGCCTGGGCAACATAGTGACCTCATCCCTGTAAATTTTTTTTTAAACAAAAAAACAAAGACAAGTATTGCATTTACTCACTCATATGTGGGAGCTAAACAAATATTCATCTCATTGAGATAGAGACTGGGATGATAGCCACCAGAGGCTGGGAAGGGTGTGTGTTGGGGGAAAGTAGGGGGCTGAAGAGAGGTTGGTTAGCGTGTACAAACATACAGCTAAATAGAAGCAATAATTTCTCATGGGTGTGTGTGTGTGTGTGTGTGTGTGTGTGTGTGTGAGACAGATCTGGCTTGTTGCCCAGGCTGGAGTGCAGTGGTGCAATGACAGCTCACTGCAGCCTCGACCTCCTGGGCTCAAGGACCCCACTTCAGGCCCCTGAGTAGCTGGGACCACAGGTGCACACCACTATGCCCAGCTAATTTTTGTATTTTTTGTAGAAGAAGGATCTCACTATATTGCCCAGGCTGGTCTCCAATTCCTGGGTTCACGTGATCTTCCCAGCTTAGCCTCTCCAAGTGCTCGGATTACGGGTTTGAGCCACCACACCCAGCCTAAATTCTAATGTTCCATAGCAGAGTAAGATGACTATAGTTAATAACAATGTACTGTATATTTCAGAATAGCTAGGAGAGATCTGAAATGTCTCCAACACAAAGAAATAAGTGTTCAGGTGACGAATATCCTAAATACCCTGATTTTATTATTACACATCATATGCATGTATCAAAATATCACATGTATTTTGGCCGGGTGCAGTGGCTCATGCCTGTAATCTCAGCACTTTGGGAGGCTAAGGTGGACAGATCACATGAGGCCAGGAGTTCGAGACCAGCCTGGGCAACATGGTGAAACCCTGTCTCTACTAAAAATACAGAAATTAGCCGGGCGTGGTAGTGGGCACCTGTAATTCCAGCTACTCCGGAGGCAGGAGAATCGCTTGAAACTGGGGGGTGGATGTTGCAGTGAGCTGAGATTGCACCACTGCACTACAGCCTGGGCAATACAGAGTAAGACTCTGTCTCAAAAAAAAAAAAAAAAAAAAAATTAGCCTGGTGTGGTGGTGCATGCCTGTAATCCCAGCTACTTGGGAAGCTGAGGCAGGAGAATTGCTTGAACCTGGGAGGCAGAGGTTGCAGTGAGCTGAAATCATGCCACTGCACTCCAGCCTGGGTGACAGAGTGAGACTCTGCCTCACACACACACACAAATCACATGTACCTCATAAATATGTACAATTATTATGTGTTAGCTGGGTGCGATGGCTCATGCCTATAATCCCAGCACTTTGGGAGGCTGAGGAGGGAGGATTGCTTGAGCCTAGGAGTTTGAGACCAGCCTGGGCAACATAGTGTGACCTTGTCTCAACAAAAATATACTAAAATTAGCCAGGCTTGGTGATGCGTCCTTGTAGTCCCAGCTACTTGGGAGGCTGAGATGGGAGGATTGCTTGAGCCCAGGAGGTTGAAGCTTCAGTGAGCCATGACTGCATCACTGCACTCTAACCTGAAGGACAGAGTGAGACTTTATCTCTAAAAATACAAAAGAAACAAAAAATTATTTGTCAATTAAAAAAAAACTGGCAGCTTTCCTAGTTTTCGGTCCTGCTTCCAGCTTAGGAGCAACCAGAGAAAGACAAATATGTGCCCCTAACCAATCACTTGGGATGCCCTGCCCCTTGCTTCCCCAGGCCAACAGCCTCAAATGAGGACATCCCTGGAGGCTTCCCTTTTTTCACTATAAAGCTTACCCACTCCTCTGCCTGACATTGAGTCTCATCCAAATACAAATGATGGTGGCTGACTCCCTTGTTATAGCAAGCTAACAGCCTTTTTGCTTTTCTCATTTTATTGTCTTTATTCCCAGTTATCACCATCTGATCATTAGCCAGTGGACTTTTGCTTGAAGCATGAACCTGTGTATGCAAAGACAGGGCAAAGGTATTCTGATGGATAAGAACAGCCTGAGGAAGTCAGCACATCCAGAGTTAGGCTAAGAGAAGTTTTAGTAGTGTTGTTTACTGTATTATGGAGTGATAAATATGCATTTGTGGAAGACGGTGGAAGACTTTAAATATCAGGCCTTTGTTCTGTGAATGGTGGGAAAATAATGACAACCAGATGCGCTACATCATTTGCGTGTGTAAATGTGGCAAGCTGGATTATTGCAGAAGGCAGATTGAAAGGGTGTTTCCACTATCTCTGCTTTATCTTGCAGAGAATGGAATACTTATGCCTTTGGAGAGGTCTAGAGACCAAGTATTTCTTTTGAATATCAGTATAACATAGGCCCAGTCAGGAGACAGAAACACAGTAAAGAAAAGTTTAATATAAAGAATTATTAGGCCGGGCGCGGTGGCTCACGCCTGTAATCCCAGCACTTTGGGAGGCCGAGGTGGGCGGATCACCAGGTCAGGAGATCCAGACCATGGTGAAACCCCGTCTCTACTAAAAATACAAAAATTAGCCAGGTGTGGTGGCTGGCGCCTGTAGTCCCAGCTACTCGGGAGGCTGAGGCAGGAGAACGGCGTGAACCCGCGAGGCAGAGCTTGCAGTGAGCCGAGATCCACGCCACTGGCACTCCAGCCTGGGCGACAGAGCAAGGCTCCGTCTCAAAAAAAAAAAAAAACCACCAAAAAAACACAGTTTACATTCTAGCTGTGCTACAAAGTTCTTACCGGCAGATTGGTTTAGTGGCAAAATAGCAGACCTGCTGGTGACTCCAATTTGTAGTGTGCTTTTGGGCGAATCACCTCATTCCCCGGACCTCATCTGGAAAATGTGGAAATTATACCGGATGACTGGTAAGGTTCTACGATTTTATTCTGATAGGGTCTGCACATCCTTGTGGTTGCACTTCTATTTTCCAAATGTGTTTGTCTAAGGCAGGCAGACTTTATAACAGAGAAGTACTAGAAAACGGATTCCCTGTGGCTCAGGGAATAAAGTGGGACACAAGAAAAAAGAAAACCGCACCGCACCCAGACTCTCGGCGGGACGCCCCGCCCCTCAACAGTGGCCGCCTCCTCGCGCCCCTCCTTCGCCATCTGCCGGCCGCGTCCCCTCCCGCCGGCCCCCGTCCCCCGTCCCCCGCCCCCCGTCCCCTTTTCAGAGACCTGAGCTCCGCCTCCCTGGACGCGAGGCAGGCTGGGAAGTCGGCCGCCGTAAAGATGGCGGCAAATTGAAAAAGTTGGAGCTGCTCCCGCGCGCGCTCCCGCGCGCGCTGAGTGGGCGGAGCGAACAGGGGGCTGGACAGGTGCGTTCTCGCGGCCGTGCAGAAGCGAAGTAGGGGTAGGAGCGTTTCCGGCTCTCCTGAAGGACGCGGGGCGGGGTGGGGGTGGTGCAAGGCAGGCGCGTTCTCGGCCGTCCTGAAGGGGCAGGATCTTCAGCCTGTGGGCGGTGCTCTCGCCGTGAGCGGGGCCAACGGGCCGTGTTCTCCCTGAAGGGGCGGGGTCTGATCGCTGCGGGTCGGATTCCCTTGGGCCTGAAAGTGAGGATGAGCGACAACCGTGGGCGGGGCCTGCGCTGGGGAAGGTGGGGCCTGGGCGGGGCGGAGGGGGCTCGGGCCCGGAAGTGCGGGTGTGGGGCGCGGCCGGGGCGGAGACTTCGGGCCCGGCTGGCGGGCGGCGCCGGGAGCGCGGGGGCGGCGGGCCCGGGTCGAGCATGTAGCGGCTGCTGGCGGCGGGGCTCCCGGGGCGGGCCGGGCGGGCCGCGGGAGCCGCACGCGGCGATATGGAAGAGGAGGGCAAGAAGGGCAAGAAGGTGAGCGTGCGCGGGGGCGTCCTACTGCTGTGGTCGGCGGGCGGCTGGGTTGAGGGGCCAGGGTGGGGTGGGCGGGTGTTCCTTGGGGCCCGGGGGGGGGGGCAGTGGGCCAGCTGGCGGGGCGGGGCGGGGCAGGGCGAGACCCCGGACAATGGTCAGGTGGGCTTTCGCGGCCGGGCGGGCAGGAAGCGCCGCGCCTTTCCTCTGGCCCGGGCAGCGGCTCGCCCCGACCTCGGCCCCAGACGGCCTTCCCTGCGCGTCGGGACCTGGGGCTGCAGAGGAAGTGGGCCCGGCGAGGGGCCAGAAAGCTGTCCAGGGCTGGAACTGGAGCTAGTGGGCTGTGTGGTTAACGTGGAGACGTTTGCTGCTCACTGGACTTCGTTTTTGGATATCCAGTAAAAGCAAGGGTGGCCTTCACCTTATGGCCAGCTCACTCGTCCACTATCACTCAGACCTAAAACCATTGATTGATTTTAGTGACGCTAGCTACATTTGGCAGTGGGATTTAGGACATAGTTCATAGTCAAACCCCAGTTTATGTAGTTTTACAAAATGTGGCTTTAATTACAGTAAAGGGTTATAGTAGTCGATAAAGAAACATTTTAAGACTGGAAAAACGATGTGGATTGAACTACCATTAAAGTGGAAAATGGATTTTAATAAAATGTATCTTTTTCAAATAAATGCTTTATAATCTTCACGTCTTGGCTATCATTTTCTTTTTGATGTGTGTGTGCGCACTTTTATCCACAAGTTTAAAGCAGACCTCGATAATTCCTAACTATGATTTTACTACCCTGAACTCTGCAGGGAAGTGTCCTTTAATTGACAGCTACTCACCACCTTGTTTGACAGAGTGCCCCATTTAAAAGTCCTGTTTGAAATAGAATGTAGCCAGGTGGCCTTCAGGGAGTCCTGTGGTGCTGGTTCTCTACTTTCTCAACTCATTGTTTCATGTTAGCACCATGCATGTCTAATTTAGGTGCAGTATAATTTGCGGTTATCTACAAAGATGTTTTAAGTCTGGAAAATAGCTCAAGATAGTGATTCAGCCTGCAGGTGTTAGATTAGAGATGCGTGCTGCGCACAGAAGAGGGAGGAGCCAAGCAGTGTAAAAGGAGTTAGCTGGAAAGGAGAGGTGCTAACCCGGTGGCTGCTTAGTAGGGACCATCAGGCCCGAGTGTGGATGATGCTGAGCTTTGCGGAAAGTGAGCCATGTGCTCTGTGGAATGCCGGGATCCAAGAGCGCGCTAAGGACTGATGACCTCATTGTGCACCGCTTACAGGAGTACCTGGCCCATCTACCTGTGTGTGATAGGCAAGGATGGAATTGAGTGATTTTTTTTTCTAGAGCTGTCTATCAGCTTTGGTAGAAACATGAAACACCCAGCAAATAGGGAGAGAGAGAGAGAAGCAGTAAGACTGTTTTTGGGGTACAAGTGAAAAAACAGTAAAATTATCAAGAATTTTCCAGTTGGGTAATGAAAAAATTTAGGCATAAACAGGTTAATTATTAATTTCATTTTCTCACTAGAGGAGATAATCAGTTGTTATGTAGTTGCTTAAGCCAGGGGTTTTGTGTTTTTTCTGTATTCTGCCACTTGTCTTAGCTTGTTTCCTGTAGACAAGCCAGACAAGGAGCTTTGGGGCATGGATTCTTCTCCAGGTCATGACTTAACACTACCTCGTGTACTCTGCCAGTTGCAAGCTGGCAGAACCTTCCTGCTCAGCTACCACATTCAATGTGAGATCACCTCCAGTTTAATAACTTCGGTGGTTAAATCATTCTCATTAAGGTAAATTGCATTGCTCTAAACTTATACACAAATTCAGACATAAGTAGCAGAAGTGCTGACAATAGTTTTATGAAGGTACAGTTTGGACGCTTAAATTCTTCTAAGTTAGCTTCTTCAAAAAATGCAGAATTAGGCTGGGTATGGTAGCTACGCCTGTAATCCAGCACTTTGGGAGGCCAAGGCTCGATCACTTTAGCTCAGGAGTTCGAGACCAGCCTGGGCAACATGGCAAAACCCCATCTATACAAAAAATACAGAAATTAGCCAGGCGCGGCAGCGCTCGCCTATAGTCTCAGCTACTTGGGAGGCTGAGGCAGGAGGATCACCTGAGCTCAGGTGGGCCTTTTTTTTTTTTTTCTTTTTAATCTCAGACACTTGTCTTGGTGTCTGCCAAGCAGTGATTCAGGCTTTTTTTTACCTCGGCCCATTTTCCTCAGGACACAGGAATCAGTGAGTTGGCAGAGAACCTATGGACCAAAGTGAGTCTCACGGAAACTTGGCCCCAGTGTATCACTGCCCTTTCTCAAGTCACCTCAGCACATGTGGTGATGATGACTGTACACCTGGGTTTCCTCAAGTGGGCCATGGTTCGTTTAACAAATGTCTGTTGAGCCCCTCTTGTGTCCCATGAAACTCACTGGGTGATGGGGATACAGGAAGAGCTTGTGGCCCCCAGGAGCTGATGGGGAGATGGATCACTCATGGGTCCATCTGAAGGAATGAGTGCATTGACAGAAAAGTCCTCTGGCCACTAAAGGTGTGGGGCCTGGGGAGTAGAAGTGACCACTTGGGGCTGCTCTTCTGTCCTGATGTCTACAGAGTGTCTACTTTTTAGCCTACAAGTTCTGTTTTGGGGTTTGGAGAATAAGGCTCCTACCTACGGTATGGACTCATGTTCTGTGCATTGTGGCACTATGTAATTCCTTTTTTTTTGAGATAGAGTTTCGCTCTTGTTGCCCAGGCTGGAGTGCAATGGCACGATCTCAGCTCACTGCAACCTCCGCCTCCCGGGTTCAGGTGATTCTCTTGCCTCAGCCTCCCGAGTAGCTGGGATTACAGGCGTGTGCCATCATGCCCAGCTAATTTTTGTATTTTTAGTAGAGACGGGGTTTCTCCATGTTGGTCAGGCTAGTCTCAAACTCCGGATCTCAGGTGATCCACCCACCTTGGCCTCCCAAGGTGCTGGGTGGCTGAGCCACCGCACCTGACAGTAATTCCTTTTTATTAGAAACTTGGATGCACTTAAGTTGGGTTGTGTGGATTTTTATACTCAGATCACAGCCCAAAAAAGCTGTCTTGTCAGGGTTGGGTGTAGGTAATCCTAACACTTTGGGAGGCCGAAGCAGGCGGATCACTTGACACCAGGAGTTTGAGACCAGCCTGGCCAGCATGGTGAAACCCCGTCTCTACTAAAAATACAAAATTAGCTGGGCGTGGTGGCATGTGCCTATAATCCCAGTTAGGAGGCTGAGGCAGGAGAATCTCTTGAACCCGGGAGGTGGAGGTTGCAGTGAGCTGAGATCATGCCACTGTACTCCAGCCTGGGCAACAGGGCAAGACTCCATCTCCAAAAAAAAAAAAAAACCATCTTGTGGCCTTAACCTTGTGGGTCTCAGCTTCTCTGCTGCCTCTGGTCTTCGGTTGCCCCACCAGGTGGCTATGATTTCACACTGATCAAAGTTAAATATTTTTACATTCATCTAGTTTATTTGCATTGTTTAAGGTAGAAAAAGGTTATAGGTTGAGTGTAGTGGCTACGCCTGTAATCCCAGCACTTTGGGAGACTGAGGTGGGAGGATCACTTGAGCCTAGGAGTTTGAGATCAGCCTGGACAATGTAGTGAGACCCTATCTCTACAAAAAATAAGAAAATTAGCTGAGCATGGTGGTGCATGCCTGTAGTTCCAGCTACTTGGGATGCTGAGAAGGGAAGATCGCTTGAGCCCTGGAGGTCGAGGCTGCAGTGAGTGTGATTGTGCCACCACCTGAGTGACAGCAAGACCCTGTCTCAAGAAGAAAAAGAGAAAAAAAAGGTTATAAAGTTCCCTAGAAATGTAGGACTAGATATTAAATAATAAATAAGGAATTATTAATTTTGTTGGGTATGATAATTAAGTTCTGATCTGATAGGCATGTATTCTGAGATATTTGTAGGTGAAATAATATGATTTCTGGGATTTGCTTTACTCAAAATAGAAGAAACAAAGGGGATAGCTGAATGCTTTGGTAATGGTTATATATTGTTCTGTCTACTTTTATGTATTTTTGAGAATTTCCATAATAAAAAGTGGAGGGGAAAAGATCCTCTAGGTTACAGGCCCTGAACTATCAGCTGCTGTAGTCACTGCTGGACCAGTGTCTGTGAGGAACTGAAAGCTTGGATTGGACCAGTACCTTTTAAAATTTGGTCACTGCAGGCACCAGGAAGCCATACCTTCTCCATGCTGACCTGATGCAGACATAAATGTGTGTGTCTGTATAACCGAAGTGAAAGTTTAAAGGAACCACACTTAAACGCTCTGATTTTTTAATTCTATTTTTTTTTCTTTCTATTACAACTGGTGGTTGGCCAGGTGCGGTGGCTCACACTGGTAATCCCAGCACTTTGGGAGGCTGAGGTGGGTGGATCACCTGTCAGGAGTCTGAGACCAGCCATGGTGAAACCCCATCTCTACTAAAAATACAAAAATTAGCTGAGCGTGGTGGTGGGGCCTGTAATCCTAGCTACTTGTGAGGCTGAGGCAGGAGAATTGCTTGAACTCGGGAGATGGAGGTTGCAGTGAGCTGAGAATGTGCCATTGCGCTCCAGCCTGGGCGACAAGAGTAAGACTCCGTCTCAAAAAAAAAAAAAAGGCTCATGGTCATGACCCACTAAACCGATTCTATAACTGTCACAAGCCATACTTGGGTTCAGAAGGTGAATTGGGGCTGCTATATTTTGTTTTATTTTTCCTCTTGGGTAGCTATTGCAGTGATTCTTGGATGGCAACTTGGTAACTCAGGGTCAGGAGGCTGGAGAACCAGGCAGGAGGTGCTCAGCAGAGAACCTAAGGCAGCCAGTAGGTGAGGCCAGAATGATCGGCAACATAAGGCTGGTTACTTTTCTGTCTTGAAGAGTTACCATTTACATAGTATGTATTTGTTAATTTTCAACATATTGTCAGATTCTGTCATAATTTAGATTCAGAAAGCACATCAGAACCTTCCAGGGCTGCTCTGAGCATCCTTTCAGAGGAAGATAGTGTAAAGCAAAACGTTTCTCTTAGCAATATTATTGCAGTGAAGGGCTTCCCTGCAGACGAGAAGGGCGTCTGCAGTCTGCCCCACTGGGGCGCTTACTCTTGATCTTCCAGTTTTTTCATTTCCGTCAGCAGTGCCCCCTCCTTGTTGTCACTTTGCAGTGTAAGTAAATGGTCATGATTAAGTCCTATAAACCTAACTATTGAGCATTTAAATCACCCTCTATTGTTGGTTTACGTGGTGGCGATACAAGTTTTTAGTGAGATAACTTGGTCATGCCTTGCCTATTATGTGCTTAGCCCACTGAGAAGAGGGTTAGGGACATTGCACTTTGGAAAGTAGGTCACTTACACCTAAAATTAGAGACTAAAGGCAGACCTAGGATGTCAGAAGAGACATGGGGCAGGCAGCAGCCACTTCCAGCCAGGTTGAGACCGGGACTGTGTCCTGCAGTTCAGAAGCAGAGATGAGGTGGAGAGGACCCCCCAGTCCTGGGAAGTCCTTGGGCTGGGAAGTTGGGTGTTGGTTCTGTATGCACTTGAAGCCACTGGAGGTGTTCCACATCATGCATTCACTTGTCCATTAAACTATTGTTTATTAGCACCAATGGTGTCAGACACAGATGCTGGAGACTGAAATGTGTACGGTGAGCCTGTGGCTGCAGAGCAGGAAGTGGAGCCCGGGGATGGATGGTGGGAGCAGGCTTTGGTAAGAGTGATCAGGAACACCTTTATGAAAACTTCAAAAGCAAATGTAAAGAAAAAAAATCATGTAACGAAGTCCCCTGTGCCCATGTGTGGGCAGTCAGTTTCATGTGCACCTTCTCCTCATTCCTGCTTCCTGCCTGTGTGGGCCGAATAGTGTCCCCTCAGAGTCATGTGCTGAAGCCCCTACTTCCAGGACCTCAGGATGTGACTGTATTTGAAGATGGAGTCTTTTTTTTTTTATTTGTTTTTATTTTAGACGGAGTCTTGTTGCTCTGTCACCCAGGCTGGAGTGCAGTGGTGCAATCTTGGCTCGCTGCAAGCTCCGCCTCCCAGGTTCCCGCCATTCTCCTGCCTCGGCCTCCTGAGTAGCTAGGACTACAGGTGCCCGCCACCACACCTGGCTAATTTTTTTGTATTTTTGGTAGAGATGGGGTTTCACCGTATTAGCCAGGATGGTCTCAATCTCCTGACTCCGTGATCCACCCACCTCGGCCTCCCAAAGTGCTGGGATTATAGGCTTGAGCCACCATGCCTGGCCTGAAGATGGAGTCTTTAAGGAGGTGATTGAGGTAAAATGAGGTAATTGTGTGGGCCCTAATCCAATCTGATGGATGTCCTTATAGGAAGTTATTAGGACACAGAGAGGAATGATCATTGGAGGACTCATGGAGAAGGCAGCCATCTGCAAGCCAAGGAGAGACCTCAGGAGAAACCACCCTGCTAAATTTACCTTGATCTTGGACTTTCAGCATCTAGACTCTAAGAGAATAAGTTTCTATTATTGAAGCCACTCAAGTCTATAATACTTAGTCCTGGCAGCCCAAGAAGGCTAATGCACCAGGTGATTTTGAAGCAAACCCTAGAGTTCAGTTTGTAGATAGAAGTGCAGTAGTAACTCATCAAGACAGAAGAGTAACAAGCCTTATGTTGCTGGTCATTCTGGCCTCATCTGCTGGCTGCCTTAGGGTCTCTGGGGTGAGTTCTGAGGACCAAGTCTACACTGTCAACATGGCCACGGACGAGCTGCTCAGAGTGACAGGACAACCCTCACTGTGCTGTATGTAAACCATAAATCACAGCACACTCTTTGTGGTTGGGAGAACATGTATGGTGTTTTGGGAGCTGGCACAGTCAGGGATGTCATTCATTTCATCTGGGACAGGCTTTGTGCTCTGGGATCTGTGGCGGGAGCAGTGAGCCCAGCCATGTCCTCTGCATGCATCGCTGTGTCCTTGTGAACAGTGGATCTTTGTTAGCGCGCTTCGCACTCCTTGGCTTTTTTATCTTTCAATCAAGAACAGCAACTGCTCTTCAAATGATTCTACAGGTATGAGGGAGTTTACATTTGGATTTGTCAATGGAACCATTAGGATTTTTTGTTTGTTTGTTTTGTAAAAATAAGAACTTTTTTCCTTAGCCTTGTGTCTGTGCCAAAAATGTGACCTTTTTTTTTCTCCCAAGTGTGCCCAAACAGTAACAATTTTTTGCTTGGATTATGTTAAGAATTAGGGCATTTGACCATAGGCATTAGATGTATGTGCAATGAAAGTGATCCCCTTTAATAAGCATAATAGGAACATGGAATTTGGGCTTTTGTTTGCAGCTTAGGATGATGGTGTGTCTTGTAACCCAAGGAGGTTTTTCACTTTTCTGAAAGTGAGAAGACTGGTCAGCCTAAACCCGTGGTGTCACTGTTCTTAAGGGAAACCTAGTTGAGGAGTGGGAGATAACCATTTCACATGTTGTTTTTGTACCTTGGAGAAAAAAAAGAGAGAAGCCTTTATTTAAATCTTTATGTCTATTCTATAGTTTAAAATTCCATACAGGTTTTTTTCAAAAAATCAAATTTGCTTCCTGTGTGTTGTCACCATGAGCTCTCTGGTCAGGTGTGGAAACTGAAATGTTTCCCTTGTTGGTTTATGTGGTGGGGTACATTTTTTTTTTTTTTTTTTTTTGAGGTGGAGTCTTGCTCTGCTGCCCAGGCTGGAGTGCAGTTGCATGACCTCAGCTCACTGCAGGCTCCGCCTCCTGGGTTCAAGCAATTCTGCCTCAGCCTCCCAAGTAGCTGGGACTATAGGTGCGTGTTCCCATGCCCGGCTAATTTTTTTATTTTTGGTAGAGATGGGGTTTCCCCATGTTGGCAAGAATGGTCTTGATCTCTTGACCTCATGATCCACCCGCCTCGTCCTCCCGAAGTCCTGACCAATGTGTGCCTCTGTGTGCCACCGTGCCTGGCCAAGGGTACATGTTCTTTTTTTTTTTTTTTTTTTTTTTTTTTGAGACAGTTTTGCTCTTGCCCAGGCTGGAGTGCAGTGGCGCGATCTCGGCTCACCACAACCTCTACCTCCCAGGTTCAAGCGATTCTCCTGCCTCAGCCTTCCCAAGTAGCTGGGATTACAGGCATGCGCCACCAAGTCCGGCTAATTTTGTATTTTTAGTAGAGACGGGGTTTCTCCATGTGGGTCAGACTGGTCTCAAACTCCCAACCTCAGGTGATCCACCTACCTCGGCCTCCCAAAGTACTGGGATTACAGGCGTGAGCCACCGCACCCGGCCAAGGGTACATGTTCTTAATGAGATGCCTTGGTCAGGTCTAAGTGTCAGTTATGGTGCATGTTGATTTTCTGTCAGATGTCTGAAAATGCCCTAGATATGATTATGTCTAGCTAATTTATTACTGCCATTAGATACATCACCTTTACATAGCTTTTACTTTTCATGCTACTGGGTATAGACAATAACCATAGCCCACCTGCCTGTGCACTTCTAATATCAGGCTGAGTTCAAGTTCCTTTCTAAGGCTCCCCCTCTCACTTAGTATTGTCCGTCTTTCTTGAAAGAGGTATGTGCAGCCTCCGTGTTTGCTTTTTCCAGCACATTCTTCCACCCTCAGCATTTTATGATGAAAATTTTTGGGACAGGCACGGTGCTCACGCCTCTAATCCCAGCACTTTAGAAGGCCAAGGCAGGCAGATCACCTGAGATCAGAAGTTCAAGACCAGCCTGGCCAACATGGCGAAATGCTATCTCTACAAAAATACAAAAATAAGCAGGGCATGGTGGTGTGTGCCTGTAATCCCAGCTACTCCAGAGGCTGAGGCAGGAGAATCGCTTGAACCCGGGAGGCAGAGGTTGCTGTGAGCCAAGATTGCGCCATTGCACTCCAGCCTGGGCGACAGAGGGAGCCTCTGTCTCAAAAAAAAAAAAAAAAAAAAAATTTTTGAGTACACCAAAGTTGAAAGAATTTTGCAGTGAATACTTGCACCTAGATTCTGCCACTAACGTTGGCTATACTTGTTTTTTTTTTTTTTTTTTTTGAGACGGAGTCTCACTCTGTCACCTAGGATGGAGTGCAATGGCGTGATTTCGGCTCATTGCAACCTCCGCCTCCTTTGTTCAAGCGATTCTCCTGCCTCAGCCTCCCCAGCAGCTGGGATTACAGGCATGTGCCATCACGCCTGGCTAAGTTTTTGTATTTAGTAGAGATAGGGTTTCACCATGTTGGTGGGGCTGGTCTAGAACTCCTGACCTCAGATGATCCGCCCACCTCGGCCTCCCAAAGTGCTGGGATTACACTCATGAGCCACCCTGCCTGGCCTGGCTATACTTGTTTTATCCCATATCTAGCATTTGTTTATCACTGTACCTGCCCATCAACTCATTTTATTTTTCTGATGCATTCCTCAATAAATTGCAGACATTGTTTCACTTTGATCTAAATACATTAGCATGCATGTCATTAACTAGGGTTCAATATTTGCTTACAGTTTTCTTTTGATGTAAAATTATGTAACAATGAAATACACACTTTTTTTTTTTTTTTAAACAGGGTCTCACTCTGTCACAGAGGCTGGAGTGCCGTGGTGCAATCATGGCACACTGCAGCCTTGACTTCCCAGACTCAAGTGATCCTCCCGCCCCAGTCTCCTCAGTAGCTAGGACTAAATGGGTTTGTCACCATGCCCAGCTAATTTTTTTTATTTTTTGTAGAGACGAGGTCTCACTGTGTTGCCCAGGCTGGTCTTGAATTCCTGGGCTTAAGCAATCCTTCTGTCTCGGCCTGCCAAAGTGTTGGTATTACAGGCGTGAGCCACTGCTCCTGGCCAAATAATACACATCTTCAGTGAATATTAGCTAAATTTTGACAAATGCATACTCCTACGTAACTGAAACCCCTACTAAGAAATAAAATATTACCTACCATCACTGAGAAAATTCCCTTATGCCCCTTAGAAAGTCCTTCCCCCAAGGTAGTACTGTTCTGATTTTTTTCCACCATAGGTTAATTTTGTTCATTCTAGAACTTCATACAGATGGATTCATACAGTATACATTGTGTTGTGCAGGGATCACTGTACTCAGCATAATGTTTTTGAGATTTATCCATATATTGCTGCATGTTTCAGTTGCTGAGTAATATTTTGTTGTATGTTTATGCTGTGATTTGTTTATTCATTTGTTGGAGATTTAGTTTCTTTCTAGTTTGTGTATATATATATATATTTTTTTGAGATGGAGTTTTGCTCTTGTCGCACAGACTGGAATGCAATGGTGTGATCTCAGCTCACTGTAACCTCTGCCTCCTGGGTTCAAGTGATTCTCCTGCCTCAGCCTCCTGAGTAGGTGGGATTATAGGTGCCCGCCACGATGCCTGGCTAATTTTTGTATTTTTAGTAGAGATGGGGTTTCACCATGTTGGCCAGGCTGGTCTCGAACCCCTGACCTCAGGTGATACACTTGCCACGGCCTCCCAGTCTACTTTGTATTTTGAAAAAGCTGCTGTGAACATTTGTGAATGAGTCATTATGTGAACATGTTTTCATTTATTTTGGGTAAATACCTAATAATGGAATTGCTGAATTTTATGGGAACTATATGTTTAACTTTATAAGACACTGCCAAACTTTCTGCTAAATTTTTGTCTCCTAATTCTTTGTTTTTTTCTCTTTCCAGAGACAGGGTCTCATTCTGTAACCCAGGCTGGAGTGTAGTGGTGCAATCAGAGCTCAGTATAACCTCAAACTCCTGCAGTTCTCATGCCTCAACCTCCCAAGTAGTTAGGACGATAGGTGTGTGCCACTATGCCCAGCTAAATTTTTTTTTTTTTTGAGACGGAGTCTCACTCTTGTTGCCCAGGTTGGAGTGCAATGGTGCGATCTCAGCTCACTGCAGCCTCTGCCTCCCAAGTTCTAGTTATTCTCATGCCTCAGCCTCCCTGGTAGCTGGGATTACAGGTGCCCGCCACCACACCCGGCTAATTTTTGTATTTTTAGTAGAGATGGGGTTTCACCATGTTGGCCGGGCTCCTCTCGAACTCCTGACCTCAGGTGATCCAGCTGCCTTGGCCTCCCAAAGTGCTGGGATTATAGGTGTGAGCCACTGTACCCAGCTGGGCTAATTTTTAAAAATTTTTATTTTTATGTTTTATTTTTTAATGGTTGCTTTATTTATTTATTTATTTACTGAGATGGAGTCTCACTCTGTTGCCCAGGCTGGGGTGCAGTGGCGTGATCTTGGCTCACTGCAACCTCTGCCTCCTGGTTTCAATCAATTCTCCTACCTCAGCCTCCCAAGTAGCTGAGATTACTGGTGCCCACCACTATGCCTGGCTAATTTTTGTATTTTTAGTAGAGGTGAGGTTTCAATATGTTGGCCAGGATGATCTCAAATTCTTGATCTCAAGTGATCTGCCTGCCTTGGCCTCTCTAAAAGTGCTGAGATTATAGGTGTAAGCCATCGTGCCCTGCCCTGGCTAACTTTTTAAAAAGTTTTTGTAGAGTATCAGTATTTTAGTATGTTGTCCAGGGTGGTCTTGGACACCTGGCCTAAAGCCACCTTGGCCTCCCAAAGTGCTGGGATTACAGGCATGAGCCACTGCATCCAGCTAATCCTGTCAGTTATTGAGAGAGAGGGTGTTAAGTTCTCTAGTTATTATTTTGGATTTGTTTTTCCCTTTAGTTAGTTTTGGCTTCATGTATTTTGAAGCTCTGTTGTTAAGTACATACACATTTAGGATCATAATATCTTTTTTTTTTTTTTTTTTTTGAGATGGTAGTCTTTCTCTCTTACCCAGGCTGCAGTGTAGTGCTACGATCTTGGCTAACTGCAACCTCCACCTCCTGGGTTCAAGTGATTCTCCTGTCTCAGCCTTCTGAGTAGCTGGAATTACAGGCATGCACCACCATGCCCAGGTAATTTTTGTATTTTTAGTAGAGACGGGGTTTTGCCATGTTAGCCAGCCTGGTCTTGAACTCCTGACCTCAGGTGATCCACCCGCCTCGGCCTCCCAAAGTGCTGGGATTACAGGTGTGAGCCACTGCTCCCAGCCCATAATGTCTTGTTGAAATGAATCTTTTTCATTATGACATGACCATCTTTATTTCTAGTAAGACTTCTTGTCCCAATCTCTTGTCTGATATTAATATAGCTACACCACATTCTTTTTTTGCCTTAGGGACTTTAGCAACTGCCGAAGAGTCTCGCTCTGTCGCCGAGGCTGGAGAGCAGTAGTATGATCATAACTCACTGCAGCCTTGAACTCCTGGGCTCAAGTGATCTTCTGCCTCAGCCTCCCAGGTAGCTGGGAGTACAGGTGTGCGCCACCATGCCTGGCTAATTTTTTTTTTTTTAGAGATGGGGTCTCACTATGTTGCCCAGGTCGTCTCAAACTCCTGGCCTCAGTGATCCTCTTCAGCCTCCCGAGAAGCTGGGGTTACGGCCTTGAGCCAGCCACACCTGGCTACCCCACTTTCTTATGCTGCATGTTTGCATGGTGTGTGTCTTTCAACAAGTCTGGAGTTTTAAACTGCATGCTTTATAAAGAGCATTTTGTTACAGCTTGCTTTTTTATCTAGTCTGATAGTTTCTGCCTTTTAATTGTGAAGTTTACATAATTGATGTCATTATGTTTAAGTCTATCATTTTGATATTTGTTTTCTCTTTCCCTTTGTGCTTTCTTCCTTTGTTTCTCCTTTTTGATTATTTTTAACTCTGTTCTATTGCTACTGGCTTTTTTGCTGTAACTCCTCTATATATTGCTATATATATCCATGTCTTGTCACAGATTACCATCCATTAATATCATTTCTTTCTTGTACACTGTAAGAACCTATCAGCAGTATCATTCCATTTGTACTCCCTCCTGTTTTTTGCAAACTTTTTGGCATATATTTTCTTTCTATACGTGTTATAAATCTTACATTAGATTTTTTTTTTGCTTTAAACAATCGACTTTTCACCTTTTTATATTGAAATGATTTAATTATATATACGTAGTAGACTTAAAGCACACAGAGTATATACAGAGTACACAGAGCCCTCATACGCCTTCCACCCAGATCCCTCAAGTGTTAACATTTCTGAACCATTAAGAATAAGCTGTAGACATAATGCCCCATGACCCTTTAACACTTCAACTGTACCTTCCTTGGTACAAGGACACTCTAACCACACCATTCTGACATCATTAAAATCAGGAAATTGACATCCATTTGATCTTGCTACGTAATTCATGACCCCACCCAGACTTGCTGATTGTTATGATACTTTCTTTATATAGCTCTAGGATCCATAGATTTTATAGATTCAGGATCATGTGTTGCATTTGGTTTGCATGTCTCTTTAGGCTCTTTGAACTTGAAATGGTTCCTAGTCTTTTCTTGTCTCTGATGATTGATATTTTTGAAGATTACAGATCAGTTAGTAGGATGTCTCTCAGTTGGGTCTGTTTTTTCCTCATGAGTTTATGTGTTTTTGATAGGACTGCCACACAGATGATGTATTCTTCTCATTGCATCATATCAGGGAAAATAATGTCGATTTGTCCCATGTTGGTGATGTTAACTGTGGTTACTTGGTTAAGATAGTCTTGCCAAGTTTCTTCATTTTAAAGTTCTTATTTATTCTTATTTTACTTACAAGACTGTAGTTCTCTAGTATCCTTATTTATTTTGAAGCTCAAATTGTCCCAAACTCAGCCAGTGGGAAGCACTTTAAGCTGGCTCTGGTCTCTTATTTGTATTTTTATTTATTTTAATTATTATTACTTTTTTTGAGATGGTGTCTTACTCTGTTGCCCAGGCCGGAGTGCAGTGGCACAATCTTGGCTCATTGCAACCTCTGCCTCCCAGGTTCAAGCGATTCTTCTGCCTCAGCCTCCCGAGCAGCTGGGATTTCAGGTGCCTGCCACCCATACCCGGCTAATTTTTGTATTTTTAGTAGAGACAGGGTTTCACCATTTTGGCCAGGCTGGTCTCGAACTCCTGACCTCGTGATCCGCCCACCTCGGCCTCCCAAAGTGCTGGGATTACAGGCATGAACCACCGCGCCCGGCCTATTTTAATTTTTAATTGCAGTAAAAAAGCAAACGCATAACAAAATTTACTATCTTAACCTTTTAATTTTGGCCATGTTGCCCACGCTAGTCTTGAACTCCTGGGCTCAAGCTGTCCTCCCACCTCTGCCTCCCAAAGTGCTGGAATTACAGGGCTGAGCTACAACTCCTGGCCAGTCTTAACCTTTTTTTTTTTTTTTTTGAGATGGAGTCTTGCTTTATCACCCAGGCTGGAGTGCAATGGCGCCATCTTGGCTCACTCCAACCTCCACCTCCTGGGTTTAAGCGATTCTCCTGCTTCAGCCTCCCCAGTAGCTGGGATCACAGGCGTGCACCACCAAGCCTGTCTAATTTTTGAATTTTTATTAGAGACGGGGTTTCGTCATGTTGGCCAGGCTGACTGTGAACTCCTGACATCGGCTGATCGGCCCACCTCAGCCTCCCAAAGTGCTGGAATTTCAGGCGTGAGCCACCATGCCCGGCCAGTCTTAACCATTTTTAAGTGTACAGTTCAATAGCACCAAGAATATTCATGTTGTGCATCTGGCATCTTTTTGACAAGCCCTTGTCTTTCTTTAAACACTTTCTTACATTTGCTAAAACAAGATGTTTCAGCTAATCTTGTTCTTTCCTGTCCCAGCCCTGGAACCAGACAGTCGTCCAAGGAGTCCTCCTTGCTTTTAGTGGAAATGGTATTTGGAAACCAAATAGCTCTTTTTCTGGATCTATTTATGTATTAAACATTAGAGTTCACACTGATACCTCTAATTCCAGTCCATGACACAGAATTTATTCCAGTCATACCCCTTTCCACATTTATACCTTGCTTTTCCAACAGTGAGAAATCTGGTTCCTGTTTTCTTCAGTGTATTTGCTTTTTTGCTCAGTCTCCCCATAGGTTAACACTCCTAGCTGTGCTAGGCAAACTCAGCTGAAGACATGCTGCTGTTCCCTCCCCACAGTTTGCTGTTGGGGATGCTGTCCTAAAGCTGAACTAAGAAATATTCCCTTCCCCTTCCCCTTCCTGGATTCACTGGCCAAAAGCTTGGGTTTGATGAAAGGGAGGGGGAGGTGAGGATGAAAAAAGGGTAAAGGTCAGTTACACAGCTCAGCCCTGACCAACATGTTCCTGTGCCTTGCTGAACACATTGGCTTAAGCTGGGCCCTGGGTATCTCAGTTTTCCCCATGTCTTGCATGTTGAGGCAGAGTTGGTCCCAGACATGCCTTCTCTAATCCTATGGCATGTGTGCCAGTCCAGAGGTGGCCCAGGACGTCCTGGTTCCTTAAGCGTGGCCCTGATGAAGGGGAAGGGATAGTGAGAAGACACAGGATAAAAAGCCAGTTAGAGAGCTCATCTCTGGACATGCTTCCCGTCTTGTCCTTGACATGCATGCTGACCCACTGCTGGGCCTTGGGCATTCTGCCCTTTTCAGCTTGACAGACTGATGCTGCCCCCACCTCCCCATCCGAAAGCCATGATTTGACATTTTTAAAAGACCGAAGAAAAGAAAGAAAATTTATCTTTTCTGTTTATCCCTCCTTTTATCATTTTTAGCACTTTTATTTCCTCTGGAAAATTTCCATCTGGAATAATTTACCTTTGGCCTTGTCAACTTAAAAATTCAAGAAATGTACATATTTGGAAAGGATACTTTATTTCTTACAAAGAGTTGCAACCTGTAGGCTGGCCATCCCACAGGCTGGGAAGCGTAGCCTTTGGCAGAGCCTGAAAGGTAGGCACTTCAGAGGAGGAGGGGTTGGAACAGGAATTTGTGCTGAATGGGTTTGTGCTGACCAAGTATATACATATTCAACAGGTTATAGGAGGAGTTATGAATATTCATGGAGGGGGTCCTGATGCATGTGTACTGAACAGACATGCAATTTATTTTATTTTATTTATTTTTTTTGAGACAGTTTCACTCTTGTTGCCCAGGCTGGAGTGCAATGGCGCGATCTTGGCTCACTGCAACCTCTGCCTCCCGGGTTCAAGCGATTCTCCTGTCTCAGCCTCCTGAGTAGCTGGGATTACTGGCGCATGCCACCAGGCCTGGCTAATTTTTGTATTTTTAGTAGAGACGGGGTTTCATTATATTGGTCAGGCTGGTCTTGAACTCCTGACCTCAGGTGATCCACCCGCCTCAGCCTCCCAAAGTGCTGGATTACAGGCATGAGCCACTGTGCCTGGCCCAAACATGCATCTTTTTTTTTTGAGATGGAGTCTTGCTCTGTTGCCCAGGCTGGAGTGCAGTGGCGCGATCCTGGCTCACTGCAACCTCCGCCTCCCAGGTTCAAGCGATTCTCCTGCCTCAGCCTCCCAAGTAGCTGGGATTACAGGCGCCTACCACCACGCCTGGCTAATTTTTGTATTTTTGGTAGAGACAGGGTTTCACCATGTTGACCAGGCTGATCTCTAACTCCTGGCCTCAAGTGATCTGACTGTCTCGGCCTTCCAAAGTGCTAGGATTACAGGCGTGAGCCACCTCGCTTGGCTAATTTTTTTTGTATTTTTAGGAGCGACAGGGTTTCACCATGTTAGCCAGGATGGTCTCGATCTCCTGACCTCGTGATCCACCTGCCTCGGCCTCCCAAAGTGCTGAGATTACAGGCGTGAGCCACTGCATCTGGCCCAAACATTCATTTTTAAAAGAACTTTTAGGTTCAGGGGTACATGTGCAGGTTTGTTATATAGGTAAACATCTGTCATGGGGATTTGGTGTATAGATTATTTCATCACCCAGGTACTAAGCGTAGTATCTGACAGTTATTTTTTCCAGACAGGCATGTTCTTTGCATTCCATGTTCACTTTGAGGTGGAGACAACATTATATTCAGGCCCCATACCTCAAAAGGTGAAGCAAGGAGACAGGGCACTCAAGTGCACAGCCTCTATAAACTGGCTAGAACCAGTCTGTGGCTGGTGGTCTTCTTGTCAGGAGAGAGTTACTGAAGTCAGTCTCTTATACAGTCACAGCTATAGTTTTGGCTTGTGGAACAGGAGGTCAGTTGGCATCTGGTGGTGAGTTGCAGTTGTTTTCCTATTGCTTATCCAGGACAGTGCTTGTTTGGCTGCTAGAGAAAAAGAAGAACCCTGTGGCAGTTAGAACAGAGTTGATCTTGAAGAGTCAGACTGTGTGGCTGAATCCTTACCTGGCACGGTCGTAGGTCTTGTTTATAATTTGGTGTCTTTTTTTCCCCATGATCTTCATGAACGCATGTAATTTGGTATTTTATTGCCACAGAGTCCATTCTGTCAGTTTTGTGGTCTCTATTTTAACATTAATGCTGGTCAGTTGTGCCTGAACTACAAAAGGGAGGGAATATAATGAGGTGCGTCCCAAGGCATCTTGTCATGGCTGGAACCAAAACAGGCTTTGTTCAGTCAGTTGGAGTGCTTAGGATTTTATTTTTAGTTCTTAGCCTGAAGACCTTGCTTAGAATTTTTCATGGTGTAGGTCTGACACATTGTTTCACCTTTTATTATCTGAAAATACCTTCATTTCATCTTCATTTTTGAAGGATAGTTTTACAGCAGCAGTCCCCAACCTTTTTGACACCAGGGACCGGTTTCGTGGCAGACAGTTTTTCCATAGACCAAAGTGGGGAAAAGGTTTTGGGATGAAACTTCCATATCAGATCATCAGGCATTAGATTCTCTAAGGAGTGCGTAACCTAGATCCCTCCAACACACAGTTCAGGGTTTGTACTCTTATGAGAATCTAATGCAGCCACTGATCTCACAGGAGGCGGGGCTCAGGTGGTAATGCTTGCTGGCCCTCCACTCACCTCCTGCTGTGTGCGGCCTGGCTCCTAACAGGCCACGGACCCAGACCAGTCTGTGGCCTGGGGGCTGGGGACCTCTGTTTTACAGGATATAGAATTCTAGGTTGACTGTTTTCTTTCAGCATTTTTTATTATTTATTTATTTATTTATTTTGAGATAGAGTCTCGCTTTGTCACCCAGGCTGGAGTGCAGTGGCGTGATCTTGCTCACTGCAACCTCCACCTCCTGGGTTCAAGTGATTCTTTTGCCTTAGCCTCCTGGGTAGCTGTGATTATAGGCACATACCACCACGCCCAGCTAATTTTTTTTTGTATTTTTAGCAGAGATGGGGTTTCACCATGTTGATGGGGCTGGTCTTCAACTCCTGACCTCCAGTGATCTGCCTGCCTGAGCCTCCCAAGGCGTGAGCCACCATGCCCAGCTTCTTTTGGCATTTTAAAGATGAAGACTCATTATCTTCTGGCATCCATTTTTTCTCTTGAGAAGTTACCTGTCATTTTTGTTGTACTGAATGTCTTTTATTTGACAGTTTTAAGAATTTCTTTTTTTTTTTTTTGAGATGGAGTCTTACTCTGTCGCCAGGCTGGAGTGCAGTAGCGCAATCTCAGCT
This sequence comes from Homo sapiens, assembly GCF_000001405.40. NCBI lineage: Eukaryota > Metazoa > Chordata > Mammalia > Primates > Hominidae > Homo > Homo sapiens. The sequence continues at coordinate 45,018,833 of NC_000007.14, forward strand.
TACTGCAACCTCTGCCTCCCAGATTCAAGTGATTCTCCTGCATCAGCCTCCCAAGTAGCTGGGATTACAGGCATGCACCACCATGCCAGGCTAATTTTTGTATTTTTAATAGAAATGTGGTTTTGCCATGTTGACCAGGCTGGTCTCGAACTCCTGACCTCAGATGATCTGCCTGCCTCGGCCTCCCAAAGTGTTGGGATTATAGGCGTGAGCCACTGCGCCTGGCCTTTTTTTTTTTTTTTTTTTTTTGAGACAGGGTCTCACTCTGTTGGCCAGGCTGGAGTGCTGTGGCGTGATCTCGGCTCACTGCAACCTTGCAACCTCCGCCTCCCGGGTTCAAGTGATTCTCCTGCCTCAGCCTCCTGAGTAGCCGGGACTACAGGCATGCACCACTGTGCCCGGCTAATGAAAAAAGTTTTTTAAATATAGATGGAATCTCAGTATGTTGCTCAGGCTGGTCTTGAACTCCTGGCCTCAAGCCATCCTCCTGCTTCCGCCTCCTGGGATTACAGGAATGAGCCACCGCACCTGGCTGGGTTTTATACTTTGGTTTGGTAGATCAGTTTTGATCTTTGTCCTTACTCTTAGGGTAAATTTCTTAGTCCTGGAATGTATGTTTTACTCCTAAGATGTGGCCTTTGTGGGGTTTCAAATGGATAGTCTCAAGTGTTTAAGGTACTGATTAAGCCCCTTTAACTTGGCAGGACTTGGACTCCAAACTCTTATCTACCCTGCAGCTAGGGAGAGCTAAAATCTCAGCTTTTTTTTTGAGACGGATCTTGCTCTGTTACCCAGGTTAGAGTGCAATGGTGTGATCATAGTTTACTGTGACCTTAAACTTCTGGGCTCAAGCAATTCTCCTACCTTAGCCTCCCAAGTAGGTAGGACTACAGGCATGCACTATCTGGCTAATTTTTATTTTTGTAGAAATGGGGTCTCACTATGTTGCCCAGGCTGGTTTCAAACTCCTGAACTCAAGTGATCTTCCTGCCTTGGCCGCCCAAAGTGCTGGGATTATAGGCATGAGCTCCCGCACCCAGCCATCAGCTTGCTCCTTCAACCTTCAAGCTATCGTGTCCTTTCTGGGCTTGTGGGAGTCTCACCTCCGCTTACGCAGTTCAGGGTTCAGCCAAAGATTTGAGGGGACCTTATACTCAGACTTTGGGTTCCTTTTTTAGTGGGTTCCTCCTTTCCTATATTTCCCTCTCAATTTCCAGCTTCTTTAGCAGTCTCAAATCCTCCTTTAACCTGTCAGGCCAATAAAATTGCAGCTTTTTTTTCTCTGCTCCACTCCTCTGAGACTGGGGCATACTCTCAGGAGTAAAGCAATATAAAAGTGGATCTTGCCCAGTGATGTTCCCTTCTTTCAAGGGTCATATAAATTCCAAGCTTCTTTTTTATTTCTTGTTTGTCTCCAGTGTCTTTAGAAGATTGTTTTTCACATTTTATCTAGAGTTCATAATCTCGGTCTGTGAGAAAGTTATTTTGATACAGTCTACTTCTCTCTTAAGGGAATAAGAACTTCTTTGGGTTTATTTTTTCTTGACAGTGTGTTTTGGAGCTCTTTCATTATAGATATATAGTTTCTTTATTCTTCTTTAGGGTGGAATGGCATTTTTATCTGTGGGCTACTGTATTTAAACAGCAGCCCTCCTATGGACTTTTAGGTTGTCATTTTGCTTAAAAAATAATGAAGCAATTAATTTTCTAACCTGTCATGTATGTAATGCATCTGTAGGATTAATTCCCGAAAATGCACTTGCTGGGAAACATAAGTGCATTTGTAATTTTAGTAGATGTTAACAAATTGTTTTGTATGGTAGAACCAAGGTTTATTCTTTTTTTCTTTACCCACCTCTCAAGAGAACAGTTTTTATTAGGTGAAAGTGGTATTTGCTAAAAATTTTGAGTATTTTCCAAAATGAACTTGTTAAGTTTTCTTACTAAAAAATACATTTGTATCTCAGAAGAAAGTAGCAAAATATATTATATGAAAAAAATCACACCCACTAGAAACAACTGTTATTAGTCTTTCACGTTGCTTTCCTGTTTGTGTATGCTTTTCTGTGTTAGCAGTAATAATACAGTCTTATTACCTTGGTATTTATTTCAAACACTTGCTTAGTGCCCACTGTGTAAAGAGCTTTCTGGGGAGCTGTCACTGCCTGCCTGAATCTCCCTCACTGTCTGAGGGTGGTCTTAGTGCTCATGAGGTCGAGAATATCGAGTGCTGTGTCAGAAGGGCAGAGGTCAGGTGGATTTAAAGCTGTTGCACCAAAGCCAGGTGTGGCGACATGCCTGTAGTCCCAGCCTACTCATGAGGCTGAGGTGGGAGGATGGCTTGAGCCTAGGAGTTAGAGAATGCAGTGAGCCATGATTGTGCCACTGCACTGCAGCCTGGGTAATAGAGCAAGACCCTGTCTCTAAAAAATAAAAAAAATAATAAATAGGCTGGCACGGTGGCTCACGCCTGTAATCTCAGCACTTTGGGAGGCCGAGGCGGGCGGATCACCTGAGGTCAGGAGTTCAAGACCAGCCTGGCCAACATGGTAAAACCCCCGACTCTACTAAAAATACAAAAATTAGCCAGGCATGGTGACACATGCCTGTAATCCCAGCTACTCGGGAGGCTGAGACAGGGAGAATTGCTTGAACCCGGAAGGTAGAGTTGCAGTGAGCTGAGATCGCGCCACTGCACTCCAATCTGGGCGACAGAGCGAGGCTCTTTCTCAAAAAAAAAAAATAAAATAAAATAAATAATAAATAAATAAAACTATGCATCAAGCACCATCTCCCTGTCCCCTGGGTATGCCTTTGGAAGTGCAGTTTGCAGAGTGAGTGAGATGAGGCAGGGGAGTAGGAGGAGGAGCTGAGGAGGAGAATGGGGCAGGGGAAGATGAGACAGGGAGGAGGAGGAGGGGAGGAGAGGGGAAGGGATGAGAGAGGGAAGGAAGGTGGAGTCATTGTTCCTGCTGTTGCCTTGCGTGGCTGTGACAGCTGTTGAAGCTGTCTTCTCACAGTTTTGCACACTGTGGGTTATGATTCATTAGTGGCATGTGAAATCAACCATGTAGGTAGCAACCTTTTTTTCATGTAAGAATTTAAAGGATACAAGTATAAAGTTAAAGAACTTAAGGAAAAATTTTGCTAGATTCATTTTGAATTAGAGCTGTCACGTATTTCTTAGCTATCTGCATGGAAAACACCTAGAAGCAATGACAGTCCAATAGCAGTGGAGCACACCTAGGACTTTATTGTAGTCTGAATTGTATGTCAAGTAGTGTGGTTACAGTAAGTGAGGGGATGTAGCTTTTTGCCACAAAATCTGTACTTTGGAAGGTGAATGTGAAGCAATGAGAACAAATGGAGATTATTAATCTGTGCTGTGGTTGGCGTTCAGAATTAGGCCACATTTTAGTATGTTTCATGTGGGGATCATTATTTTTTTTTGGACCAGCTTTTTTTTTTTTTTTTTTTTTTTTTTTTTGAGATGGAGTCTTGCTCTGTTGCCCAGGCTAGAGTGGAGTGCAGTGGTGCGATCTCGGTTCACTGCAAACTCCGCCTCCCGGGTTCACGCCATTCTCCTGTCTCAGCCTCCCGAGTAGCTGGGACTACAGGCGCCCACCACCGTGCCCGGCTAATTTTTTGTATTTTTAGTAGAGACGGGGTTTCACCGTGTTAGCCAGGATGGTCTCCATCTCCTGACCTCGTCATCCGCCCGCCTCGGCCTCCCAAAGTGCTGGGATTACAGGCATGAGCCACCGTGCCTGGCCTTTTCTTTAGAGTTTCTGATGAATTGCTTTTCTTTTTTCTTTCAAAAGAAACATTAAATTTTAAAAAATTTCAGTAGCTTTTGGGGTACAAGTGGTTTTTGGTTACATGGGTGAATTGTATAGTGATGAAGTCTGGCTTTTATTTTATTTTTTGAGACGGAGTCTCATTCTGTTGGCCAGGCTGGAGTGCAGTGGTGCGATCTCGGCTCACTGCAACCTCTGCCTCCCGACCTCAAGCGATTCTCCTACCTCAGCCTCTCGAGTAGCTGGGATTACAGGTGCCCACCACCACGCCTGGCTAATTTTTATATTTTTAGTAGAGACGGGGTTTCACCATGTTGACCAGGTTGGTCTCGAACTCCTGAGCTCAAGTGATCCACCAGCCTCGGCCTCCCAAAGTGCTGGGATTACAGGCATGAGCCACCTCACCCTGCAAGTCTGGGCTTTTAGTGTACCCATCACCCAAAAAGCGTACATTGTATCCAGTAGGTAATTTTTCATCTCTCACCTCCCTCCCACTTTCTCCCTTTCTAAGTCTCCAGTGTCCATTATATCACTCTGTGTGCCTTTGTGTAGCCATAGTTTAGCTCCCACTTATAAGTGAGAGAACCATGCCCGGCCCAGACTTCTTTTTTTAAATGTTCTAATAAAACTTTATTTACGGCTGGGTGCAGTGGCTCACACCTGTAATCCCAGCACTTTGGGAGGCTGAGGAGGGTGGATCACCTGAGGTCAGGAGTTCGAGACCAGCCTGGCCAACATGGCGAAGCCCCATCTCTACTAAAAATACAAAAATTAGCCGGGTGTGGTGTTGCGCGTCTGTAATCCCAGTTACTTGGAAGCCTGAGGCGGGAGAATCGCTTGAACTTGGGAGGTGGAGGTTGCAGTGAGCTGAGATCGTGCCACTGGACTCCAGCCTGGATGACAGAGTGAGACTCCGTCTCAAAAAACAAAACTAACAAAAACAACAACAAAACACAAGAAAACCCCACTTTATTTACAAAAACAGGTGGCTTGCCTGTGTGGTAGAGTTTACTCAGCCTTTTTCTAGAGAATGCCTTGTTATTGTGAATGAGATTCAGTTTTATTATGGTAGGCAGTGAGATTACTGGGAAATCTTTTTTTTTTTTTTTTTGTCGTGTGCATCTTTGTTTAGTCATTATTTTGATAGCTCTGTATCAGTTTTTTTTTTTTTTTTTTTTTTTTTTTTTTTTTTTTTTATGAGACAGAGTTTTGCTCTTGTTGCCCAGGCTGGAGTGCAATGGCACAATCTTGGCTCACTGCAACCTCTGCCTCCCAGGTTCAAGTGATCCTCCTGCCTCAGTCTCCGTAGTAGCTGGGGTTACAGACATGTGCCACCACGCCCTGCTAATTTTGTATTTTTAGTAGAGTTGGGGGTTTCTCCATGCTGGTCAGGCTGGTCTCGAATTCCCGACATCAGGTGATCCTCCTGCCTTGGCCTCCCAAAGTGCTGGGATTACAGGCATGAGCCACCGCACCCGGCCTCTGTATCAGTTTTGAATTTAGTTCTGGGTGTTTTCCTTACACCTAAAGTGTGGACTTTTTGGATTTCTACTGAGTAGCCAGTTCAGCAAAGTCTCTTCAGCTGATTATAATGTTCAGGAAAGACTCTTCAGCTGATAATAACTTCTGGCATCACCATTCAGCAGTCAGTCAAACATTAAATGATTACCTGTAGGCATTGTGGAGTTTCATCTCTGCATGTCCAGGCCAGCCCTTAGTCAAGGCCCAAGAAACATGTTTTTATCGTCAAGAACTTCTAGGCTCTTAGTTTACATAATGGAATCTTACAGATTTTCCTTTGTTTGCTTGCTGAACACTGTCATTGTCACCCTGGGATTTCTTTTCTCTGCTTCCTGGGTTGGTTCCACTGTTTCTTGGAGTCCACATCTTTTTCTCTCTTGGATGATCCTCGTTTTGCTGGGAGTAGATCCTCTAGTATGTTTTTCAAAAGGGGGTTTTTAGAGTGTAAAGATCCCAAGGCACTGCAGGTGTGAAAATAACTATTTTGCACCTTGATTGACAGTTTGGTTTTAAATTAACTTCCAGATTTAAATTAATTTCCACACAGAATTTTAAAGGGATTACCATATTCCCATTTATCAGGATACATCTGATGCTGATCTGAGTCTTACTGCTTTTACAGGTACTTTTTTTTGCATTTTCTTATTGGAAACCTAAGATTCTCTTGAAATTCTGCAGTTTTGTGAAGATGAGTCTAAATGTTGAGGGTTTGTCTCTTACATTCAGCCTACTTGTTACTGTGCTTTTTCTGTCCATAAAATTGAGTTCATCGTTGTTGTCTTCTGATATTTGTGTCCCTCTTTGATTCTGCCTGCTCTTATTCTCCTCTTAGGAAACTGTTAGACTCGATGGACCCAGCTTCTGTGGCCTTTAATTTTTCTCATGTTAAACTTTTTACCTTTTCACTTTATGTTCTAAGACAGGGTTGGCAAACTTCATGTAAAGGACCAGACAGTAAATATTTCAGGCTGTGTGGGCCAGGGGGCAAAATTGAGGCCATTAAGTAGGTACTTATATAAGAGAGAAAGCAAATTTTCGTAAATTTTTTTATTGATGAAATTCAAGGTATAATAATTGAGTACAATTTTTTGTAATATGGTTCTACTACTGAGAATGGAATTCTTTTTGGGGGCTAACATTTTGCTTAATCAGGGTTCAAAGTTGGTGATTCCCTTTATCGAATTGGTGGCAAATGTTCATCTGTAAAACATTTGCAGCTGTGGCCATCAGCAGCAGGCAGGCATTGGCCAACCCCGCAGTTCTCCTTCACATCATTCTTTGGGCTCTCCGCTATGTCCTTGTTATTATTCTACGAATTTTTTATTTTGGCAGTCATATTTGTAATTTCTAAGATATATTTCTTGTTCTCTGTTCTCTCTTTTTCTTTTTTTTTTTTTTTTGAGATGGAGTTTCACTCTTGTTGCCCAGGCTGGAGTGCAATGGCGTGATCTCACCTCACCGCAACCTCCGCCTCCTGGGTTCAAGTGATTCTCGTGCTTCAGCCTCCCGAATAGCTGGGATTAACAGGCATGCGCCATCACGCCCAGCTAATTTTGTGTTTTTGGTAGAGACGGGGTTTCTCCATATTGGTCAGTCTGGTCTCAAACTTCTAACCTCAGGTGATCTGCCCACCTCAGCCTTCCAAAACGCTGGGATTACAGGCGGGAGCCACTGCACCCGGCCGTTTTCTCTTTTTCATAGCTATCTAGTCTTATTTTATGGATGCAGTTCTTCTCAAGTGTCTCTAAGTATACTAGCTAGAATGTAGGTTCCTGTGCCTGTCTCTTCCCATTTGTTCTTTGGCTTTTCTCTCTCATGCTGACCGTGGGGATCACTGTGTTTGTGAGGGAAGGTTGGGGTTGACTAGTGTTCAGAGCATGTGGGTTTTCTTTTTAGTCATGTCTATTTCCCTGGAATCCTTCCCCTCCCTGCAGTAGCCAAAATAGAGGTGAGGCTGCTCAGCTGAGTGGCACCTCTTTCTGTATCTCCCTCCTGGTTTGCCTTTTTCCCTTTGAGCCTACCTGAAGGTCAGGGTCAGCTGGTTCTGCCCTGTATAGGCAACTTTTAGGAAGGAGCAATCTGAAATTGTGACTCTACTCTGGTTTTTAAAGACAGAAAGTGACAGTCCAGTTAATACCGGATATTGACTCAAATCTAGTTCTGATGCTGCTTTTCCAACTTTATGACAGTTTCTACATCTGTGGTATATGGAATAATAATTGAAGCACTAAATTTTATTCTGAAGCAATCAGTCTTTTTGGAATCAGGAAATATTAAACTTTATTTGTTACAGGTTAATGAAATAGAATTGTATGAAAGTACCATTTTTATAGCCAAAACACTGTTGAAAATCAGCACTTTGATTTGGTTCAACCTAATATTTAAAAAATTATATTGTAATTGTTATGTTTATTTATTGATCTGTGAATATAGTCACTCTAACCAGATTTTTTTTTTTTTTTTTTTTTTTGAGATGGAGTCTCACTCTGTTACCCAGGCTGGAGTGCAATGGTGCTATCTTTTCTTACTGGAACCTCTGCCTCCCAGGTTCAAGCGATTCTCCTGCCTCAGCCTCCCAAGTAGCTGGGATAACAGGTGCCCATCACCACGCCCGGCTAATTTTTCTACTTTCAGTAGAGACGGGGTTTCACCGTGTTGGCCAGGCTGGTGTCGAACTTCTTACCTCAGGTGATCCACCTGCCTCAGCCTTCTAAAGTGCTGGGATTACAGACATGAGCCACCGCACCCAGCCAACCAGAATATTTAATTAAGTAGCCCTCCCTATTTGCAAGCCATTCTGGAATTATCAGAGTTCTAAGAGCCTTCACCAGCAACAGATCCAACTTCTGCTTTTCTAGATTAGGAAATTTGCCTTGAAGAAGTGAGCTTGGCCAGAGGCACGCTGTTTAATTTCAAAGTGCTGCTGACTCAAACTCATGAGTCCTGGAGGCAGGTAGAGGCACTTGTAGGCTGAGGACCCGTAGAGCCCGGTGTGCCCTGCCCAAGCCCCACCTGGGAATGGAGTTATCTCTGTAAAGATCTTGCTGCCTTTGAGCAAGCACTGCAAATGGGGTAACTGGAACAGCCTTGTCGCGTGTTTCCACCCTTCGTATGAGGCAGGTACCATGGGTCTTCACCAACAGCACGGCCTGTTGTCTCCAGGAAATGGTAGCCCCTCACAGTGCTTTCTGTCTGCTTGTTTAGCTTTGGCATTTGAATGTGCAGAATGGTGGACTTTGAAATTAATGTCCTTCTGTTGACTGCAGAATTTCTGCTGGAAATGCAGGGAGGCTGCTTGTGGGGTTCGCGTGCTGTGGGAAGTAGGGAAAATGAGCTGGTTTACTTTGTGTCTTTTTGTGCATGCAGACTGTTTGGATTTTGCCAACAGTTTCTGGGTGCTGCCTGCTTTTTAAACTTTTAAAAAATTGTAAACAGCTTCAGTGGCTTTGCAGAAGGAAGCTGTGGTTTCTGGTCTTCCTGTTCAGTCATGTTTTTTTCAGAGGGAGGGCTAACATCTGGCCATATTTTTCAACAAATTCAGAAGTGAGTAGAGAATGCATAGTAGCTGTCGGCAGAGGAGGAACCAGAATCTCTCCAAAGAAATTCCTCAAACAGAATTTCACACAGGGTATTCCATGGAGAATGAGGTAGGTGCAAGTCCAGTGTGGAAAGCGCCATTTAGAATGATGATGGTGTGAGTCCCTTGTGGGTGGCTTTCATGGCTGCTTCCCAGGGCTTGCCCATTGTGAGCTAGGGTAGCCCAGTCTCCATGACCCCTGCTTTGGGAGGATGGGGTGGGTGGAGGGTTCATTTGCTGGCTTCCTGGTCTGAGACCCTGTGGCAAGGGGCGTGTATGGAGAAGTGCCGTTCCACCCAGGTGGGGAGTATAGGTTGTTGGATTCATCCATCTTGACTCAAGGAAGAAGAAGCCACAGGTTTTACATCTTCCACGGAGAAGTAATTTTCCTATGGATTTGTGGTCGGGACCCAAGAGCCTGGTTGAAAAATGATGTAGGGAGATGGCCAAGCAAGAGAGCACCCAAAGCTGGAATTTCATCCACGAAGCCTGCAACACTAGTGGGGTTCTGCTTGAGACTCCACCAGCATGGATCCTGGCCACCGCCAGTGTGGCCTCCTGTGGGCACTAAGGTGCCTATGCCTTTCTCACTGAAGCAAACAGGCGGTAGTGGGCAGAGCTCTGGTTCCCCTTGAAATTCGCTCTGTCAGCCGGGTACAGTGGCTTATGCCTGTAATCCTAGCACTTTGGGAGGTGGAGGTGGGTGGATCAGGAGGTCAGGAGATCAAGACCATTCTGACTAACATGGTGAAACCCCGTCTATACTAAAAATACAAAAAAATTGCCGGGTGTGGCGGCACGCACCTGTAATCCCAGCTATTTGGGAGGCTGAGGCAGGAGAATCACTTGAACCCGGGAGGTGGAGGTTGCAGTCAGCCGAGATTGCGCCACTGCACTCCAGCCTGGGTGACAGAGTGAAACTCCGGCTCAAAAAAAAAGAAAAGAAAGAAATTAGCCGTGTCCTGAGATGCGGGTGCACACCGGCTGTGTCATACTTATCATTTAGACCTCTCCAGCACCGAGGAAAGGTCCTTTTTCCATTGGTAGGCACCAAAGCACTTAAAAAAAAAAAAAGCTAATCTGTCAACTGACACTGCAGGGAGTGCTGGAAGTTTGTGGAAATTCACATAGGCAGGGGTGCAATGTGGGTGTCCACAGAGGAGTTCTTTGTCATGGAGCTTGTAGGAGGGGATTTGTCGTAGTGCCTCGGATGTGCACCTTAGGCAGTGTGATTTATGAGGATGGCAGGTGTCTCTCTGGGACTATAGCCTATCACTGTCCAGCTGGACAGAATCATCGCTCCAGGTTCCACTGTCTTCTCAGACCCAGGCACTGAGTTTGGTGCCTCTTCCAGTCATTTTCCCTCATTCCTGCTGGGCCCTCATGTGGCTGTGCAGTTGCGGTTTGTCTGTCTCCCTCTTTAGACTGGGGGTTCCCTGGGGGCAGGGACGGTGGCTTCTACAGCCCCAGTGTCTGGCGCATAGTGAATACTCATGAGATGTACTGAATGTTGGCCTTAAGGATACCTAGGCCTTTTTATAATACTTTAAACATCTTTGTTCAGAGGCGGTTTTGTTTTATTAGATAAAACCCACCTTGTAGTTTATTCATAAGGGTTAAATAATTTGCGCAAATGAAAATGCCTGAACCCTGTAGCAGAGACATGCTGGGTACTGCTCAGTGTGACTAAGTGTTCTTCTCTTTCTTCCTTCATAGACTTTTTAGCACTTTCTCCAGAGTAATACTGAGCTCAATGTTTTGCATGGAGAATGCAGCTAGAAGGTATAGCCATACTATTTACTTTGGTCCCCAAGTAGAGGCCACTGTTTCATGAGTCTGCTTTTGCTGGTTCTTTTAGTGGATTCATTTCTCCTTGTAAATTAATAAACAGGTGCCCTGACTTATAAGTTAGTTTCTGAGAATTTGTTGAGCAGATCCAGTTACTCCAGATCCTGTTCACCCAAGTGAGCTGATAATGTTGAGCTTCAGATTTAACAAAACTCAAGACCCGCAGTTGGCATCTGAGGGCCAGCCTTGCCCAGAGCCTGAGCCTTGGCTTTGTGTGAGGAGGGCATTCTCACTAGGTAAGCCCTAGTAGGCCAGATTTAGTTTTAGTTTTTTAACTCAGAAGTACATTTTAGGTTTCCAACTTTAAGAGTTGTTTTAAGCTTAAGACGTTAACTTTGTAAGAATTTGTAAGGATCTAGGCATCTTCCAGAGTGAGTTTAGAAAGTTCTGTATAGTTATCTGAGGTGGCATATATTCCATATGGATGTCTTTGCACAGCGCTGCATGGTGACTCAGAGCCCTGTGTTCCCTCCTCCTGGCTCCGTACTGTGGACTCTGGCAGGTCCCTTCGACCCTCACAGCCTCAGTTTCTTCAGGAGAGACTTAGGCTGGGATAGACTCCACACCTCACTTTGGTGCTGGGACTCCACTCATGGAAGAGAAATAGCACTTAGCCTGGTTTCCTTCTGGGGACTGAATTGGTCCTTTGGTCTCTGAGGTTCAAAGGTGACAAGATCATTTAGTGGTGATGAACAGGCATACTCAATCAAATACATGTTGAATGAAGAATGGTTGCCTGGGCTAATCCCACCTTTTAAATTCTATGTGTCCATCTATAGTACATTCTAGTGAGTTAAAGAACCCATGATGGTTTACTGGAATCCTGATTCTGTACATTAAAAATATGCTAAACCATTTAATTATTTCCCTCGTTCCTTCCAGACAGGGTCTCACTCTGTTTCCTAGGCTGGGTGCAGTGGTGTGATCACAACTCACTGCAGCCTCAACCTCCCAAGCTCAAGTGATCCTCCCACCTCAGCCTCCTGAGTGCCTGGAACTACAGGCTAATTTTTAATATTTTTTAGAGACAGGTCTCGCTATGTTGTCCAGGCTGGTCTTGAACTCCTGGCCTCAAGCGATCCTCTTGCTTTGGCCTCCCAAAGTGTTGGAATTACAGGTGTGAGCCACTGTGCCTGCCCTCAATTTATTTTATTTATTTTTTTCTTGAGACGGAGTCTCACTCTGTCACCCAGGCTGGAGTGCAGTGGCGTGATCTTGGCTTACTGCAACTGCTACCTCCCAGGTTCAAGCAATTCTCCTGCCTCAGCCTCCCGAGTAGCTGGGACTACAGGTGTGCACCACCATGCCCGGCTAATTTTTGTATTTTTAGTAGAGACGGGGTTTCACCATGTTGGCCAGGGTGGTCTTGAACATCTGACCTCAGGTGATCCACCTGCCTTAGCCTCCCAAAGTGGTGTGATTACAGGCGTGAGTCATTGCACCTGGCCTCGATTTATTTTTTAACTAGAACTTTCCTTTAAATTTATTTTCTTTCTTTTTTTAGATTTAAAGAGAACAGGGCCTTGCCCAGGTGCAGTGGCTTACACCTGTAATCCCAGCACTTTGGGAGGCCGAGGTGGGTAGATCACTTGAGGTCAGGAGTTTGAGACCAGCCTGGCCAACATGGTGAAACCCCATCTCTATAAAAATACAAAAATTAGCCAGGTGTGGTGGTGCACACCTGTAATCCCAGATACTCGGGAGGCTGAGGCAGGAGAATCGCTTGAGCCCGGGAGGTGGAGGTTGCAGTGAGCCGAGATCACACCACTGTACTCCAGCCTGGGCTGTATAGTGAGACTCCAGGTCAAAAAAAAAAAAAAAAAAAAGAGGGCCTTGCTTAGTCACTTAGGCTGGAGTGCAGCGGGCAGTCATAGCCCACTGCAGCTTTGAGCTCCTGGGTTCAAGTGATTCTCTCCCCCCAGTCTTTCAGGTAGCTAGGACTACAGACGTATGCCACCACGCTCAGCTTTTTTCTTTTTAATTAATAATTATTATTTGTTTTGAGATGGTCTTGCTCTGTCACCCAGGCTGGAGTGCAGTGGTGTGATCACAGCTCACTGCAGCCTTGACTTCCTAGGCTCAAGTGATCCTCCCACTTCAGCCTCCCAAGTAGCTGTGACTACAGGTGTGTGCCACCATGTCCTGCTAATTTTTATGTTCTAATTTTTGTATTTTTTTTAAAAGATGAGGTCTCACCCTGTTGCCCAGGCTGGTCTTGAAGTCCTGACTCTAGTGATCCTCCCATCTTGGCCTCCCAAAGTGTTGGGATTACAGGTGTGAGCCACTGCGCCCAGCCATCAGCTTAAATTTTGTGTTCAAAAGCAACTTCTTTTCCAAAAATCTGAGGTGGCTTCTTGTTCAGTTTTGTATCTGGAATAGCAGAGAGCTCTTCCCCAGCACCGGCTGTCCCTCCTACCACCCCCTGCAGCTGAGAGCTGAGCAAACATTACCTCTGAAAAGCCCCATCATCCTCAGCGAGAACAGCAGCTACCCTGCATTCCGTGCTGAATGGGTAGGAGTGGCAGAGGGAGGCTGCAGCAGATGTGCAAAGATGCATTTCTTTACTTAATAGTGTTAATATTCCACTTTCTAGGAAGGCTTACCCATCAATTAAAATTATTTGAGACATTAAAAAAAGAAACTTAGGGTAGCTGCTATTGAAGACTAAGGACTAGGGCCAGAGAGACGCCTGCCTCCAAGTAGTCCACAGAATCTGCTTGTTAAAATGTTCGTGATTTGGAGGCCCAGGTAGAAGGGGCAGGTTCCTCTGAAGCGCCTTGGCATGCCCTATCTTTGGCGTTCCGGGGTCGCCCTCCTCTGCTAGTCTGTGAGCAGTCAGAAGGTTGTATCTCCTGTTCATTCCTCTCCTTGTCTCTTGCTGCTCAGAACAGCAGCTTTAAGAACAGGGTGGCTGAGCCCTAAGTGTACCTTTGGAGCATCCTGTGTGTCTTCAGCATTGATTGACTGTTTTTACTGTGGATTTAATTTCAGTTACTTTACTCTGGTCTTACTACTTCGGCTTGACTGTGACATCGTTGAGGGCAGGGGCTGTGTCACCTCTAACCAAAGGGCCTCCCCAGATGCCTAGCCTGGTCCAAGCGTTCCATCAAGAGTCAGTACCAGCGTTTATTGCTGTCCAGTCTGTGCAAGCTCCATGCTGGCTGCTGGGTAAGAGCCAAGGGCAGCCAGGCCTAATGGCTCATGCCTGTAATTCCAGCACTTTGGGAGGCTGAGGCTGGTGGATCACCTGAGGCTGGGAGTTTGAGACCAGCCTGGCCAACATGTTGAAACCCCATCTCTACTAAAAATACTAAAATTAGCCAGGCATGGTGGTGGGTGCCTGTAATCCCAGCTACTCCAGAGGCTGAGGCAGGAGAATTGCTTGAACCGGGGAGGCAGAAGTTAAGTGAACCAAGATTATGCCATTGCACTCCATCCAGCCTTGGTGACAAGAGCAAAACTCCGTCTCAAAAAAAAAAAAAAAAAAAAAAAAAAAGAGCAAAGGCCAGAGGAGGAAAGAGCTGAGCTCGATGTAGGGAAGAATTGATGTGATGCTTGGGCAATAAGAGGCATCTACAGATGGCCGTCCTGGTTTCCTTGCCCTGCAAGAGTTCCTACTATTTCTCACTGCCTAACTGCAGAGGGTCTCTCTTTAGGGGTGGGATTGTAGGACGGGGGAGCGCCAGAGTCCTTCCCAGTGCAGACTGTAATTCTGTGTGGAGACTATAATTTTATGACCTGTACATCAACATTAAAATAACAGTGTAGGTTGCATGTGGTTTGTGGGACCTGTTGATTTGGTGTGGGCTTCTTGGTTAGAGGTTGATCTTGGCAAATCTCCTGTCTCAGAGTTGGTTTCCTGTTGCTCCCATAGGTAGATTAGTAACTAGTTTGGCTAACAGGCAGCTTTCAGAAGAGCCAACAAATGGAGCCAGGCTGCTTGCCCACACTGTCAGATTCAGAGCTCAGTCACTGTCCATGACACAGCTAGTTATCATTTAGGAGGAATGAGCTTTGGGGGCTAGCAGGCAGAAATGGTTTAGGGACAGCCATTTTCCTGTGGCTGATGTGAGATTATCCATGTCTGTGGAGATGCAAGCTTCCGAAAAGCTGGGCTCATGGGCCAAATGCCTCTGTATTTCCATAACCTCCAGGCCAGGGTCTTGCACATCATAGGGCCTGGGAGAATAAGTGAGTGGTCAAGCATACACATTTGAAAAGTAATTCATGTGCCATCTGTCACTTGAGAGTGCCAGAAGAGAGGAAATCACAGGCAAGCAAAGCCTGGTGTGTTTTTAGTGAGGCTAGAGAAACATGATTTTTTGCATGGCTAAAATTGCATCACTAAATTTTGAGGGCCGTTTTTAACTTACAGTTTACCATGATTTCTTGGCTGACAAATCATAGGTGACCATTTCTCACCATTCTCCCATGAGAACCCCGCACTGCAAACTACCTGTCATGTCCAAACTTGTCCTGGGGCTCAAAGCTTGTCAGGGATTAAGGAGAATGAAGCCCGAAAGTGCCTTAGGGACATCCTGTCTTCACTGCTGTCATAGAGCCAGGGCCTGGGCAGCACAAGGCCACATGCTTTCTGAGCCCAGGCCAGTCCCAGCAAGCTCTTATGGAAGCACTTTTTTTTTTTTTTGTTTTGAGACGGAGTCTCTCTCTTGTTGCCCAGGCTGGAGTGCAATGGTGTGATCTCAGCTCACTGCAACCTCTGCCTCCCGGATTCAAGCGATTCTCCTTTCTCAGCCTCCTGAGTAGCTGGGATTACAGGCATCTGCCACTACACCCAGCTAATTTTTGGTATTTTAAGTAGTGACGGGGTTTCACCATCTTGGCCAGGCTGGTCTCAAACTCTTGACCTCAAGTGATTTGCCAGTCTTGGCCTCCCAAAGTGCTGGGATTATAAGCATGTGCCACCATGCCTGGCCTTTTTTTTTTTTTTTTTTTTTTTGAGATGGAGTTTCACTCTTGTTGGCCAGGCTGGGGTGCAATAGCACAATCTCGGCTCACTGCAACCTCCGCTTCCCCGGTTCAAGCAATTCTCCTGCCTCAGCCTCCCAAGTAGCTGGGATTACAGGCGCCCGCCACCACACCCAGCTAATTTTTGTTATTTTTAGTAGAGACGGAGTTTCACCATCTTGGCCAGGCTGGTCTCTTAACTCCTGACCTCAAGTGATCTGCCTGCCTCACCCTCCCAAAGTGCTGGGATTACAGGTGTGAGCCACTGCACCCAGCTTCTGGAAGCATTTTTAAAAAGTTTTTATTTTTCTTGAGACAAGGTCTCACTCTGTTGCCCAGGCTGGAGTGCAATGGCATGATCACAGCTTACCGCAGCCTTGACCTACCGGGCTCAAGCAACCTCCTGCCTCAGCCTCCCAAGTAGCTGGTACTACATGCGTGAACCACCACACCTGGCTAATTTTTGTAGTTTTTGTAGAGATGGGGTCCCACCAGGTTGCCGGGCTGGTCTTGAATCCCTGAGCTCAACAATCTACCCACCTCGGCCTCCCAAAAGTGTTGGGATTATAGGCGTGAGCCGCTGCACCCAGCCTGGGAGCACTTTCTGTCCCCTCTGTGGTTCGTCTTAGAGCGGATCATCTTGTAAGGATGTTGGTGATCTTAATTTTTTATGCTTTTATATTTTGCCTCAGTTTAAGTGTAATCAGCAGGAAGCAGAAAATATATTCATCATTTTCAAAAAATATTTAAAAATTCAAATATTAAAAAAATACAGAGAAAAGTTAACAAAGCTACTGTATACATCATCTGGCTCCAACTGTTACCAACTCTGAGGACCTTTAGTCATCCTTACTCCATGCTCTCCCCTACCACCGGATGTACTGAGCAGCAGAGAATGGGACCTGGGAGGGGGCCTATTCCAGGTCAAAGGGGAGAGACTACTCCTGGTCAACGGGGAACTACTCTGGGTCTATGAGAGGACTAGTTCAGGTAGATGAGGGACTACTCCAGGTCAATGGGGAACCACTCTGGGTCAAGGGAAGACTATTCCAGGTCGGGCAAGGGGAGCTATTCCAGGTGAAGAAGGCGGATGCAGGGGTGGGTCCAGTCAGCCCAAGTGAGAGAGGAAGCATTTTAGCAGATTATAGGGCTTTAAGCCTGGGTCACAGGTGTGTCACCTGTTGGGGGCACGAATGAAGAGCTTAGGCTGTGATGCTGGTCCAACTTTATTATAGTCTGTGGTAGTGATGAGTAGGAGACAGTCTGATTATATACATATATACATATATATATATATGTATAGACAGCAGTGGAAGAAGAGATAAATTTTAACTTATTGTCAAGGTAAATACAGTCATAAAATTAACTGGTATATATTTTGCTTGTTCACAACATATCAGACGTGCTCAGAACTTTATGTAGATTATTGTATTGATTGCCTGTGGCACTTCTCTAAGGATTGTTAGCCTGTTGTGCAGATGGTGAGAGCTCATCCAACCAGTTTGCTTAGTAAGTGGTGCAGCCCAATGCATGCCGGAGCAGAGATCATGCCTAGGACCTGAGGAACATCTATCTTTACTGGTAGAAGAAAGAGAGCTGGCAAAGGGTGCGTGAGATGCAGGAAACACAGGGGACAGAGTGACAGAGGCGTGGTGGCAGCGTTAGTGCACTTCTCTGGAAGCAAGACTTTCTGTTGTGTTTTTTGTTTTCGTTTTTATTGAAAGAGCTTCCTGATTCCATGTCTGTTTTAGTGGGTGAATGGAATAAAAACCCAGCTATGAAAGGGTGAAATAAATAAAGGTAAGAAGGAAGCTGAGGAGCAGAAAGCTCAGCCTTGGCTGTCAGGAGGCAGCAGGGTCAGGAAAAATGTTGGGTTTTGCTCTTTGAGGATTTGTTTTATTTGGGGTGGCTTTTGTTTGCTTATTTACTTTTCCCGCTAATGCTGGAGAGCTGAGCATGATGGTGGTGGTGGGGAGGGGCTCATACAGGGCAGGGTCCAACCCCAGCCTCATTAGGGAGGCAGCTGCAGGGCCTGCTGGGAGCCACTGGACGACCAATTTCTGCTTTTTTCAGGAGTGGTTACTGAATAGTGTAGTCCTTGGCTGCAATTGTCTGTGAAATTGGTGGGTTTGAGGAGGTGTCCTTATAGGACCACAGGTTCTGCTACACCGTTTTATATTGGATTTTGCATATGGGTGAATTTCCCATATGCTGGAGAGAGACAGAAATGAGAGCTTTTAATGAAAGTTTGGTGGTTTATTGTATATATGTTTTGTTAGTTTCTGTGTTTGGTGATAAGGGGGGTCTGAGCTTGGCCTACTGTGGGGGTTTCGGCTGCCATCTGTGCACTGGGTCACCCTATCCTGGCAGGCACCTGCAAAAGGAGTGTTGTCATCTCCTCCTGCGTTTCCTCTGTTGAGAGTTATGGAGGAGATGGTGGGGAATAAGTTCTCACTCTTAGTCACGGCTCTGGTTTTTGCAGGCCTGCGTGATGTTTCCTTGCTGCGGCTGCACATCAGTGTCTTGTTTTCTCGGGTTTATGTTCCTTTGGGTGACTGTAGATAGGGATTGTAGCATGATCTCTCAGCACAATTTGGGATTGCTTCCCCCCAGACCCCCACCCCCCGCCGCCATTGTCAAAGGTGGTGATGAAAAGCTTTCTTACGGAGTTATTGTGAATGAAGTGTCAGGTCTTTTCCTGGGTTCTGCAGGCGAGGCTTGCTGTAATCCTCTCTTGCTCTCTCACTGATTCTCACTCTTTAAGGTGACTTTGATTGCAGGATTAGCCTTCAGAACCCTCATGAAATGCTGGATAGGGTGTGAAGTCATCAGAGTTAGGGGCTGGCCAGCTGCTGATCAGGGCTTCTCCCCCTACTTTTTTTTTTTTTTTTTTTTGAGACAGTATCTTGCTCTGTTGCCCAGGCTGGAGTGCAGTGGCATCTCGGCTCACTGCAATCTCCGCCTCCTGGGTTCAAGCAATTCTCCTGCCTTAGCCTCCCGAGCAGCTGGGATTACAGACATGTGCCACCACACCTGGCTAATTTTTGTATTTTTAGTAGAGATGGGGTTTCACCATGTTGGCCAGGCTGGTCTCGAACTCCTGACCTTAAGTGATGTACCCGCCTCAGCCTCCCAAAGTGCTGGGATTACAGGTGTGAGCCACCGTGCCTGGCCTGGTTTCTCCCTTGTTGATCTGCATTGGAGCTCAACACACTCAGTGTCCCCACTTGGAGTGTTCCCCACTGGGGAAAGAATTGCATAAAAAACATATGCTCCACTTGTTGATGCTAGCACTGGCCACACCTTCCACCTGCCTTCCTGGAGTTCTCAGAAATGAAGTGTCCCAGCTGAGCTGGAAAGAGTTGGAGTGATGTTATGTTTTATCTTCTGTGGGGAATCTCCCCCTTCTATCATTGTCTTGCCAGATAAGGTTACCTGGCTTCTATGTGTTGTAGGAACAGGTGAAGAACAAGGTGCCTCCATGCCAGAGGCTGCATGGCAGCCCAGCCCCACCGTGCCGGCCTGCGTGCTGGCTGTGGTCCCTCAGGCTTGTGTGCTGTTGGTACCTTTCTCACCAGTCTGGCAGTCAGTGATCCCTGTTGCATGGGGGCCATGGTAGTAGTTTTGGCTACTTCTGTTTGTTAACCATAGGTACAACACAAAGCATTTGTAAATAATGAACTCCAATCATTGCCGTTTCTGCCTGCAGCCTGGAATTGTCTCGCCATTTAAACGAGTATTCCTAAAAGGTGAAAAGAGTAGAGATAAGAAAGCCCATGAGAAGGTGACAGAGAGGCGCCCTCTGCACACTGTGGTGTTGTCATTGCCTGAGCGCGTCGAGCCAGACAGACTGCTGAGCGACTATATTGAGAAGGAGGTAAAGGTAAGTCGTCATGGGCCACAGGACGTGCCTGCCAAACGACAGTGACGGTCATGCTTGTATCCACCAGACACTCTTGAGTTTATAAGACACAGCCACACAAACACCTTAGTAGTTGATTATCCCACCCATTGTCTTGTCTATGCTGATAAATTTAATAATTGGATAACTGAAAACCCAGATTCTGTCTGCTGACCCCAGTTTATTTTTTTCTGTAGTAGCAATGCCACCTTCTTTCTCTCGAAGACTTGGCTGTGTGAGTAGTATGTGCTGCTCCACCAGAAGAGGGTTAAAGAGCTGGGAGAAAACTCACATCTCCTGTAGTTTGCAGTTGAAAAGAGTTACCTGGTCAAGGCCATGACCTTGCAGGTCTAACAGTCACCGCCTAGAATTCAGACCATGTGTTTGAGGCTCATCATTGGGTCTCAAAGGCCTGAGGCCAAAATACTGTGCATAAACCATGTGACGTGCATAAGTTGATTTTTAATCCCTCCCCTAAAATGAAAATATATGAATAAAAAGGTATAAAGCCATGAGGTCAGAGAGAATAGGAAAGGAGACAACAGTGGATGAGGTGGTCCGTAAACATGGAAGAAGGAAACCGCTGAGGGTGAGATGAGTTAGAGCTAATGCAGCCAGACCCGAGTTCCTGCAGAGGACCCAGAGTCCAGGGGGCTCAGGAGGGGCATGGGGCAGTTCGAATGTCCATGGGAGGGATTTCCACTCTCACCTGGCTCAGCCAGATGATTAACTCATCCCCACCCACTGGAAGATGGGGCTTTGGACGTGCAGAAACCTGGTACAGGGGCAGGTGGGGAGAGACCAAGACAGAAGATAAGGAAGTCAAGTCAAAGCCTGTATGTGGAATGGAGAGAATTCCCAATTCCTTTTTCTTTCAAGCTTCTAGAATGCCTGCAACCAGGCCTTTCCCACAAAGGAATTCTTGGAAGGGTGCTCATTGGGGAAGTTAAGCAGCCCCTACTGGCCCTTGGGTTTACCCAACCAACCAGCCTGAATAAACTCCAACAGTCAGGACTCCCGCCAGGCATCCGACGTCTGTCAGCTTTTTGGAGCCTCATTTCAAACACAGGCAGCTGAGTATAAGTACACATTTGAGGACAACTTTCAACCTAAAGGCAGAGCTCAAGACAAATACACAAACATGAATAAACAGCAACAATGCAGAAAATAGGGGAAGAAATGTAAAAGTATATAATATTTTCAGAAAGATAAGAGGAAATATTGTTGACAGTGACAACAGGATTCTACTTTTAAATAAAAAGGTGAGAGGAAGAGCTTCTGGAATTAAAACTGTTAATTAGGCCAGGTGCGGTGGCTCACACCTGTAATCCCAGCACTTTAGGAGGCCAAGGTGTGCGGATCACTTGAGGTCAGGAGTTCGAGAGCAGCCTGGCCAACATGGAGAAACCCCGTCTCTACTAAAAATACAAAAATTAGCCGGGCGTGGTGGCAGGCGCCTGTAATCCCAGCTACTTGGGAGGCTGAGGCAGGAGAATTGCTTGAACCTGGGAGGTGGAGGTTGCAGTGAGCCAAGATCACACCACTGCACTCCAGCTTGGGTGAAAGAGTGAGACTGTATGTCAAAAGAAAACAAAACAAAACAACTATGTTATTTATATATCTTTAAAAAATTCAATAGAGGTGTTGAAAGATAAAAGTAAAAAAAAAGGCCAGGTGCTGTGGCTCATGCCTGTAATCCCAGCACTTTGGGAGGCCAATCACGAGGTCAGGAGATTGAGACCATCCTGGCTAACACAGTGAAACCCTGTCTCTACTAAAAATACAAAAAATTAGCCGGGCGCGGTGGCGGGCACCTGTAGTCCCAGCTACTCGGGAGGCTGACATAGGAGAATGGCGTGAACCCAGGAGGTGGAGCTTGCAGTGATCCCAGATTGTGCCACTTCAGCCTGGGCAATAGAGCGAGACTCCGTCTCAAAAAAAAAAGTAAAAAAAAGTCCCAGAAAGAATATTCAAAAAACAAAGAAGGTTAATAAACAAAAGATGAGAAAGAGAAATGAAATTAGATGACCAATTCAGGAAGTTCAACATCTGACTCCCAAGAAAAAAGAATGAAGGGAAGAGTGAGAAGAAGTTATTAAGACAGTAAAGGAAGAACATTTTGAATAATTGACTGATGGACATGACTCCCCCCATTGAAAGGATCCTGTCATGATGACTAGACAGGTCTCTAAAACCTCAACTCACAGAAGCCTGTTCTTAGAAGTTACTGGAGGATGTGCTGCATCAAAACATAAGGGGAGGCCGGGCATGGTGGCTCACGCCTGTAATCCCAGCACTTTGGGAGGCCAAGGGGGGCAGATCAGATGAGGCCAGGAGTTTGAGATCAGCCTGGCCAACATGGCGAAACCCTGTCTCTATTAAAAATGCCAGAAAAATTAGCCAGGTGTAGTGGCACACGCCTGTAATTCCAGCTACTTGGGAGGCTGAGGCACGAGAATAGCTTGAACCCGGGAGGCGGAGGTTGCAGTGAGCCGAGATCGCACCCCTGCACTCCAGCCTAGGCGACAGCGTGAGACGCGGTCTTCAAAAACAAAACAAAACACAAGGGCAAACCAAGAATAGGAAGACACGGATTCATAGCCCAAGGGGTCTGCCAGGGAAAGGAACAAAGATAATTCCCAGGATGACAGGAAAGTGAAGTCCCAGGAAATTAATCTAAGAAACAGGCCACAGAAGCTCTGGGATAAGTAAGTATAGACTATATGTTTGGGTAGAATAATGTATTGAGAAGTTGCTGAAGAAATAGAATAGTACATAGAAACAAAGCAAATAGAGGTGTGGAGGAATTGATAATAAATCATTAAAAATGAAAACTTAAATGTTGGAAACTCCTGTTTCTGGGAAGATGAAGTAGACATTCTTTTCCCTGTTCTTCTAGTTAAGTGCATCTAAAATCTAAAATCCTTGGACACTATATGCAATAACGTAAGAACACTCTGAAAGGTAAAGAGAACGCAGACCACCCAGGACCCAGAAAATGACCCAGTAGTGATTTCTTCAGGTTGTCTTTTTGCCTCATGTAGCCCAGACTATGAGCCGAAGAAACTGGCAGCCCAGAAACACCAACAGGTACAGACAGAACCCCCTGCCAAAGCCAGCTCCTTCTGACCAAAGGACCAGGAAAGGGGCAGCCTAGCACAAAACAGAGAATATTTAGACAACTGCTCAGTGCAAACCAAACATGATAGAAAGGACTGTGGTCCTACCTCTGTGCCTGCTACCAGAGGCTAAGTGAGGGCCACTTACTCCTCCAGAGAAAGTTGAATAGGGACCATGGACTTTTATCCCTGTTGGGCAGTAACAAACCCCTAAGGAACCTTGTGTGGTTCTGGAGTGTTAGTGGAGACCACATTGGGTGGGGCAGTAATGAGGCCCTCCTATTCCTTCCAACCAGGGAAGAATCAGTGGAAGCCACATGGGGAACCAGAACTCTTATCATACCCAGCAGTAACGAGGAAGGAGCCCTCCACGCAGGAGGCCAAGTAGGGAATCTGACCTTTGACCCCTACTTGGTGGTAAAGGTGGTGTTGTCGAGCGCCGTGGCCCATGCCTGTAATCCCAGTACTTTGGGAGACTGAGGCGGACGGATCACGAGGTCAGGAGTTCAAGACCAGCCTGACCAACATGGTGAAACCCCATCTCTACTAGAAATACAAAAATTAGCCAGTTGTGGTGGCACACGCCTGTAATCTCAGGAGGCTGAGGCAGGAGTATTGCTTGACTCCGGAAGATGGAGATTGCAGTGAGCTGAGATCTCACCACTGCACTCCAGCCTGGGTAACAGAGCGAGATTCCATCTCAAAAAAAAAAGGTGCCGTTCCCTTCCCTTCTGAGGGCCTAGGTTAAATTTTCTAGCATTTGTATTGTTGAAGTCCTGAAAAGAGAGGAGAAAGAGGGAAGGGCTGAAAAACTTTTCAAAGATCTTATGGGTTGAAACGTTTGGCAAAGGACAAACTTAAAAGATTCAGAAAGCTGAGCAAACGCCAAACAAGATAAATCCACTACTAAAGCCCATCATAGTAGAATTTCTGAAAAGTAAAGACAACAACAACAAAAAATCTTGAAAGTGGCAAGAAAGAAACACTTTACTCATAGGGGAAAACAGAAAGCAGATTTCTTGTTACACATAATGAGGACCAGTGGCACAACATTCTTCAAGTTCTGAGAGACCCTGAGAATCAAAAGGATAATGAGAGAACACAAGCAACTCCACACACAGTGGGCCAAAAAATAGACCAATTCCTTGAAAAGCACAAACTCCTCCCACAGTCATCCAATATGAAATAGATCATTTGAATACCCCTATAATTATTAAAGAAATTCAGTATCTAATTTGAAAACTCCCATTAAAAAAAGTCTTTAGGCCCAAATGGTTTCACTGGAGAATTCTATCAAACATTTAAAGAATTAATGTCAATTCTACATACTCTTCCAGAAAAACAGAAAGGGAGGGAACTCTTCTGTTCTCTCTTCTCTTCTCTGCTTTCTCTTCTCTTCTTCTTCTTTTTTTTTTTTTTTTTTCCTTGAGATAGGGTCTGTCTCTGTTGCCCATGTTAGAGTGCAGTGGCATGATCATGGTTCACTGCAGCCTCGACCTTCCAAGCTCAAGCAGCCCTCCCACCTTAGCCTCCTGAGTAGCTGAGACTACAGGTGCCTGCCACCATGCCCAGCTAATTTTTTATTTTGTAGAGATGAGGTCTCACTGTGTTGACCAGGCTGTCTTGAACTCCTAGACTCAAGCAGTCCTCCCACCTCAGCCTCCCAAAGTCCTGGAATTATAGGCATGAACCACTGCACTTGGAATATTTTCTGACTCATTTTGTAAGGGCAGTATTGCCCTGATACCAAACCAGACAAAAAACAGTGCAAAATTAAAAGAAATAACAGACACCAATACAAACATAAAATTCCTCAGGAAACTATTAGGTAACATATTCAGCAATATAGAAAAAATTATACCTACTGTGGCTGTGAGAATAAACAACAAAAAAATTATACACCGTGAACAAGTGGAGTTTGTTCTGAGGATGCAAGGCTGGTTTGATACTTGAAAATGTAATCCATTGGCAGGAGAATCACTTGAACCCAAGGAGGCGGAGGTTGCAGTGAGCTGGGATTGTGCCACTGCACTCCAGCCTGGGTGATGGGGTGAGACTCCATCCCAAAAAAAAAAAAAATTGTGGAGAAATTTTAATTAACATTTCTTCAAATATTTAACTTTATTTTTTTCTTTCCTTCTAGGGCTCCCATTAATCACATATTGATATTTATTTTATTTTTCATGCCCTTTCATTTTTCTCTCATTTTTCCTATTCTTTACTCTTCCCAATGCCTTCTGGGAATGTTTCAAACCACTCTCCGTCTTATGAATTCATTCCTCAACTGTATTCATTCAACCCTGAATTAAATTGTTTGTTTCTACTATATCTGATTGGTCCTTTTTTATAACTCCTTGTCCCTATTTGTTTCCAGTGCCCTCCTACATGCCCTTGAGAATATTTATTAGGATTATTGTAAATTCTTGTTTTCTCTGGCTTATCAGTTCTTCTCCCTCCAGAATTAGTTGTTTAGTTTGTGATCTTGCCTTTCCAGTGCTTGAGGTCTGTGTTCCACAGATCTGTCTTTATTTTTTCCATTCCCTCCAGAATATCAGCTATAGTTTTTTTGTTTTGTTTTGTTTCGTTTTGGGATGGAGTCTCGCTCTGTCGCCCAGGCTGGAGTGCAGTGGTGCAGGCTCCGCTCACTGCAAGCTCCGCCTCCCGGGTTCACGCTGTTCTCCTGCTTCAGCCTCCCGAGTGGCTGGGACTGCAGAAGCCTGCCACCACGCCCAGCTAATCTTTTTTTGTATTTTTAGTAGAGATGGGGTTTCACCGTGTTGGTCAGGATGGTCTCGATCTCCTGACCTTGTGATCCTCCCGCCTCGGCCTCCAAAGGTGCTGGGATTACAGGTGTAAGCCACCACGTCTGGCCCAGCTGTAGTTTTTATATTACGTTCTGAGTTCCATCTATAGCCCACTTGCTTCTGAGGCATCTCCAGGATGAGATTCAAAGGAGGGAAACCCCAATTGCTGTAAGTTCCCCATCTTGACTCTTGACTTCCTTACAGCATAAACTACACTTCTGGTCCTCAAGATTTAGCCCAATTTGACTGGGCTGTCTTTTTATGTTCAGTAGAATTAGACTATATCACAGAACCACCAAACATTTTTTACTAGTTTATGGAGAGAATTACCATTTTCTAGAGGTAGGGAAGAGACATTAGTGACCTCATATGGCAAATTACTATGGAGAATATAATTATTTCCAAATTTTCCTAGAACCATAATACTTTGTGATTGTTACAGTGATTCTTATTTTCCTTCCTTCCTTCCTTAGACCTCTTAAGTATACCCTATAATATGATTTTTAATTCAAAAGTTATTAAAATTTTGTTTTGAAGATTTCATAACTAAACTCTAACCGATCCCCAAGATGACTAGAAAAGCCTCTTGGTTTTACAAAACTAGTTTGGATAGTGCTGTTCTGAAGGTATAATAGAAATTGGTGAAATTATTTGTGGCCTGTCTTTGTGTTCTTGCTGTATCAATATTTGTATCTTATCAGATACCTTTACATATGTCTAGCCTTTTCTTTCTATCTGACATTAACTTATTCAACAAATATATGTTGAACACTTGCTCCACTATCGTTATAGCTGCTAGGTGCAGCTAGAAGTGACAGCTGATAGAGCAATTTCTTTAGAGTAGTTTGTGCAGTTTCAGTTGAAAAATCAGCGCCTGGTTTCCATTCAGGCCCTGCTATTGTGCATGGGAACTTGAATCACCTTGGAACTTTTGTATTGATTTCCATAAATGGGAAGTTAGATGAATTGCTTAATAATACCATATGTTTGCAGAAATAAAAGAAAAATCACCGCTTAAAAAAATGTAATCCATCATATTAACAAGCTAAAGAAGAAAAATCACATAATTATATCAATCAGTGGCAGAAAGTTTATTTGACAAAATTCAGCACCCATTCTTGATTAAAAACTCAGACAAATGGGGCTGGGTGCGGTGGCTCACGCCTGTAATCCCAGCACTTTGGGAGGCCGAGGCAGGTGGATCACAAGGTCAGGAGATCAAGACCATCCTGGCTAACATGGTGAAACACTGTCTCTACTAAAAATACAAAAAATTAGCCGGACGTGGTGGCGGGTGCCTGTAGTCCCAGCTACTCGGGAGGCTGAGGCAGGAGAACAGCATGAACCCGGGAGGCGGAGCTTGCAGTGAGCCCAGATCATGCCGCTGCACTCCAGCCTGGGTGACAGAGTGAGACTTTGCCTCAAAAAAACAAAACAAAACAAAACAAACTCAGACAAACAAGATATGTTTTTGAACAATGAATATGTGGATATCAAAATTAAATCAATACCATTCACAATCACTTAAAAAATGAAACACGGGTATAAATCTTACAAAACATGAATAAGATTTGTATGCTGAAAACTATAGAACACTGATGAAAGAAATCAAAGATCTGAATAAGTGGAGAGACACACTGAATTCATGGATTGGAAGACTCAACCTAATTAGTATGTTACTTGTCCCTAAGTTGATATAAATGGACCAACTCCTTGAAAAGCACAAACTACTACTACAAGTCATCCAATATGAAATAATTTGAATAGCTTGTAACTATTAAAAGTGAATTCTACAATTCCTATCAAAATTTCAGCAAGAATTTTTTGTAGATATAAACAAGACTATTCTTAAAGTGCAGTGGCACGATCTTAAATTTCAAGCTATTCTTGAAATTTAAATGGAGAGGCAAAATAAGTAGAATAGCTAATAATAATTTTGAAAAAGAAGAAAATGAGAAGAGTCAGCCTGTCTGATTTCAAGATAGATCATACTGCTATCACAATCAAGACTGTGGTATCTGCAGAGGGACTGACACAGAGATCAGGGGAGCAAAATGAACTAGAAACAGATCCACACATATATGCCCAGCTGATTCTTGACAAAGGTTCATAAGCAATTCAGTGGAGAAGGGATAGGATAGCCTTTTAACAAATGGTGCTGGAGCAGTTGGACATTTGTAGGCAAAAATTGAACCTTGCCCTGAATTTCACAACTTAAACACAAAAATTAACTCAAAATGGATCATAGGCTTAAATATAAAATACAACTTCTAGGATAAAACATAGAAAATCTTCAGGATGCAGGGCTACGCAGAGTTCTGAGACTTGATACCTAAAGCATAATTCATAAAAGAAAAAACTGATAAACTGGACTTCATCAAAATTTAAAACTCTTGCTCTATAAAAGACAATGAAAACATATGCTACAGACTGAGAGGAGATATTTTTAAACCACATATCTGACAGAGGGTTGGTATCTACAGTATATAAAGAACTCTCAAAACTCAACAGTAAAACAAACAATCCGATTAAGACATAAGCAAAAGACAGGAGGAGATACTTCAATGAAGAGGATATACAGATGGCAGTAAGCACATGAAAATATGCTCAGCATCATTAGCCATCAGGGAAATGCACATTAAAACCATAATGAGCTGCCAATACACACCTAACAGAATGTTTAAAAAAAGTAGAACACAAGATGCTGGAGAAGATGTGGAGGAACTGGACCCCTCATTCATTGCTGGTAGGGATGTAAAATGGTACCGCCACTCTAGAAAGCAGTCTGGCAGTTTCTTCAAATCTCCACGTGCAACTACGAACAACTTGGCAATTGCACTCCTAGGCATTTATCCCAGGGAAATGAAAATTTATGTTCACATGAAAACCTGCCTACTAATATTCAAAACAGTTGTATTCATAGTAGCCCAAAACTGGAAACAACTCCATGTCCTTTGGTGGATAAATGGTTAAACAAAATGAGGTCCATCCATGCCACAGAAGACTATTCAATAATACAAAGGGCTGGGCATGGTGGCACCTGCCTGTAGTCCCACCTACTGGGGAGGCTGAGGCTGGAGGATTGCTTGAGCCCAGGAAGTCCAGGCTGCAGTGAGCCATGATCATGCCACTGTGCTCCATCCTGGATGACAGTGAGACCCTGTCTTAAAGCAACAACAAAGGAACAAACTACACAGCAACCTGGATGGGCCTCCAGAGAATTATGTTGAGTGAAAAAAGCCGTTCCTAAAGGTTTCACACTGTATGTTCCTTTCTGTAACATCTTTGAAATGACACAGTTGCTGAGGTGGAGAACAGATTAGGGTTTGCTAGGGGTGGAGAGAAGTAGGTGTGCCTATAAAGGGCAACAGGAGGGGTCCTCACAGTGATGGGTGCTCTGGCTGTGTTTACATCCATGTCCTGGTGTGATGTGCTGTAGTTCTGCAAGATGTCACTGCTGGGGGCAATAGGGTAAAGGGAGCGATGGATCTCCCTGTATCATTTCTTATAATAAGAGAATTTACAATTACCTTAAAATAAAAGTTTAATTATAAAGAAATTGCAATTTGACTACTACTTGGCATGTCAGTGAGAGAATGTAGATAATAAAATGATGTAAAAACTAAGTAATGATTAAGAAAAATTATCTAAGTTGTAAGAAAAGAGAGGGAAAGTGGGAATGGTGATACAATTGGAAGTCAATATCTTAAATTGATAAGCAATAGGAATATAAGCCCATTATTTAGAAAAATGGCTCTAGATCCTAGAAGAATCAGAAGACTTCAGTGTGGCTGCCTCTTGGAAGTGGTTTGTGGATGGGGTTGTCCCAGTTAGTAAAGGAGATTGTTGTTGTTTTGTTTTACAATTTTTTGAACTTTATTTGCCTTTTTAAACTGTATACATTTCATAAAATAAAAACAATCACAATAATAAAATCCACCAGTGATAGGAGACATTTAATCCCACATACTCCAGTGTGGTGTTTATGGGAAGTATTTTGTTTTTAGAATGAACATTAATGAACAAGTTGAGAGGGATTTAATAGTAGCTTCTGTTTTGGAATGCTTACTGTGTGCAGCAACACTATTTAACATTTTAAATATATTTTTCTCATTTAATCTTCACAAAACCTTCATAAAGTAGAAACATTCCTCTGGGAGGCCGAGGCAGGCGGATCACGAGGTCAAGAGATCTAGACTATCCTGGCCAACATGGTGAAACCCCATCTCTACTAAAAATACAAAGATTAGCTGGATGTGGTGGTGTGCACCTGTAGTCCCAGGTGCTTGGGAGGCTGAGGCAGGAGATTCGCTTGAACCCAGGAGGTGAAGGTTGCAGTGAGCCGAGATTGTGCCACTGCACTCCAGGCTGGTGACAGAGCAAGACTGTCTAAAAAAAAAAAAAAATTCTTTCTGTAGTTTCCATCACAAGCTGACATTTTCCCCAGTAGGATTTGGTGCAGTGCAAGGCTCACGTGGGCTCACCTAGTGACTATGAATGGACTCATAGCAGGCTTGCTGTGTGGTTTTAATAATGGGACAGGGTAATTAATCACATTTGTGATAACAAACCCAAGAAGCTCTTCTCAGATTTGTTATTATTTTTTGAGACAGGGTCTCACTCTGTCACCCAGGCTGGAATGTAGTGACACAGTCATGACTCACTGCAGCTTCAACTTCCCTGGGCTCAGGTGATCCTCTCACCTCAGCTTCCTGAGTAGCTGGGACCACATGTTGCACCATCACACCTGGCTAATTTTTGTATTTTTTTGTGGTGATGGGGTCTTGCCATGTTGCCCAGGCTGGTCTCGAACTCCTGTGCTCAAGCGATCCTCCTGCCTCGGCTTCTCAAAGTGATAGATTACAAGTGTGAGCCACCATGTCCGGCCTATTATTTATTTTTATCTAATTGAATATGTAATTTATGTACATGGTTCAAAATTCAAATGATAACAGAGATTCTTGGTGAAAAGAAATCATGTGCACCCTCCGTGGGAGGAATTGCTGACACCAGCTTCTTGTGTCTTTACAGTCTGTCCATATATGAGCTTACACATGCATTTGTTTCCCAAATGATTACACGGTATACACTGTTTGCACCTTGCTTTTTACACTGAACAGTGTATCTTGATTTATCGCCGAGTGTTCACATTAGCACACATAAAACTGCCTCGTCCATTTTAATGGTTGCATGATATTCCATTAGATAGCTGTGTCATATTCTATTTAACCAGTGATTTATTAATACATATTTAATTTATTTTCAACTGTTATGTATGTTTTACTGTACCTATAGGATAAATTACAAAAGTGGAGTTTCTAGATCTAAGGCTAGGTTACTTTTTAATTTGACAGACATTTCCAAATTGCTCTTCATAAAGGGTTGAAGTCAGTGCATACGTGAGGACTCTGTGAGTGTGCAGGCGGCCCTGTACCTCTGCAGGTTCTTCACCTGAGTCAAGCAACTGTGGGTTGAAAGTATTCAAAAAAAGAACAATAAAAAAACCACTACAACAATAAAAAATAATACAAATTTAAAAAATACAGTGTAACAACTATTTACATAACATTTACATTGTATTAGGTATAAGTAATCTAGAGATAATTTGAAGTACAGTCTTGGCCATATAACAACATATTGGTCAACGACAGACCACACATATGACAATGGTCCCATGAGATTATAAGGGAGCTAAAAAATT
Organism: Homo sapiens; assembly: GCF_000001405.40. Classification (NCBI taxonomy): domain Eukaryota; kingdom Metazoa; phylum Chordata; class Mammalia; order Primates; family Hominidae; genus Homo; species Homo sapiens. Next base: position 45,050,069 of record NC_000007.14, read on the forward strand.
TCCATTGCCTAGTGACATAGCTGTCTTAACATTGTAGCACAACGCATCACCTTTTCTGTGTTTGAATGTATTTAGAGTCACAAATACTTACTATTGTGTTACAGTTGCCTGCCTGCAGTATTCATACATTAACATGCTGTACAGGTTGTAGCCTGGGAGCAATACCATATAGCCTAGGTGTGTAGTGGGCTATAATGTACCATCTGAGTTTGTGTAATTACACTCTGTGATGTTCACTCAATGATGAAATTGCCTAATGACATATTTCTCAGAATGTATCTCTGTTGTCGAGTGATGCATGACTGTTACACAGGAGGAGTGTAGGTTATGTGCAACTAATACTGCCATATTGTATGAGGAACTTGAACATCTGCAGATTTTGGTATCCCAAGAGGCTCCTGGAACCAAGCCCCAGCAGATACTGAGGGACAACTGTACCTGTTTCTCCACCCTCTGAGGAACGCAGTGTTTATTCAAACTTTTTGGTCTTTGCCAGTCTGATATTCTTAAAATGTTTTCTCATTATAGTTTGTACTTATAAGTGAGGTTGAGTGTCTTTCAAATGGTCAAAAGTCAGGTCTCTTTCAGACTACCTTTCTAGATCCATTGCCCATTTTTTCTGTTGGGTTATTGCTTCTTTTCTTATATCTTTGCAGTAGCTCTCAGTGTGTCGGGTAAGTTAGTCCTCTGCTGTAAAGTTAGTTTTAAATGTTTTCCCCTAGTTTGTCATTTGTCTTTGTTCATCATTGTCTTCAATTGGTTCTCTTGCAGCAGAGCCTGAAACTGGGGATCATGTTCCACTGATCTGTAAAGGGCATGCTCAAGAGAAAGAGTGAAGGGGGTAGGGTAGGGCAGAGGGGAAAGATGCCTGAAAATCATAGACTCGGGTTAATTTCAACCTGATCATGCTCTAAAGCCTAGAATGCCACAGCTCGGTGAAGACAGAAGTAGCTCAGGGTGTTACCCATCCACCCTCAGAGCAGTGGGGGGATCCTGGGTGAGACACCACTGCCTGTACTACACTCCACCCTGCACTTCCTCATCCACATATTTCTCACGTTAAGTTCATTCTATCCAGACTCAGCTTCTCCAGAGGCATTTGGTCATGATTTCTGGAAACCTTTCCAGATGAACTACAGCCCTGACTACTTCAGTGGGTCCCAAGGCCTCATTCCACCCACTGGGGACATAGCACCATGTAGCAACTATTGGTTTAGATGTATACTGCATCCTAAAGAAGAGGGGGCATCCTTTCAGGGTGTCATCTCCCAGCTGGCCACAGCTCTATCAAGATGACAGCTCCAGGATGCTTGGGTATTTATTTATTTATTTATTTATTTATTTATTGAGACATAGTCTCGTTCTGTCGCCCAGCCTGGAGTGCAGTGGCGTGGTCTTGGCTCACTGCAAGCTCTGCCTCCCGGGTTCATGCCATTCTCCTGCCTCAGCCTCCCTAGTAGCCGGGACTACAGGCGCCCGTCACCACGCCTGGCTAATTTATTTATTTATTGTGAGACGGAGTCTTGCTCTGTCTCCCAGGCTGTAGTGGTGGCATGATCTCAGCTCACTGCAAGCTCTGCCTCCCGGGTTCATGCCATTCTCCTGCCTCAGCCTCCCAAGTAGCTGGGACCACAGGCACGTGCCACCACACATGGCTAGTATTTTTGTATTTTTAGTAGAGACGGGGTTTCACTGTGTTAGCCAGGATGGTCTCGATCTCCTGACCTCGTGATCCGCCCACCTCGGCCCCCCAAAATGCTGGGATTATAGGCATGAGCCACTGCGCCCGGCCACGCCTGGCTAATTTTTTGTATTTTTAGTAGAGACGGGGTTTCACTGTGTTAGCCAGGATGGTCTTGATCTCCTGACCTCGTGATCCACCCGCCTCGGCCTCCCAAAGTGCTGGGGTTACAGGCGTGAGGGTATTTTATAGGACATTGAATTCCGTGATCATGTGCCTACTGCTGTACCTCCTTTAGCACTAAGTGAGTCCCTTGATCCAAGGTGATGATGGTACTTGCTGTCCCACATCGGAAACCACATGCTCCACAAGCCCTTGGAGAGTAGGTTGGCAGCTGCTGCAGGCAGGAGAGGCAAACCCTTATGTGGAGGACATGCTAATTTTTGCCAGAACAAGTGTTTCTTATTGCAGGATCAAAGGAGTTCTGAAGTATTCAGCTGGCCAGCAGACAGGACAACTGGTTGGTCTCTTGGAGGGGATGATGCCTTATCAGGGCTGCAGAATTGGTATCCTGCTGGCAGGTCTGCCACGGTGAAGGGCTGTAGTGTATTTGCTTGTGCCTAAGTATGTGAACCAGGCTTGGGGTTTTCTTTCTGTCAGCTGTGTATTGGGAACCCTTTCTGAGGCTGTGGGTGTAATTTAAGGGAGAGGCTTCAGAACAGGTCCGCTGGGAAGTGTTTAGGTTTGGGCCACCTGTTCCTGCAGCTGGCACTGTTAGCACAGTCCTGCAGTAAGAACGTGAACATGTACTGTTGTCCATCCCACATGAACATCAGTAGTTCCTGATTGGTTTGAGGAAGAAGTGTTTACCGCATCAGTAGCTACAAACCATGTACCCAAGATTGTTTATCCACTTGAATAAAGATTCCATTTAGCTCAGTTTGTGGCAGTCTACAGTCATCTACCACAATTTATCCACCATAATTTCTATAGGAGCCAGACTGGGCATGAGATGGGGGCCCCTACCCTGTGTCATTTATGTTTTCAAGAGCAGCATTAATCTCTGCTTTTCCCACTGGGAAATGATACTGTTTTTGATTTACTATGGCCAGGGGTCAGGGGCCGGATAAATTTCAGGGGCTTCCAAATGGCCTTTTCTACTTATAGCTCTTATTCTTTAGACAAAGGACCAATGGAAGGATTCTGCAAAGTGCTAAGTATGTCCGTTCCTCTTGTATTACGTCTCTTATATTCAGGGAAGTGGGCAGATGGCCACCAGTGGAGTCTTTACCCAGTGGATGTACTTTCAGGTGGACCTGGCTGGGCTTCATGTATTATCTGACTCCCATATGTTCCTACTCTGCAGAGGACCTTTTTGATAGTTTGGGTCCCTAAGTATGTGCATTGTCTCAGACCCTCTATTTCAAAAACCTCTGAAGACTTGCAGTTCCTATGGTACTTTTACCCAGGTGAATGAAGTCCCTTTGGGAAGAGCTGGGGAAATCACTGTGGTGTGTACTTGCCTTGGTGTTGCAGGTCGACTCCCACGCAGGCTTGGTCTCTCCTTCAGTCAGTGTTTCTGAGTCTGAGAGCTGCTCCAGATCTAGAAACGGAGTCAGGGATTGATACTTTGCATTGTAGAAGCTCACCTTAGCCTTCTGCTTATTCCGTTTTGATTTTCTTGTTTATATATAGTAAGCAGCACCCTTCTTGGCTTCGTATCTGTCCTGCCCATGGAAACTCCAGCATTCTGTGAGCCGTCTCCATAGATCCCTGCATGGATCCCAGGCTCCCCTGGCTACTATTTTGACTTTGCTGCCTATTACCAGCTGACACCTACACCTGCTCTGTGCGAGTCAGTGCTGCTCCCTGGCTTCTGCTAGGGAAGGTCTTATTACCCCCTTGCTCCTGGGGAGCCCAGTTCTGTACACGCACACCTGATGGTTAGCTTCCCCTTCGGAGGCTGGCCAGTACAGAGCTTCCCAGTGATGCCTGTAGACCTTCTGCACACTCATTAGTGCCATGGTTGATGGAATGCCATCATGTTCTCCTGAGGGACATGGGCCACGGGTGGGCTTTCCTGTCATTTTGTATGTCGATTATAGTATGTCTACTTCCCTGAGCCTTTCGATACCTGGATCCACTTTGCCACAGCAGTCCCACAATCTCTGCTTTAATATGAGCCATCACTTTGGCTGAACTTTGAAGAGCCTGCCAGCAGTATCTGAGAATGGCCTCTGGACCCCTTCTCAGGGTGTTAAATGCTGTGTTATAGTACATGCCGTAGTAGAGAAGATCTCTCATTCAGCTTAATATTCTGTCCCCCTGGATCCAGCACCTTGAGGTCCTCTCCCAGGTGCATTCCCCAGCTCTGTCAGAACTCGTTAGACACATCCCGTAGCCGGTGTCAGCCATGGAGGAGGACAGGGCAGATTCTGGGGAGAGCAAGCAGTATCTCATGAGATTCCCATTTCATTTGAGGCCTATGTGTTATATTCAAGCAAGGAGTGTGTGGGGGGCTTCTGTCGTACAACAAAAGGGGATAGGTCACTTCTGTAGGCACAGTGTTAAGAAGAATTTGAGGACTAAGGTTCTCAAAGGCATTTACCCAGCTATCCCCATCCCAAATCTCAGAATCCTGTTCCTTCCCTGTTAGGGCCCAGACCCTGCCACGGGAACTTTATCAATCAAGGCCAATAAAGAGAAGTTATGGGGAGACTGATTTAGGATCAATATTAAAAAAAAAAACACTTATATCTTGTCAGAAGTTGTTTTTAGAAGAATTTTCTGTTTAGAGCCAACTCCCCTACCCCACCCCCTAGACAAGGTGCTTGAGGAGGTGGTGAGCCTGCCAGCGTGGAGCTGTGTGGTTGGCAGTCAGGCAAGGGTGTGTGAGAGGCCACCTGGCCATACCGTCTTCTTTCACTAATCCCAGAACTGATGGAGCTGATGGCTGGCTGGTCAGATGTCCCCTTGCTCTCTCACTGCTTCACCGTGGTCCTCTCTCTTGTAGCTGTGCTCTTGGCTTGCTGGGACAGTGGGTGTGGGCTGGGCATGGCATTGCCATAGGGGCACTGGGTGTTGGCCAGGGGACACCCAGGAGACAGGGTTCCCCAGGGCAGATGGGGAGCCCATTTTGAGAACTGTCCAGGAGGCATACATACCGTATCCTATTCAGATATTAGAACAAGGATTAGAGCTGTACTTTTTCTTTATTGACAAAAGTTGTTTTCCTACTATAAATATTTCACAGTGAAAAAAATCTCAAATGAGTAAAGATTCATCCCTATAGGAAGAAAGTAGAATCGTGAATCCTCTTTAGAGATCTGTGAGCCTGAGTTTTTGAAGCATCATGGCCAGATTTTGGATAACACCAAAGAAAAGCAAGATAATGATGGTGATGTCGTGTCACCCCAGCCACAGGGAGGCCAGGGAGAATTCCTGTACAATTCTGTAAACATAATTCCGGGGTACTTTTGTTTCAGCAAAGCACTTGACATATGACCCCATCTTAGTCAGTATTTTTTATTACCCTTTTGAGAACAGAGAATAATATTTGTGGATGATACAAAACTAGGAGGGATAGCAAATGAAATTGAATAAAGCTAATTAGATGAAATTTTTTATTGTAGTAAAATATACATAAGATTTATTATCGGCCGGGCCCGGTGGCTCATGCCTGTAATCCCAGCACTTTGGGAGGCTAAGGCGGGTGGATCACGAGGTCAGGAGTTCAAGACCAGCCTGGCCAAGATGGTGAAACCCCGTCTCTACTAAAAATACAAAAAAATTAGCTGGGTGTGGTGACGGGTGCCCGTAATCCGAGCTATTTGGGAGGCTGAGGCAGATAACTGCTTGAACCCAGGAGGCAGAGGTTGCAGTGAGCTGAGATCGCACCACTGCACTCCAGCCTAGGTGACAGAGCGAGACTCCATCTCAAAAAAAAGATTTACTGTCTTAATCATTTTGAAGTGTAGAGTTCAATGGCATAAAATCAATTCACATTGTTGTGCAACCATCAGCACTATCCATCTCCAGAGCTTCCCACCAGCCCTTACTGAAACCATGTTCCTGTTGGACAATGCCTCTCCATCTCCCTCCCACAGCCCCTGGCAACCACCGCTTTACTTTTTGTCTCTATGATTTGACTACTCTAGGTATCTTATGTAAGTGGAATCATACAATATTTGTCCTTTTGTGACTGGCTTATTTCGCTTAGCACAGTGCCCTCAAGGTTCTTCCATGTCGTAGCATGTGTCAGCATTTCCATTGCTTTTAAGGCTGAATAATATTTCATTGTATGTGTAGATCACATTTGGTTTATTCATTTATCTGTCAATGAACATTTGAGTTGTTTCTTGCTTTAGTTGATTGTGAATCATGCTGCTATGAACATGGGTGTACAAATGTCTTTTCAAGCCCCTGCTTTTATTTCTTTTGTATATATACCCAGAAGTGGAATTACTGAATCATATGCTAATTCCATGTTTAATTTTTTGAGGAACCACCATATTGCTTTTCACAGGAGTATCATTTTACATTCCCATCAGTAATGCACAGGGTTTCAATATCTCCATATCTTTGCCAACAATTGTAATTTTCCCTTTTTTAAATAGCCATCTAGGCTGGGTGTGGTGGCTCACGCCTGTAATCCTAGCACTTTGGGAGGCTGAGGCAGGAGGATCAATTGAGCTCAGGAGTTCAAGACCAGCCTAGGCAACATAGTGAGACCCCACCCCCGTCACTATTAAAAGAAAAAAGTAGCCATCCTAGTGGGTGTGAAGTGGTATTTCATTACGGTTTTGATTTGCATTTCCCTAATAACTATTGATGTTGAAAATCTTTTCTCATGCTTGGCTTATTGGCCATCTGTGTATCTTTAGAGAAATGTCAAGTCATTTGCCCAGTTTTTAATTGGGTTGTTTGGTTTTTGGTTGTTGAGTTCTAGGACTTCTTTATATATTTTAGATATTAATCCCTTATCAGATATGATTGGAAACATTTTCTCCCATACTGTGGGTTTTTTCACCGTGTTGATTGTATTCTTTGGCGCACAAAAGTGTTTAATTTTGGTGAAGTCCAGATTTGTTTTTCTTTTGTTGCCTGTGCTTTTGGTGTGATAGCCAAGAAATCATTGATAAATCCAATATCATGAAGCTTTTCCTGTGTTTTCTTCTAAGAATTTTATAGTTTTAGGTCTCACATTTATATATTTGACCCATTTTGAGTTAATCTTTGTAAATATTGTTAGGTAAATGGTCTAAACTTCATTCTTTTGCCTGTGGATATCCAGTTTTCCCAGCACCATTTGTTGAAAAGACTGTCTTTTCCCCATTGAATGCTCATCATGGCACCCTTGTTGAAAATAATCTGACCATATACACAAGGGTCTTTCTTGGGCTCTCTTTTTTTCTTTCTTTCTTTTTTTTTTGAGATGGAGTCTCACTCTGTTACCCAGGCTGGAGTGCAGTGGTATGATCTCGACTCACTGCAGCCTCTGCCTCTTGGGTTCAAGCAGCTCCCCTGCCTCAGCCTCCCAAGTAGCTGGGACTACAGGTGTGCGCCGCCACACCCGGCTAAGTTTTGTATTGTTAGTAGAGACGGGGTTTCACCATGTTGGCCAGGATGGTCTTGATATACTGACCTCGTGATCCACCCGCCTCGGCCTCCCAAAGTGCTAGGATTACAGGTGTGAGCCACCGCGCCTGGCCTTGGGCTCTCTTTTCCAATCCATTGGTCAGTGTCTGTCTTTATATCACGCTCTTTCCATGACTGTGGTGGTGTAGTAAGTTTTGAAATCAGGAAGTATGAAAATAGTTGAAATTTATTACTGATAAATGTAAGCAGTATCTACATTTGGTTTATATGAGCAGATAGGAAGAGGATGGAAAGGCCTCAGCTAAGGGCAGGTCTGTGGAAACATTCCAAAATGTTCACTGATGACAGGCTAAGGATGAGCCAGTACTTGGATGTGCTGCTTATTTGTTCTGAAACTGCTCTAATTATCAGAAGGGTCTTACCAGCACTATAGAGATTGGGGAAGCCAATACATACTTTTGCATTCTTCCCTCCCCACTTCCATCCTCACCTTATGAAATATAAAACTTCTTGGAATAACTATACATTTCCTTATGGAGCTGCCCAGCACACGCAATTCTGAAGTTTAGGTTGCCCATCTGACTAAGCCCAAGATGAACTTGTATTTGCCACCGTGCCCTGAGTGTGCTTCAGCCAGTTACTCTTCTGCCTGTTTCCTGCTCCATCCAGTGAGAAGGCTACATTGCATAGCAAGCAGCAGGTAGACTGACTCATGTCACCGTGTTTACGTTGCTTGGATTCGGAAATCTCCAGAGTGACCTCCTTGCTTGGTTCCCAGTCAGAGAGGTCATCTGTCAGCAAAGACAGTTTCCCAACCTTTATACTTTTTGTTTCCTTCTCTTGCATAATTGCATTAGCTGAGACTTCTATATGATGTTAAATCATAGTGATAAGAGGGGACATCTTTGCCTTGTTCCTGATCTTAGGGGGAAGGTATCTAACTTTTTGCCATTAAGTATGATGTTCGCTTTAGGGTGTTTTTTTTTAATACTTTAAGTTTTAGGGTACATGTGCACAACGTGCAGGTTTGTTACATATGTATACATGTGCCATGTTGGTGTGCTGCACCCATTAACTCATCATTTAGCATTAGGTATATCTTCTAATGCTATCCCTCCCCCCTCCCCCCACCCCACAACAGTCCCCGGTGTGTGATGTTCCCTTTCCTGTGTCCATGTGTTGTCATTGTTCAATTCCCACCTATGAGTGAGAACATGCGGTGTTTGTTTTTTTGTCCTTGCGATAGTTTGTTGAGAATGATGGTTTCCAGTTTCATAAATAGATGTTTTTAATTAGTTCAGGAAGTCTCTATTCCTGGTTTGCTGAGAGCTTTTGTCATGAATGGGTGTTAGATTTGTCAAATGCTTTTTCTACATCTATTGCTACAATCATATGATTTTTCTTTAGCCAGTTGATGTGATGGATTACAACGATATATTTTTTTTTGAGACAGAGTTTTTGTTCTGTCACCTAGGCTGGAAAGCAGTGGCACGATCTTGCCTCAGCCTCCTGAGTAGCTGGGATTACAGGCACCTGCCACCACGCCCAGCTAATTTTTTTTTTTTTTTTGTATTTTTAGTGTAAACGGGGTTTTGCCATGTTGGCCAGGCTGGTCTCAAACTCCTGACCTCAGGTGATCCACCTACCTTGGCCTCTCAAAGTGCTGGGATTACAGGTGTGAGCTACCATGACCAGCCTAATTTTCTTATTTTTAGTAGAGATGGGGTTTCACCATGTTGGCCACACTAGTCTTGAACTCCTGACCTCAGGTGATCCACCCATCTTGGCTTCTCTAAATGCTGGGATTATAGGCATGAGTCACTGCCCCCGCTACGATTGATATTTGAACATTGAATTAGCCTTGCACACCTGGGATAAATCCTGCCTGGTCGTGGTGTATAATTATTAATACATTATTGGATTCAATTTGCTGATTTTTTGTTTAAAAGTTTTGGCCAGGCATGGTGGCTCATGCCTGTAATCCCAGCACTTTGGGAGGCCAAGGCAGGAGGATCACTTGAGCCTAGGAGTTTGAGACTAGCCTAGGCAATGTGGCGAAACCCTGTCTGTTAAAAAAAAAAAAAAGAAAGAAAGAAAGAAAAAACAAAAAATACAGGCTGGGTGCGGTGGCTCATGCCTGTATTCCCAGCACTTTTGAAGGCCGAGGCGGGCGGATTGATTGAGCTCAGGAGTTCGAGACCAGCCTGGGCAACATGGCAAAACCCCGTCTGTCTCTACAAAAAATACAAAAATTAGCTGGGCCTGGTGGCATGTGCGTGTAGTCTCATCTACTAGTGGGAGGATCGCTTCAGCCTGGGAGGTTGAGGCTGCAGTGAGCTGTGATTGTGCCACTGCACTCCAGCCTGGGCAACAGAGCAAGACCCTGTCTCAAAAATGTGTATGTGTGTATATATATATATTTATTTTAGTGGTTGCCTTAGGGTTTGCAATATACATTCACAACTAATCAAAATCCACTTTCAAATAATGCTGTGCTGCTTCACAGGTAGTGCAAATACCTTGTAACCAAGTATTCCCAGTTCACTCCTCCCACTGCTTATAACATTGCTGTCATTTATTTCATTTATCCTTAGGCTACAGTCACCCAATACACAAATTTTATTTTGAACAAATTGTTAATGTGTTAGAGCAATTAAAATAAGAAAAATAAAAGATTAATTTTACCTACATTTATTTCTTCTCTGATGCTTTTCCCCTTCTTTACATAGATCAGAGTTTCTGACCAAATCATTTTCATTCTCTCTGAAGAAGTTCTTTTAACTTTTCTTGAAATGTTAAATCCCTGAGTTTTTGTTTTTCTGATAAAAATCTTTATTTCTCTTTCACTTTTGAAGGATAATTTCACTGGATACAGAATCAAATAGTTCCCTCCTCTCTCTTCTTGCTTGGATGGTTCCTGAAGAGAAATCCAGTGTCATTCTTGTTCTTGCCATTTTATAGGTAGGATGTTTTTTTCCTGTGGAAAAAATTCCCAGATTTCTGCAAAGAGAGAATCTTCCTTTCTAATTTTCTTTTTGTCTTTGATTTCTGCAGTTTGATGTGATTTGCCTCAGTGTAAATTACCTGCTTTTTACCGTTTCATGTTCTCTGACCTTATTGGATCTGTGGATGGGTGTCTGACATTAGTTTGGGGAACTTCTCAGCTCTCATTACTCCAAATAGTTATTGTGTTCTTTTCTTTCTCTTGATATCCTCATTGCACATATGTTACACTTTTTGTAACTGTCCCACAGTTCTTGCATATTCTGTTTTCTTTCTTTCGTTCTTTTTTCCCTTTGCTTTTCATGTTTGGAAGTTTCTGTTGACGTATTCTTAAGCTCAGAGAGTCTCTCCTTGGCTGTGTCCAGCCTCTTGAGCTTGTTGAAGGCAGTCCCCATTGCTGTTACAGGACTTTTGCTTTCTGGCATTTCCTACTGATTGTTGCTTAGGGTTTCCATCTCTGCTTATGCTGCCTATCTGTTCTTACATGATGTCTACTTTTTCCGTTAGAGCCATTACCATATTAATCGTAGTTGTTTTAAATTCCCAATCTGGTAGTTCCAAAATCTCCACTATGTCTGAGTCTGGTTCTGATATGAGGAACTTAGGCGTCAGGTTAATAGGCCTTAGTGTGAGGTACGTTTGGCTGGCTGGGAGTTGGGCTGTGTTTACTGTTTGCTGCCCTTGTGATGCTGGGGGATAAAAATCTCCTGTGTATCCTTGTTTTTGTCTTCCATTGTTTTTGGGTTTTCTTCAAGATTCCTTCTTAAATAGAGTCTGAGGCCTGCAGTTCTTATAGGTGTGCATCCCTGTTATTACACAGGGGTCCTGTTGATGTGGCTTTCAGGGGAGAGGAAGTGTTCTGTAGTCCTGGGATTAGGTCTCAGTGTTTTAGTGAACCTGTGTCCCTGGGCCGTGGCCTTCACATGTGCTTCTCAGTTTTGTTTTTTTCCTCCCCCTTAGGAGAGACATAAACGATAGAGGAGGCAGGAATTGGGTGTTTCCTTACCCCTAGGTGGTTAGGCTCTGGTAAAATAGTTTTCCTTGAGGAAAGCCCTTTGTTAAGGATAACAGAATGCTCTGGTCATGCCTTTTTCTTTCTTTCTTTCTTTTTTTTTTTTTTTTTTTGAGATGACCTCTGAGCCCTTTATATGTTGGTTGGGAAACTGGAGTGCAGTGGCACCATCATGACTCACTGCAGCCTCAACCTCCTGGGCTCAAATGATCCTCCCATCTCAGCCTCCTGAGTAGCTGGCACCACAGGCACACTGCCGTGCCCAACTATTTTGTTGTTGTTGTTGCTGTTGTTGTTCTTGTTGTAGAGATAGGGTCTCACCATGTTTCCCAGGCTGGTCTCAAACTCCTGGCCTCAAGCAAACCTGCCGCCTTGGCCATCCAAAGTCCTGGGATTATGGGCATGAGCCACCACACCTGGCCTGGTTATACTTTTAAATGATGTATTCTTCCCTCCTCCTACCAGAGTATGAGGAGATGTTTCTCCAGTCTCACCCTGAGAGCCTGGTGGGGCTCATGGAGGTAAAACTCAGACTGGTATGGGGACCTCCCCAGTGACTATTCCCCTGGAGTTTTTGTCTCCTACTGGTCCATGCTCAGTCTCTGCCATTTGTCAGTTCCCCTTTCCTCTCTGCTGGTGCTGGCTCTAGGGTTTCTGCCCCGCAATGAGCTGTGATTCTTAGCATTGCATATCTGTCTCTCCATCTTTGGGGTTATTGTTTTTTCATGTGACCTCAATTATCTGATGGATCTGAGAACAGTCATTGATTTTAAGTTTGCCAGCTTTCTTGTTGTGAGGATGGGAGTGATGACTTCTGAGCCTTTACAAGCTGGACAGGAAATTGGAAAGTCCCATTTCATTCTTTTTTAATAGAGAACTTAACTGTGTGAGGTAATGAACAACTGAGAAATGTTGAGTGCAAGAAGCCTGTTCTTGGGAAGAATCAGCAACCCATTTTAAAAAACAGAAACATTGAAAATGTTATGGTGGTTGGTAAGATGCAGGCAGGAGCACAGCAGGTACAGTGCTGCTGCCCACAGCCTTCTACACCTGAGGCCCTGCATTATGGAGGTTTGCTAAGCCAAGTGCCTCATGGCCATGTGTGACCAAAAAAACCTTTTTACTAAATGTTTTGTGCTGCTATAACAGATACCACAGACTGGGAAATTTATAATGAATAGATATTTCTAGGCTGTGCATGGTGCCTCACACCTGTAATCCCAGCACTTTGGGAAGCTGCGGTGAGCAGATTGCTTAAGTCCAAGAGTTCGAGACCAGCCTGGGCTACATGGCAAAACCCTGTCTCTACAAAAATTAGCCAGGCGTGGTGACACACACCTGTAGTACCAGCTACTCAGGAGGCTAAGGTGGGACAATTGCTTTGAGCCTGGGAGGCAGAGGTTGCAGTGAGCCAAGATCACGCCTCTGCACCCCAGCCTGTGTGATAGAGTGAGACCCTGTCTCAAAAAAAAAAAAAAAATCGTATCGTTCTGGAGGCTAGGAGGTTTAAGGTTGAAGGGCACAGCTGGTGAGGGGCTGCATCTGCATCTTATGTTATCCCAGGGCGAAAGGTGGAAGGGCAGGAGAGGGAAGGGGGTCAAATTCATCCTTTCATCAGGAACCTGCTCCTGAGATAACAAACCCTCTCCCAGGATAACAGCATTAATGTGCTCACAAGGGCAGAGCTCTCGTGGCCTAATCAGCTCTTTTCTTTCTTTTTTTTTTTTGAGATGGAGTTTTGCTCTTGTTGCCCAGGCTGGAGTATAATGGCGCAGTCTTGGCTCACCACAACCTCCGCCTCCCGGGTTCAAGCAATTATCCTGCCTCAGCCTCCTGAGTAGCTGAGATTACAGGCATGCACCACCACGTCCAGCTAATTTTGTATTTTTAGTAGAGACGGGGTTTCTCCATGTTGGTCAGGCTGGTTTCGAACTCCCAACCTCAGGTGATCTGCCCACCTTAGCCTCCCAAAGTGCTGGGATTACAGGCGTGAGCCACCGCACCTGGCCTAATCACCTCTTAAAGGCCCCACCCTTAACACTGTTGCATGTGGGGACTAAGTTTCCAGCACATGCTTTTTGGGGGACACATTGAAACCATAGCACTTCATTTCTCTATTTATGCTCATTTCTCAGCTATGTTGACCTTTGCAATTGAGGAAGTTTATTTTTTAGTGAAGTTGTGCATGATGCCATTGTTTTCAGTTTCCCCAGCAGTGACGAGAAAACCCTGACCATCCCTGTTTTAGAATACAGATTCTACCAAAACTAGTAGTTTTGGTACTAGTAGTTTGGGATACTCATTGCAGGACTTTTGATGATGACCTTCACTGTAGAATAGTAGGAGATGGGGCAGCACTGTCCTCAGCCAGTAGAGATTTCTGTAAGAACCCAGGACTCTCTTCCTAGAGTTGGGCCTCCACGCGAGCCGGAATGGAGACCCATGGGCCTGGTGGCCTGAGTATGAAGCACTTGGTTTGTGCTCTCGGTGGTAGTGATGGTGGTGTTGGCTCAGCTCCCATTTCTCATGGCATTTTTTTCTTCACTTTCTTTCAGTATTTAGGTCAGTTAACGTCCATACCAGGATACCTGAATCCCTCCAGTAGGACTGAAATCCTGCATTTCATAGACAATGCAAAGGTAACCCTATCCTCTTAACCCTGTGCACTAGCCCTCAGCCCCCACCAGCCCTTGGTCCCTGTACTCTTGGCCTCGTGGCTGTGAGGAATGAGCCAGTCCCATCACATTATGGGTACACTTGGCTCTTGGCCATAAAGACTATTCCTTAGTATGGACATTAAGTTGATTCTCGACACTTGCTCCATGTGATTTTGGGCTGTTTCCAAAATTTACACTTTCAAGATATTTCAAACCATGTGCCGTAAGTCTGAATCTGAAGGCAGTTCCAGAAGAATCTCCCAAATGGTTTGAACACATTGGTGTCCCTGGAATAAGCACTGTTCTGAGGGGAATAACACTGACCTTATTCACTCAGCATTTGTCACATGTGTGACATCGGCCAGCACAATATTCTCAGGAGAAGCGCCCCATGCCGGTTGACAGCTGAGTCTGTATTTCTGATGCCCTGTGGTTCCTTCCAGAGAGCCCACCAGCTTCCGGGACACTTGACTCAGGAGCACGATGCTGTGCTCAGCCTGTCTGCGTACAACGTCAAGCTGGCCTGGAGGGACGGGGAGGATATCATCCTCAGGGTGCCCATCCATGACATCGCCGCCGTCTCCTATGTTCGGGATGACGCTGCACACCTGGTGGTCCTGAAGACAGGTACAGGAGGTCAGGGGTCAGGAGGGTCCTTGTCCTAAGGAGTACATGTGTGAATTTTATGAAGTTCTGGAGACAGTTTTTGCAGCTTCGTGTTGGGTGCTGCTGTTTGTCACGACCAATAATTGTCTTTCCTGTCTCTGAGATCAGCCAGAAGAGGGCTTGAGATCAGTTACCAGACACTGGGGGTGACTGTCACACTAAGAGCCTTTGGGGACTCAATAATACTGGGATACAGTATTTAGGACTGGTATCCTGTTCCTCTGCCCGGTGGGGCTCCTATTGACTCCCTCTGGGTACAGTGGAGTTGCCCCTCTGCCCAGGTGTGGTGGAGCCTAGAGAGAGTGCAGTGGATAGGGACCTCACCTCAGCTTGACTGATATTTTGAGCTCTGCACAGTGTCCTCAAACCTGGGACAGAAAAGATGAGACCCAGACCTCCCAGGAGCTCTTGGTCATAGAGGTTACTCTCTGTGTGTCCTTGCCGTCTGCTGCTTTCACAATGGGATAGAATTGGGCAGAATTGGGCAGAATTGGGCAGAATGTTATTTTTGGCTGTGGTGAGTACAGTGCTGCCTCACTGGACCCAAGCCCAAGCTGCCCGTTAATTTCCAGCAGCTTCCAGCCCAGGCATTCAGGCCACTGAGGATGAGGGGAGAGACCATGGTTCGCCCTACCTGTATTTTGCCCCTCCCAGTCCTGAGTTTCGAGGCTGGTGTTGCAGTGGGGACAGTATCCTGGGCTCCTTGGATCTCTGCTGGTGACTGGGTTGATCCCAAAGCCTTTCATTTCCAGAGGGCCAGTGGCAGGGTGTGAAGGGGTCACAGTGGGTCTGCCTAGACCACACACTGTGTTTTAGGTAGCAGAGAGGGGAATTTGTTGTTCCACTTAAGGTCAGTAGTTCATTGAGAATCTGGCGAGTGTGTTCATTATTGACCCCTTGAGCCATGAAGCTGCCAGCTTGAGTGCGCTCTTGAGAGCAGTCCACTGAAAGCCTGTGAGTCTAGATGCTTGGGGTTGCTGTGGTCATAAACTACACAGGGAACACTGGCGGGGTTTATGAAGGTGGCTGTTGCTCTGTTTTGTTCTCTGTGTAGCAGTAGCTTAGACTTGCGTACACCCTCCCCAACGCAGGCACACACCACACCTACACACATGTACATTACTCACCCTATCTGGCTTAGAAGGCTGGGTTGGTGGCTCCTTCCAGCCATACTATCCGACACCATGGTGACCCTCCTGTTTTTCTACCTTTGGACCCTGCGGGAGGCCTTAGGCCTGGGACATCCTTAGGGACAAGGAGTGAGGAGACTGGTTTCTGACTCGCTTCTTGCAGGTGTTTCAAGCTGGTAGGGAGGGGAGATAGGCTCCTCCCTTTATTTCTTCTGCTGCATGACAGTTTCTCAGCTTTAATTATTAGAACACATTGCTAAAGGAAATGGATGACAGATTTTTTTTAATGGAGAGAGAATGAGCGCCATAGGAGAAACTTTCCAAAATTAGATGAAAAACAGGACTTCTGGTCTTTGAGAGAACTTTTGATTTAAAGGAAGAGAGTGAATCCCTGTGTCCTGGGGGCCATCTTCCTTGTTTTTGTGGATGCACCGGAGCAGTTGTGTGTCCCCTGTGTTACATAAGGTGTGCTGTGTTTATTTTTTAATTTTTAAAATATTTTAAAAATTTTTGTAAGGATGAAGTCTCTCTATGTTGCCCACGCTGGTCTTGAACTCCTGGCCTCAAGCGATCCTCCTGCCTTAGCCTCCCAAAGTGTTGGGACTATGGGCATGAGCCACTGCACTGGGCCGCCATGCTGTATTTAGGATTAGGCATCCAGAGTTCTCAGCATAAGAGACTAGCAGGTGAATAGCTAACGTTTACTTGGTGCCTGCTATGTGCAAGCAAGTCTCTGTGCCTCTTTGGACCAAAAGTACGCTGGTATTTGGGATAGCACAGGAGTGGGGAAGTTGGGGGCCAGGTCTAGCTGCAATAGGGTCCATGTGGCAGGAGCTGCTTGGAGGGTGATGACTTGAGTTGGTGCCAGATGGGGCAGGGTCACCCGTGCACCCGTGGTAGCACTTCCTGGATGATATAGGAGAGGCACACAACTCGCTGCCCGCATCCTTAGGCTGCCCACCCTGCTTCCTTGAGAACTACCACAGGCACACACCAGGGAGCCAACATTTAAAAATGTTTAAAAGGTAGAGATTTCTTACCAAACTCATACCAAAAAAAGAAAAAAAGTAAAGGGAAACCAGTAAATTTTTTTTTTTTTTTTTGAGACGGAGTCTCGCTGTGTTGCCCAGGCTGGAGTGTAGTGCCGTGATCTCAGCTCACTGCAAGCTCTGCCTCCCAGGTTCACGCCATTCTCCTGCCTCAGCCTCCTGAGTAGCTGGGACTACAGGCTCCTGCCACCACGCCTGGCTAATTTTTTGTATTTTTAGTAGAGATAGTATTTCACCGTGTTAGCCAGGATGATCTTGATCTCCTGACCTTGTGATCCGCCACCTTGGCCTCCCAAAGTGCTGGGATTACAGGCATGAGCCACTGTGCCCGCCTTTTTTTTTTTTTGAGACAAGTTTGGTGCTTGTTGCCCAGGCTAGAGTGCAATGGTGTGGTCTTGGTTCACTGCAATCTCCGCCCCCCGAGTAGCTGGGATTACAGGCATGAGCCACCACGCCCAGCTAATTTTTTTGTATTTTTAGTAGAGATGGGGTTTCACCATGTTGGCCAGGCTGGTCTTGAACTCCTGACCTCAGGTGATCCACCCGCCTTGGCCTCCCAATGTGCTGGGATTACAGCCATGAGCCACTGCGCCTGGCCAATTATTTTCAATAATATATTTTATTTACCCCTCCGTACCCAAAACATTATTACATCAGTATATAATCAATATAAAAATCGTTGAGCTACATAGCATTCTTTCTTTGCCTACCTCTGAAACCCTGTGTATAGTTTGCACTCACACATTTCAATGTGGGCTCATCACATTTTGCATACTCAGTAGTCCTGTGGCCAGTGGCTGCCATAGGGACAGAGCAGCCCCAGGAGTCTCACTGTGGGGTTTGAGGTACAGTTTCTTATGGAGCCCTTGTCTCTGTGCATGCGCTAACTTTGCATGTGGCCTGGGACGGCCTTCTTCTCCCTCCTGAGGCTGGCCTGCCCTCTGACACCCTGGCACTAGTGGCACTTCTAGGTTTTGTTTTCAGTCTTGAAGTCCTCCCAGGGTGGTCCGAACTGATGGTGAGAGCCCTGCTTCCTGGGGATTGGCCTCACTTCTGCCATCAGGAAAACCACTGAGTTACTCCATGTATTTCAGGAGAACCTCATTTGTCTAGGGAGGCAATGGGTAGGATGTTAGAAACAAGGGCACTGGGGTCTGACCGTCTAGATTGCCATGTGGACAGTGCAACTCACACGCCCTCAGGCCAGGCCTTTCACTTTCCCATGCCTCAGTTTACCCATCTGTAAGAAGGGAACTCCCCAGAACACATGGAAACCTCCTGGAGGTGACTGTTCTCAGGGTTGTATATGTGGTCTGTTGTATATGAACTTGAAGCGTGTGAAACTGCAGGATGACATGCAGCTCTGGTGCCCTTGGAGCTCAGGGGTCGCGTGTTCCCACCCTTATTTAGAGAAGCGAAGTGTGTCTGGTGCAGGCCCTTCACCTGAGTCGTTCTGTGGGTGCCTGAGCCAGGTAAAGGTCCTCTCAGCCTGTTTCCATGGCGGCCTCAGCTGTTTCCTCAAGTGCCCCCATGCCTGCCCTTCCACTGTGCTAAACTGAGATGGTGTTGACTTCTCAGCCCAGGACCCAGGGATCTCCCCCAGCCAGAGTCTGTGTGCGGAAAGTTCCAGAGGCCTCAGTGCAGGCTCCCTGTCGGAGAGTGCAGTTGGGCCCGTGGAGGCATGCTGCCTGGTCATCCTGGCTGCAGAGAGCAAGGTGAGACTTTCTCGCCCCACTTACTCAGAACTGGCTCCTCCCAGACCCTGCTCATGGCCAGCCCCACCCTGGCCACACCCAGCACAGTGCTGGGCACTGCTGGGTGCCCCAGCTACTTCCTCTGCCATTGCCTGTCCCTGCCTCACCCTAGTCTCCACCCAGCCCCACCTCTCTCTGCTCAACCCTGCCCCAGGCATTGCCCCCATCCTGGCCCTGCCCACAGCTCCTCTGCGCATGACTGCATCCCAGGTCCTGCCCCAGGCCCAGGCTCCCCACCGGTTCCCACCCCTGTGCCTTCTGACCCTCCTACCTCCAACCCCCAGCAACTTCTCTGAGACCACCTGGCCACTGAGCTTTTTGCTTATCATTCTTCAAGGTGCCCCCACGCTGATGGGCGGGCAGCGGCGGTCACCTGTGCATCCTAGACCTGCCTGGTGTTAAGGACTGTGCTTGCAGATTCCTCACAACCTGGAAGAGCCAAGGGCTGGGCCCTTGTAGGCTAGGATTTGGGGCCCCCTCAGCCACCCAATAGCTGTGGGGCCTTGGCAGTCACTTAACACCTTTGTTTAATTTCCATATCTGTAAAATGGATGCTAGTGACCACCCACCTTAAATATCCTCTAATGAGCATTTCTCAGTGTTGGTGCTACTGTCATTTTTAGCCGGATAATTTTCCATTGTGGGAGGCTGCCCTGTGCACTGTAGGGTGTTGAGCAGCATCCCAGCTTCTCCCCTTGTGACAGCTGAAAATGTCTCCAGATATTGCTACATGTCCCCTGGGAGGGGTACAAAAATTGCCCCAGTTGAGAGCCTCTGCTTTAGACAGCACACTGTTATAAAACTGTTTTATAGCTGTTAGAAATGCCTCCAGGTGGGCTGTGATACTGATGGTATCTCCTCTCACCTCTTTCCTGGGCTGGGATAGGGTTGTGAGGGTGTTGATAGGTCAGGTTAATGGAAAGAAGACGTTGGACTGGCAGCTAACACTTGTGCCCTGCACAGTCCCCTCACACTTGCAATACCACCCCTGGGCCACATGGCAGTCCTAGATAGAGTCCTGGGGCAGTTGGCTGGGTCTCTCTTTTGACACCCCTTTGGGTCAGTGAAAGGCAGAGGGACACATTCTGGTATCCACTCTTCATTCATGTTTATTGAGCATCTGGGCTGCCCCAGGTATCCTGGAAGCCGCCTGGGAAGGCGCAGTCTCCAGCCAGACTGACCGAGCAGCTGCTGTCCCCCACTGCAGGTCGCTGCGGAGGAGCTTTGCTGTCTGCTAGGCCAGGTCTTCCAGGTTGTTTACACGGAGTCCACCATCGACTTTCTGGACAGAGCGATATTTGATGGGGCCTCTACCCCGACCCACCACCTGTCCCTGCACAGCGGTATGTTGAGTGAGAGTGGGCAGCGGGTGGGAGCAGGGACAGGAGGGGCTACTGCAGTGGCCCCCAGCTCCCCATGAGTTACTCCTGGAATAGCGCAGTTACTGCCGTGACATGGTGGCCTTTTGTTTCCAGACTTTGCTGTTCACATTAGCCCATAGGGTTTCATGAAGGCAGAAGTGTCACCTGTCCTTGAGAGAGTTGCACCAGGTCAGCGCTATGGCTTCCTGGAATAAATTTGGGGTCTGTGAACACTTTTTTGGAACCACTTGTGGCTAAAGTCACTTCACTTAACTCGGAACAAAGAGCTTGGAGAAGGCTCCTAGCACTGGGGCCTGTGATGGAATTGGGGAGGCTGAGAGTGGGTCTGGGGAGCCTCCTTTTCAGTATGCCCAGACTATGGCTGCTCTTAATGTGAAACTCCTTCCAGGACCATGGCCAGACCCATGGGAAGCTGCTCAGGCTGCCCTGGGAGGCCAGCTGGCAGTGGTGGAGCAGTGGCAGATGGGGAAGAATGGAAGGTACCCCAGAGCTGTCTCTTCCTGCATGGCCCACACAGCATTTTCAGGAGTCTGTTAGTCCATTGAAAACACTTCATCAGCAAGCTCACTTGAGTTAAGTCTTCAAAAACATCATCTGTTTTTCAGATGTATTACTTATTGAGGATTAATGGGTTATATAAATTGAGGTGCATAAAAAGCTGTTGGAGGCTGGGTGTGGTGGCTCATGCCTGTAATCCCAGCACTTTGGGAGGCTGAGGCGGGCGGATCACCTGAGGTCGGGAGTTCAAGACCAGCCTGACCAACATGGAGAAACCCTGTCTCTACTAAAAAATACCAAGAAAAAAAAAAAGGCTGTTGGAAACAGTGCGGCTTGTTGAGTACAATTTCTTCTTTTTACGGAGATAAGTCCCAGCCCTCTGCCCTTTCCCCAGTAACTCGCACATCTCAGTGAAGAGAGTAAATGGTGGAGAAGCCTGTGCTGGTGTGAGGGCTGCTCCTCAGTGCCTCCTTCTTCCCTTTCTTGCTGCTGGTGCCAGAGCCCTTTGTGGGCACTACACGCCTTGTGTTGGCCCAGCAGCTGCAGAGAGACAGCTGCTGAGCTCTCAGGCATCCTCTCTATCTCATTTAGTCCTCGGTGGCCCAGCGAGATAGGTGCAATCTTCATCCCCATTTTAGAGATGGGGAAGTGGAGGCTTAGAAGTCAACAGCTTATCCAGAGGAATGTACCATATGAGTAGCAGATGATTTATCGAGCTGTAATTAAACATTCAGTTTTAGTGCGACTGGTTTGGCCCTTGTGCTTTAAAATTCCCAAAGGGCCTTTTTTTCTTTAATAATTTTTTTTTTACTGAGAAGTACACAAGTCATACATGTACAGTTGAATGAATTTTCATAAAGTAAACACATCATGTAACACCACTACTGGGGGTTGCTGAAGTGGGCTTCTTCCCCTGCCAGCCTTTCCCAAGACCTCCCCGTGGGATCCACACACAGATGTGCACACGTTACGCACATGCATGCATTCTCTGCTTATTTCTGCCTTGGAGTTTTGCTTGCTGTGTTCTCTCTACTACAGCTATGCCAAAACATAGCAGCATAAACAGCAGAAATATATTCTCTTATAATTCTATACGTTAAGAGTCCATTGTGGGTCCCACTGGGCTAAAGTTGAGGTGTCCACAGGGCTGGTTCCTTCTGGAGGCTCCAGAGAAGAAGCCATTTCCTTGTCTTTCCAGCTCCTAAAGGCGGCTGCATGCCTTGGCTCATGGCCCTTCCTCTGTCTTCACAGCCAGCCACGTGACCTCTTCCACAGTCACATCTTCCTTTGACTGTCAGCTTCCTCTGCATTTCAGGACTCTTGCAATCACATTGAGCCCACCCAAATTCTCCAGGGTCATCTCCCTATTTCAAGGTCAGCTGATAAGCATCCTTTACTCCCCTTTGAAATTGGTAACATATTCACCAATTCCAGGGATTAGGATGTGGACGTCTTTGGGGGGTCATTATTCTGCCCTCCATACTTACCTTGTTCCTAGTGCCAGAAATGTCCCTTTTATCTCTCAGCCTCTCCCTCTGCTTCATTTAAAATCTTACCCTCTCTGCAACACTCACCTGCCTCGCTCACAAAGCTTTCACTCACTGTCTGTGCTGGTGTGAAATGTGCCTTCCTCAGGTTTGAAATAGCAAATTACAGTCTGTGTCACACGGACCTAATGTCATTTGTTGAATGTAGCTGCTCAGTGCCAGACCCTTTGCTGGTCTGAGGGTCTTGGGAATCCTGTGGCTTCACTGGGTTCAGATGGGGAGTCAGACTGCCCGGCTCTGACTGTGGTTTCTGCTGTGTGACCTGGGCCAAGTTGTGTAACTCTCTGACTTACTTCCTAATCTACAAGTGAAGACAGGGGTGATATATGCCTGGGTTAAAGGAGACAAAGCCCCAGTAACCCTGCCTGGCACATGAGTGATACCTCAAAGACAGCTTTTGCTGGCTCTGGCCATGGGTGAATGTGTACTTCAGCCCAGCGTGCAGCAGGATTTGCATTTGCCAGGATCCCCAGGAGGGGTGTATGTGGGCTCAAGTCTGGGAAGCCCTGCCCTGAGGCACACAGCACATTCCAGAGTGCGGGCAGCTTGATGAAGGACAGCAGGGTCCCTGAAGACCAGGGCTGCCGCTGTCTCCTGTAAATACAGCAGTGGGCTGGACTCAAAATGCCTCCCCACTATGTCCCTGAAAGTCATCTTAGTTTTCTGCATCTTCCTTACAGATGACTCTTCTACAAAAGTGGACATTAAGGAGACCTACGAGGTGGAAGCCAGCACTTTGTGAGTGCACATGCCACCAAGCCCTGCGGTGGGACACGCACCAAATGCGTTGTCTGGTGTTGTCCAGGCTGCAGCCAGTCAGCTCCCCCATCTCAGCTCACCCTCGCTAAGCCATCCCCAGACCCACTGTACCCAGCTTAGTGAATGGCTGAGGCCTGGCTCGCCGCCCTCTCCTCGTAGACTTCTAGAGCCCTTGCTGTCCCTCTTGTCTCTCCCTGCCTACCTTCCCATGGCCTCCCAAGAGTGAGCTTGTAATAGGCATGTTGGATGGAGCTGTTCCCCTGCCCGAGCCTGCCGAGGCGCTGGCCTTCCAGCCCATCTCTGCCACCACCTGGGGCTCTGTAGTAGTTCACCCACTCGCGCTCTCCATTCCTGCCACCTCCCCAACCCTGGCTCCTTCCCCTGCCCAACAATGCTGCCCACTGCCTTGACCTGTGTACTCCCTCTCTTCACTCAGAGCCCAACTCAGAGCCATGCCCCCGGGGAGCCCCAGGACCAGGCCAAGCTGACCACCCTGCATGCCCAGTCAGCTCTCCTCTCATCATCATCATCATCACTTACATTCCTCTGTTCAAGGACAGGGACCCACACACACGGCATGGACTAGGTTTCCTGAAACGTGTGTGGGATGGAGGGTCGGGGAAGCCACCCGCTCACATACCACATTCTTTCGCAGCTGCTTCCCTGAATCTGTGGATGTGGGTGGTGCATCACCCCACAGCAAGACCATCAGTGAGAGCGAGCTGAGCGCCAGCGCCACTGAGCTGCTGCAGGACTACATGCTGACGGTAGGCCTCCGCTGCAGGGACGCTGGGCTGCATGAGGGAGGGGGTGCCCCAGGGAGGATGGGGGGAAGGGGAGGAGGAGGAGGAGCAGTGCAGGGCAGGCTGCAGTGAGTGAGGTCACCTAGAGCACTCTTGGTCAATTTTGCTGACATCACTGCCTTTTCCTGGGGATAGTCTAGGAGAGCATCAGTCAGTGGGGCTGAGTTGGGAGTGCTGTGGCCGTCAGGGCTGGACTGTGGGCCTGTGCTTGGGTCCTGGGGGAGGGGAGGGAACGGTGGCCCCTGCAAGGCCACATGGCCAGACATTTTTATCCTCCCCATCTTATATAGTTCTGTCATTGCAAACTCAAGTCTTCCTGATTTGCCTGTGTGCCTGTGTGTAGCCTAAGGGCACAGGCATTGGCCCCGGGCCAGGTTGCCAACTTCCACCCTGCCCTGCTGGCTCCTGTCCCTCCCATGCACTCTGTGTTCCAGCTCAGGAGAGTGGAGCTGCCCGGGTGCCTTGGTCTCCTCTGGGTGGCCCCGTGCCAGGTCTGGTAGGATGGGGACACATTGTGGTCATTCTGATGCCCCAGCCTGTGCAGAGGTGAAGCCAGAGACAGCTGGTGCTCTGGCTGGGGTTAGTGGCTGTGGCAAGGTGGGCCCGACTGCCGACTCTTGCCTACTGTGCCCAGCCCCCTATCTGGCTCTGCTCTCTTGCAGCTGCGCACCAAGCTGTCATCACAGGAGATCCAGCAGTTTGCAGCACTGCTGCACGAGTACCGCAATGGGGCCTCTATCCACGAGTTCTGCATCAACCTGCGGCAGCTCTACGGGGACAGCCGCAAGTTCCTGCTGCTTGGTGAGTGGGCCCTGGAAAGAGGGTGGCTTGTCCAAACCTGGCTTGGAGAGGCTGATCCCTCCTGGGAATGTGCACACGGACCCCTCAGTGGGTGCAGCAGGGGCTCCATCAGGGATGGGAGATTTGAACCAGAGATGGCATGAGAGCAGAGTCCAGAGATCGGGGAATCTGCTGTGATTAGTCAGAAGGGCTTTTCCCAGGTACTGTTGGGGGCCCACCGACAGGCCTTCATTCTCCTGGGAACTCAAGCTGAGCTGGGTGGGCCCTGCCAGGAAGTAGCAGAGATCCCCCAGGAGCAGGGCTGGGAGTGAACACAACCCTGAGATTTAGGAAAACAGTGCTGGAGGAGCCAGAGAGGCATGGGTTTTGGTGAATGTGTAGGACTTCAAGGCGGAAGGACCAGCGTTTGCCAAGACCCCTAAAATGCTCGGCACATTAGGTCAGTGCGGCTAGAGGGCTGTGTGGTCTGAGCAGCAGAGTTGGATGTTGGCCCCACACCTCTCAGGGGCGGTGACTTAGCTGTGGTTTCCCTCTGCCGACACTTAGAACACAGCAAGTTTGCGGTAATGTGTTGCTAGTAGCCAGTTGAAGGCTTCTGGGTCCTGGCCTGTTTTCCCTGCAAACCAAGGAAGGTGGGTTTGTTAACCATCGTACCGACCTGGCAGTGGCAAACGTGGATTGCCTGCCCAGGGCTCCCCGCTCTTAGGAGCGTGAAGGGCTGGAGGCTGGGGCAGCCTGTCTGTACAATAGGTTCTGTCTAAGCAGTGCCTGCCCCTTCTGTGCTGGGCCCTGCGTTGCCTCCTGGCATGGGACTCTGTCTGCCCCTCCACATCGGGGAGTAGAGATTCTGAGAGACACACTAGGCTTCCCAAATAAGAGGGCAGCCCTCTGAGTTGGGACAGTCACCTAGGTCATGGCAGGGAAACTGGACTTTGGCATGAGGCCTGCCTCTGAGGACTGCACCCTTGTTGCCGGGTGCCAGCAGGTGGCTTTGAGCACTGCTCTGGGCCTCAGCTTTCCCCACTGTAAAATGGGTCCTTTGTGAGGACTAATAGAGAATGAGAGGAGGCCACAGGTTCTTGGCCTGTGCTGGTGCCTTGAGGCCAGGGAGTGTGCATGTGGCAGAGGCAGTAAGCTGTCAGGGCCAGCAGCAGTGTCTGTCAAGAGTTGAGGTTTTAGCCAAACTGTCTGGCCCCAGGAAGCATGATTTCAACCAGGATGCTAGATGCAGTGAGCATGGCATCAGGGTCCCCAAGGCCATGCACCAGGGGCAGCTGTGGCCCTGTCAGGGGGCTTTGAGCCCTGAGAGAAGAGCTGAGTGGGCTGAGCCGAACTGGAGGTGCCATGCTGGGTGTTGTGTGTCTGCAGGTCTGAGGCCCTTCATCCCTGAGAAGGACAGCCAGCACTTCGAGAACTTCCTGGAGACCATTGGCGTGAAGGATGGCCGCGGCATCATCACTGACAGCTTTGGCAGGCACCGGCGGGCCCTGAGCACCACATCCAGTTCCACCACCAATGGGAACAGGGCCACGGGCAGCTCTGATGACCGGTCGGCACCCTCAGAGGGGGATGAGTGGGACCGCATGATCTCGGACATCAGCAGCGACATTGAGGCGCTGGGCTGCAGCATGGACCAGGACTCAGCATGATGGACAGTGGATGGGGGGGCACCCACACCTTCCGCGCAGTCGTCATAGGCCTTCCCAGAAGGAGCTGCCCAGACCTGCGTGTCAGCCCTTGGTGGTGGCCAGGGAGAGGCGCCCGGTGCAGATGGCCCCGGGCGGCCCAGGTCCTCTACTGTGAAGGAGCAGGGAGCTGCCGAGGGACACGAGCCTCAGTGCGGGGTGGAAGGCTCTTTGCCTTGTCCACCAGGGCTCAGCCAAGCCCTGCAGTGTGTCCCCGCTCGGGGAGGGCCCGGCCGAGCGGGCAGGGAGAGCCAGTCCTGTCGGCTGGGCCCTTGGACGGCTGTCAGTTTTGCACATGATGTTCCTATTGTAACTCTCAGAGACCTTAAAAAGAAGTTTACTGCAATGTGAATAATTTAATCTCTGGTTGCCAAGCATGTTTCTGATCCAGTTGGGTGAAAGCCATCGGTGCCAGGAGGGGTGTCCGCTCTAGCCTCTGTCCCTGGGTCCCCATCTGCCCTGCAGCACCTGGGACTCGGCAGTGGTCCCTGGGGGCTGGGGTGGAGGAGGCAACAGGCTCTTGTGCCACAGGAAGGACTTGATTTGGACTTGAGCAGTGTGGATGTGGGGCAGGAGCGGGTGTTCTGAGGCCTTTCGTGGGCAGCGTGTGTGAGGGTAGCGTGTGTGGCATGTGTTGGGGGCACCTTGATCTTTACATCCTGTGCACTGAATCCTTCAAGGTCACTGGCTGTGCCCCGCACCCCCCCTCCCCCCAACCCCATGCTGCAGGTTTTTTCCTCAAGCAGCCTGCACTACCCCGTGGAACAGAAATGCTCTCTGAGATCTCGTCACCTTGGAGCCTGGGGGCTGGGTCTTCAGAGGCCAGTGTGCAACTCTGCCGACCCTCCCTGTGCCGTCATTGTGGGCCTGTCTCCATCCTTGTCCCGTGAGCTCTTCTCCCCAAACCCTGTTGGCCTTGGTCTTGCCTATACCCTTTGGGCCCTTACAAAGCTTCCTTGGATATGGGAAGGGGAGAAGAGGTGACCTGGGTCAGGTTGTCCGGAGCCTCTCCCTCCACCGGAGAGCAGCCACAACCCTGCGGAGACCCCCAAGGGGACAGACATCTAGGAAGGAGACTGGCTGTCACATCTCCCTCCTGCCCAGGCTGGGGGCCTAGCCTTGCTGGATGGAGGGGCTGCATGTCAGGCCCCAGGGATTCTCTGGCCCAGGCTTGGGGAAGCAGGGAGAGCCTCTGGGGCTCCATGGACACCCTGATTGTGTCCAGGCCAAGCCAGAGGATCTGGAGTATCTCAGGCACCTTCCTGAATAAGGTAGACGGGTTTGTATGGTATCACAGCTTCTGAACAGGAAGGGGCCTGGTCGGTGTTTTTTTGTTTGTTTTGTTTTGTTTTTCTCAAGACAGAGTCTCACTCTGTTGCCCAGGTTGGAGTGCAGTGGTGCGGTTTTGGCTCACTGCAACCTACACCTCCTGGGTTCAAGCGATTCTCCTGTCTCAGCCTCCCGAGTAGCTGGGACTACAGGCGCCTGCCACCACGCCCAGCTAATTTTTGTATTTTTAGCAGAGACGGGGTTTCACCATATTGGCCAGGCTGGTCTCAAACTCCTGACTTTGTGATCCGCCTGCCTCCCAAAGTGTTGGGATTACAGGCGTGAGCCACCGCGGCCGGCCCGGTCAGTGTTTTATGGGCGAGTTTTTCCACTGTACTGGGCTGTTGTAGAGCTGCTTACTCATGGGACCCCAGGCCAGGGCAGGCAGCAGGCTCTTTACTGTTGACACTGTCTCTTAAGTTTACATGAAAATGGACATGCCCTGGAAGCATCAGGAGAGGCTGAGGACAAACCACACAGTCTCCTGGGCTCTTGCCCCCTACCAGAGCCCACCCTGTGCCAGAAGGTTCAGTGTCCCCCTTCCATCCCTCTGGTTGAACATGGCCTTGCATGGGCCTTCTGTGTGGAGTGTCAAAGGAACCACATGCTTGCCCCTCCAGGGTCCATCCCAGGTGTGGCCCCCGTGCTGCAGTCGCTGGTCTTTGCTAGCAGAAAGAGTAGAGGACATGGAGCAGATGAAGGGACACCAGAGGGTAATGAGGGGACACCAGAGAGTAATGAAGGGACATCAGAGGGTGGTGACAGGACACCAGAGGGCAGTGAGGGGACACCAGGGAGTAATGGGACATCAGGGAGTGATGGGACATCAGAAGGTGATGAGGGGACACCAGAGGGTGGTGAGGGGACACCAGAGAGTAGTGAGGGGACACCAGAGAGTAATGAGGGGACACTAGAAGGTGAGGGGACACCAGAGGGCGGTGAAGGGACACCAGAGAGTAATGAGGGGCACGAGAGGGTGGTGAGGGGACATCAGAGGGTGATGGGACACCAGAGGGCGATGAGGGGACACCGGAGAGTATTGAGGGGACACCAGAGGGCAGTGAAGGGACGCCAGAGAGTACTGAGGGGACACCAGAGGGTGGTGAGGGGACACCAGAGAGTAATGGGGACACCAGAAGGTGAGGGGACGCCAGAGGGCAGTGAAGGGACACCGGAGAGTATTGGGACACCAGAGGGCAGTGAGGGGACACCAGAGGGCGATGAGGGGACACCAGAGAGTAATGAGGGGACATCAGAGAGTAATGAGGGGACATCAAGGCGGTGAGGGGACACCAGAGAGTAATGGGACATCAGAAGGCGGTGAGGGGACATCAGTAATGAGGGGACGTCAGAAGGCGGTGAGGGGACACCAGAGAGTAATGGGACATCAGAAAGCGGTGAGGGGACACCAGAGAGTAATGGGACATCAGAAGGTGGTGAGGGGACATCAGAAGGCGGTGAGGGGACATCAGAAGGCGGTGAGGGGACACCAGAGAGTAATGGGATATCAGAAGGCGGTGAGGGGACATCAGAAGGCGGTGAGGGGACATCAGAGAGTAATGAGGGGACATCAGAAGGCGGTGAGGGGACACCAGAGAGTAATGAGGGGACATCAGAAGGCAGTGAGGGGACATCAGAGAGTAATGAGGGCACATCAGAAGGTGGTGAGATATCAGAAGGCGGTGAGGGGACACCAGAGAGTAATGAGGGGACATCAGAAGGCGGTGAGGGGACACCAGAGAGTGAGGGGACATCAGAAGGCAGTGAGGGGACATCAGAAGGCGGTGAGGGGACATCAGAGAGTAATGGGACATCAGAAGGCGGTGAGGGGACATCAGAGAGTAATGGGACATCAGAAGGTGGTGAGGGGACATCAGAAGGTGGTGAGGGGACATCAGAAGGCGGTGAGGGGACACCAGAGAGTAATGAGGGGACATCAGAAGGTGGTGAGGGGACATCAGAAGGCGGTGAGGGGACATCAGAAGGCGGTGAGGGGACACCAGAGAGTAATGAGGGGACATCAGAGAGTAATGAGGGGACATCAGAAGGCGGTGAGGAGACATCAGAAGGCAGTGAGGGGACACCAGAGAGTAATGAGGGGACATCAGAAGGTGGTGAGGGGACACCAGAGAGTAATGGGGACATCAGAAGGCGGTGAGGGGACACCAGAGAGTAATGAGGAGACATCAGAAGGCGGTGAGGGGACATCGGAGAGTAATGAGGGGACATCAGAAGGCGGTGAGGGGACACCAGAGAGTAATGAGGGGACATCAGAAGGCGGTGAGGGGACATCAGAAGGTGGTGAGGGGACACCAGAGAGTAATGAGGGGACATCAGAAGGCGGTGAGGGGACATCAGTAATGAGGTGACATCAGAAGGTGAGGGGACATCAGAAGGCGGTGAGGGGACACCAGAGAGTATTGAGACACCAGAGGGTGGTGAGGGGACACCAGAGAGTATTGCGGGGACACCAGAGGGCAGTGAGGGGACACCAGAGAGTAATGAGGGGACACCAGAGAGTATTGGGACATCAGAGAGTATTGGGACACCAGAGAGCAGGGGACACCAGAGGGTGGTGAAGGTACACCGGGGAGTATTGAGGGGACACCAGAGGGCGGTGAGGGGACACCAGAGAGTAATGAGGGGACACCAAAGGGCAGTGAGGGGACACTGGTGAGTATTGAGGTGACACCAGAGAGTAATGAGGGGACATCAGAGGGTGGTGAGGGGACACCAGAGGGAAGTGAGGGGACACAGGGTGATGAAGGGACACAAGAGGGTGATGAGGGGACACCAGAGGGAAGTGAGGGGACACAAGAGGGTGATGAAGGGACACCAGAGGGTGATGAGGGGGCACCAGAGGGCAGTGAGGGGACACCACAGAGTAATGAGTGGACACCACAGGGCAGTAAGGGGACACCAGATGGTGGTGAAGGGACACCAGAGGGAAGTGAAGGGATGCCAGATGGTGATGATGGGACTCCAGAGGGCGAGGAGGAGACACCAGAGGGCAATGAAGGGACACCGATTTATTGAGTAGCAGAGCTGAGGGAAGGCGTAGGATGGCTCCAGCTTCCGGTCAGTGGCTACATGGTCAGTTCCTGCAGAAAGAGATGGTCATGTTGGGGGAAGCACCCCGCAGTGGAGCCAACATCAGGACCTCTCGAGGCCCTTGGGGACAGCTCAGGGGTAGGGAAAGGGGCCAGTGCTCACTCACCATGATGGCGTTGACGATGTCACTGTGGTTGTCTCTCAGAGCCCGCACGGCCTTGGCCCTGGACACATTGGCCTGCGCCATCACCAGCTCAATGTCACGCAGTTCCAGCCCCGCCTCGTCCACCTGGAGTTGGGGGAGCAGGGAAGTGGCTGGAGCTGCTTGAGGTCCCTGGGGCAGAGCCCCCATGTAGCGCCTCCCACCACCCCCTGCGAGGCCCTGGAGCCCCTGCACTTCACCTCTTCCTCCTCCTCCTCTTCCTCTTCCTTGCACTCCAGCCTCACCCGGGGCCTGGGTGCTGACTCAGGGACCAAGGCTGAGGGCTCTGAGGGCACCTTAAACTTCTCAGCTGCGGCTTTGTGCACTTGCTGGGACAGGTCCTCAATCTGCAAAATGGAAGACAGCTGTGTCAGTAGAGCCTGTCCCCCCCTTGTCCCCTATCCCTCGGATCCCCCATTCCACCACAGCCGCCACCCAGACCTTGGCCTCGCCAAAGACCACATAAGTGTCTGAGGCTGGGCTCTTGAAGACATCAGGCTTGGCGATGACAAAGAGGATGTTCTTGGACTTCTGGATGGTGATCCTGGTGACTCCCTGAATCTGCCGCAAGCCCAGCTTTGACATTGCCTGGGAGTAGAGGGCAGAGGGGGGCTCAGACCTGGTGTTGACCCACGTCGGGGGAGGAGAGCAGCACAGTGCCCAGGAAGGCAAAGTCTCCACCGCCAACTTCCCCAAGACCTTGGGCTGGTGGTTGGTCCTTCCCCATGAGCCTCAGTCTATAAGGGCCTTCTCATGACATTCCAGCCTCAGCTGTTTAGGGGAAGGTGTGTGGGTTACTGGCATGGACCCAAAGGTCCCCTGATGGATGGGATTTCATTAGCCATGGAGTGTGAGGGTCTTGGTAAGGACGTTCCCCACACAGATGGTCCCAGGCCTGAGGTCCCAGAGGGAGCCACCAGCCCACCTTTCGGGCCTTCTTCTCACTGCGACTCTGCTTGGCTTTGGCGATGGTCTCCTCACTGCCGCCTGCTGGGGCCTGAGAAAAGGTGAGGGCTGAGCATCCATGGGTGGGGTGTGGGGCCCTCCCAGA
The DNA here is from genome assembly GCF_000001405.40 of Homo sapiens. Taxonomy (NCBI): domain Eukaryota; kingdom Metazoa; phylum Chordata; class Mammalia; order Primates; family Hominidae; genus Homo; species Homo sapiens. The sequence goes on from NC_000007.14 coordinate 45,081,727, forward strand.
GGCCCACCCTCTTCCCTGGACTGGGCACCTGGGCTGGACACTGCACGGTCTGAGGAGCCAAGATGTCCTGCTCGTCCAGCTCGGCTGATGACTCCCCGTGGCTATCCGAATGCTGGCCCGAGCCCAGGGCCCGAGGCGAGTCTGGGGAAGGGGAGAGGTGTGAGGATGGCCTTTTGCTTCTAGGTGGCGGGGAAGGGGGTTCAGGACCCTGGCCCTGCTGCCACATCAGGGCCAGAGGAAGCAGTGCCAGCTCTCCATGGTGGCTGTGGGGTCTGGGCCCCCCACCTCGCCACCTCAGAGGCCCTCCAGCTCAGGACAGCTCTAAGGAGGAGTCCAGTTGACCCAAGCCCCAGGGCACTTCACTCCCACCCTCTGCCTTACCTTCCTCCAGGCTGTCCTCATCCTCTTGCTGCTCGGGGGCTGAGAGCCCTTGAGGGCCAGCTGGGCTCTGGGGCCCAGAGGGAGGAGGCACTTGGCAAGGCGGCAAGATCTGCAAGGCCAGGTCTTTGGCATCCATGGAGGCCACCTTGGGGCTGAGGAGTGGGGAGTGAGGCGAGAGGCTGACTCGCGGCCCAGTCCCCAGAGGCTGTGTGGTTCCTGAGACAGCAGCAGCGGCAGGCTGGACTCCTGCCTGGGGCGGTGGGAGGCCCAGAGAGCCTGGGGGCTCCTCGTCTTCCACAGAGTCTTCCTGGGGGTCCTGGCACAGGCAGGGGGCTGGGGGCTCCAGTGGGGGTAGGGCTGCCCCAGCAAGGGTACCAGGAGCAGAAGGGTCAGGGCCCAGGGGCCTGTCCACGGGCGTGCTGGGCTGACCCTTGGCAAGGTTTTCTGGGGGCTGCAGCAAGGGGGTGCCAAGGACACTGGGTACTTCGTGGGGTTGCTCAACACTGCCCAGACCCAGTACAGGCTCCGGCTGCTGGGAGGTTGGTGCAGACGTGGGGGCAGGCGCGTCAGGGCAGCCTCTGTCCAGACTGGACACAGCCCCTACTGAAGACTCTGGGCAGGAGTCCAGACTGGCCTCTGTGGCCACAGCTGAGGGAAGCGTGGGCTCCGGGGTGGACTTGCCACTCAGGCCTCTTTCCTCCCTGGCTGGGCTCAGGAGCCGGGCCTGGCTGACCTCAGGGCAGGCAGCAGGAGGCGCATCGGGGACCTCCCTTGCACCTCCAAGTGCTGACCTGGGTCCATGTTCCTGTGCCAGTGGCTTCAGGCCTCCTTCCTGCTGGTTCTCAACCTCCAGGGTCTCCTTTTGGGGTGAGTCAGGCTTAGCCCCATCACCTGTGTGCGCTCGCGCTTCCAGACATGCTTCCCGTCCAGGCCTAGAAAGGGCTTCTGCTATTTCCTCCCCAGCACCAGAGGCCGGCTCAGGGAGACTGAGGGCCTCCATGCCCAAAGTGGAATCCGCATCTTCCTGTGCGGCCCAAGGTGTCCCAGCTTCTGCAGCTGGCTGTGGGTCATCCTGTTGGACCTGGTCCAAGGCTGCAGGCTCCGGGACTGTAGGGAGGGCTGCATTCTTCTCCTCAGGTGCTGGCCTGGGGCCTAAGGCCTCACCTACTTCCTGCTGAGCCATGGTGGCCACAGGCTCTGTCCCTGGGGCACAGCCTGCTTCTGCCTGCAAGGTTTGAGGGGTGGCCACAGCCAGAGGCTCTGGACCTGAGGTGGGGCCTGTGTCTTGCAGAGGCAGAGGTGCTGTCATAGCGGAGTCCTGGGGTAAGGTGAGGCCCTCTTCAGCCTGCTGGGACACAGGCGTGGCTGCAGCCACAGGCTTTGGGGCTGACGAGAGATCTGTGTCTTGTAGGGGCAGAGGCGGTGTCATAGCGGAGTCCTGGGGTAAGGTGAGGCCCTCTTCAGCCTGCTGGGACACAGGCGTGGCTGCAGCCACAGGCTTTGGGGCTGACGAGAGATCTGTGTCTTGTAGGGGCAGAGGCGGTGTCATAGCGGAGTCCTGGGGTAAGGTGAGGCCCTCTTCAGCCTGCTGGGACACAATCGTGGCTGCAGCCACAGGCTTTGGGGCTGACGAGAGATCTGTGTCTTGTAGGGGCAGAGGCGGTGTCATAGCGGAGTCCTGGGGTAAGGTGAGGCCCTCTTCAGCCTGCTGGGACACAATCGTGGCTGCAGCCACAGGCTTTGGGGCTGACGAGAGATCTGTGTCTTGTAGGGGCAGAGGCGGTGTCATAGCGGAGTCCTGGGGTAAGGTGAGGCCCTCTTCAGCCTGCTGGGACACAAGCGTGGCTGCAGCCACAGGCTTTGGGGCTGACGAGAGATCTGTGTCTTGTAGGGGCAGAGGCGGTGTCATAGCGGAGTCCTGGGGTAAGGTGAGGCCCTCTTCAGCCTGCTGGGACACAAGCGTGGCTGCAGCCACAGGCTTTGGGGCTGACGAGAGATCTGTGTCTTGTAGGGGCAGAGGCGGTGTCATAGCGGAGTCCTGGGGTAAGGTGAGGCCCTCTTCAGCCTGCTGGGACACAAGCGTGGCTGCAGCCACAGGCTTTGGGGCTGACGAGAGTTCTGTGTCTTGTAGGGGCAGAGGCGGTGTCATAACGGAGTCCTGGGGTAAGGTGAGGCCCTCTTCAGCCTGCTGGGACACAATCGTGGCTGCAGCCACAGGCTTTGGGGCTGATGAGAGATCTGTGTCTTGTAGGGGCAGAGGCGGTGTCATAGCGGAGTCCTGGGGTAAGGTGAGGTCCTCTTTAGCCTGCCTGGGGACAATCGTGGCTGCAGCTACAGGCTTTCTGCCAGAGGGGAGGTCCAGCCCTCCTTCTTCCTTCAAGTTCTGAGGAGAGTCTGGACACAATGTGAGGCTTGTTTCTTCCTGTGGAGTTGGAAGTTTTTCTGCAGTGACAGACTCTTGGCCTAAGATCTCGCTGATGCCCTCCTGGGAGGGCTGAGGCATTGCCATGGCAGCAGATTCTTGTCCAGCGGTGGAGTCTGTTTCTTCCTCCCCAGCCTGTGGGGTCACTCTGGTAGCCACCTCCACCTGGAGGCCTGGGGCTACCTGCAGAGTGTGAGGGGTCACAGTGGCAGTGGACTCCTGGCCTAAAGCAAGGCCCTCTTCTGTTACTTCTGAGATCAATTCCTGTCTCTGGGACAGATAGGCCCCTCTGTCTGAGGTCTGAGGAGCAGCCTCCACGGCCCAGGACACAGTCCCATCCTGAGCCTGCAGCCCCTTGGCCCCACCTCCGCTCTCCTCCTCTGTCTTCTGGACACTGTCCTGGAGCAAAGTGGCCTGGGCATGGGGCTCCCCGCTGTACAGCCTCTCATCATCTGCCTCTGCGTAGGAGGCTGAGTCTGAATCAGAGGAGGCTGCAGAGGTGTCGTCCCGGAAGGCAAAAGCCTCGTCCATGCCCTCCGTGATGGACAGGTCAGACAGTGACTGCAGGAAGGAGGCAGACGTGCTGTCCTCCTCACCCTCCCCAGCCAGGTCCCCACCTGGGTCGGGATCCGCCACAGCCTCCTCTTCTTCTTCCTCTGGGGATAGCGGTGTCACCTCCACTGCCTCCACCTGAAAGATGAGGCTGCCCTGGAAGGGTAGGAGGGCTGCGGGGATCATTGGGTCATTGGCCAGGAAGTCCAGGTCGAAGAAGTGGCCCTCCTGGCCCCAGGAGGAGCTGCTGTCTGCAGAGAGGCTGGACTCAGAGGACGGGGGCTCTGGGGTCCCTGCTGGGTGCAGCTCTCGTTCATCCACCATGGACCCCTGCGGGGACAGGCCCCAGCCTGAGGGGAAGTCCAGCCCTTCAGCCGGAGCCAGCAGGCTGAGGGAACAGGAGGGTGAAGAGGCCCAGCTGTCCCCATCGGCCGTAATGTAGGAGCCCGAGGGTGAGGCGGGGGGCGAGTCCAGCAGCTCATCCCGCAGCTCAGCCTCTGAGTCCCTGGCGTCCCCGTGGGGCCCACAGGCAGGAAGCAGGGCATAGGTGGTCTTGGTGGGGGTGGAGGGAGGCGTGAAGAAGGAATCAGGGTCTGGGGGAGGGGAAGGCACAGAAAGATCACCCTGAGAACACAGCTCGGGGGGTGGGTCTGGGCTTGCGTGCCCACCCTCCTGGTCCCTGAGCGCTGTCCGGGCAGCTCTGGGTGACAGGAGGGCCTGGCACGTCTCCTCTCCCATCACAATCCGGGGCTCCAGGGTGGCCGGGAGAGGAGCCTCCGTGGACAGAGCCTGGGAAGACAGGCCCTCAGGGAGGAGCATGGGGCTTGGGCCGCCCTCCCCTGGGTCCGCCCAGGCCGAGGGTGCCCCACCAGGCCCTGCATCCCAGCTGGCTCCCTCGGGCTGGGGCCGGGCACCCGGCTTGCTGGGCAGGAACGTGAGGGCCAGGTGGCTGGGCCCTGGGGTCAGAGCACAGGGCTCCCGCCGGTCCCCTCCCAGGATGGTGGTGGCAGCGGCCGCATCGCAGGACAGATCTGTGGAGATAGAGAAGATCATGAGGTGCCCCTGGATGCATCTCCCAGGCAAGGGCCAGGCCCGGGGAGATGAATTCCGGCTGCATAGGGCCCAGAGGAAGGTGGATCCAGGAAGGCAGGAGAGAAAAGAGAAGACCCTCTGCACGCTGCGTTTGAGGGAGAACTTCCAGGAGTTTTGACAGCAGAGAGCAGATGCTAGTGGTTTCCTAGAGAGGGGTTTTGAGGGAAGTGTTGCTGGGAGTCATGAACAGACCTGTCTGGCGGCTTTTCTCAAGGACACCTCAGCAAAGAACTAGCATTTCAGCCTCTCTGGGGAGACTGGATTGCAGTTTCCATTCCACAGAATCAGTGTGGTTCAGCTGGGCTCGGTGGGAGGGGCTGGTGGTGGGAATCTGCCAGGCAGTGCCAGTCCCATCCCATGACCTCCCAATAGATGCGCCACATGAGGCAGGTGGCACCAGCACGACGCGCGCAGCTCGAACACTCTGGGCTTCATGCCTCGCTCTGCCTCCTCTCTCTGCTGTCCTTGCTACCTACACTTGAGGCCAACATGTCAGGGTTTCACCAGGCCCCTCTGACCCTGCTCCCCTCCTGCACCCAGGGAGATGGGGAAGCCAGGGGCCACCACACGCAGCCAAGTTTCTGGAGAACAGAGATGAAGTGTCCCGTGGAGGCTTTGCTGGAGCATCTGGCCACAAGGGCAGTGGTGGGCAGGAACGGAGACCATGGAGCCCAGCAAGAGCACAGGACAGCTTCAGAGGGCCAACAGCAGCCTCTGGCTGAGTCCTCTCCTTGGTGGCAGCCACCCCATGGGTGACCACCAGTTCCTTCCCGGGTGCTGGGAGTTCCCACCCTGCCCTGTGGGCCTTCTCTGGGTCCCATGATGCACTCCCCCAACCCGCTGGGCAGGCTTCAGTATGAGGAGGCTCTGGTACTCAGTAAACGTCTGTGAGCTAACACACCTCCAGCTGAGAAAGGAGTCCATAGGAAGTAGCCCTCATGGGTCAGAAAGGACTTAGGGGACTCAGGAAGATGGAAGAAAACCCCTCCGAGGTTGCGGCACACCAGACCGCTATGGTTTTCTGCCTCCTGGACTCTTACTGGCCTGTATTTTATCACAGGCGAGATCACATTGCACATTCAGTTTTGAATCTAGCTATTTTCACCCAACCTAATCTCATAAGCATTTTCCTGTGTGCTCTAAATGCTCATAAGCTTCATTTTAAATGTCTCCATTATGTCCACTCCCTCACTTGGACCTAGGCCAAAGGCACCTCTGTTTGAAGCATCCAATGAAGGCCCTTCAGAGCCCAGGCCAGGTCTTGCCCAAGGTGGGGGAGCGGCGGCACACAGGGGCCAGCTCTCCAGGCTGCAGATGCCTGCCTGGTGGCTCCTGCTCTCCCGCACTCACTGGTGACCAGGACAACATCTCTTGCACCTCAGCTTTCTCATCTACAAAGCAGAGCCAGGATTAGAGTTGAAGCTGAAAGAAGGGGGACCCTGTTGCCAGGCTGCTCCAGCTCCCCTCAGCAGCATCAGAGCCCTGAGCCCTGAACCACCAGCCAAAACTTGTCACCCAAGGGCTTTGCTGCTGGGGTGATGGGACATCCAGGGGGTCCTGAGACAAGGGGGTCCTTTGGGTTCTTGCATGCCTGACACCCAACATCAGGAGTGGGCGTGGCTGGTGGGGCATCACTGGGTGCCCTGAAGCTGGGCTCTTGGTTCTGGCCCCTGGTGTGGCCCCCAGGGCAGGGGAACGGCTGAGCTGTTGGGATGGAGCAGAAACCAAAGGCCAAAGGTTTTTATAACTCATTCAAGGTCACCAAGCAAGCCAGAACAGAGCCAGCACAAGACCCTGGGGCTGGGAAGTCTGGGCCTGCACTCCCTGCCTCCCACCTAGAGCAGAGGCAGCAGCCTGTGTCACCCCAAACCAGGCCCCAGGCCCCAGCAGTGGTCCCATCTCTGGGTGACTTCTTGCCCACAGCAAGGTGCCCTTGGCCCTACCCACACATGGCTGACCTCCACGCCAGGACTGTCCAGGCTCGGCTCTTTCTAGGCCCCGTAGACCCCATCAGCCTCCACCAGCATTTGTTGACCCAGCCTAAGGACAGGTGGTCTGCACACCCAGGGCCATTGCTAATCAGGCCACCTCCCCCAAGGCCTTCCACCTTCCAGACCCAACTTAGGCTTTATTCCACCACCTGGCCCTCCATCCGGGCTTCCTAGGCTCTGGCCAGTCCTGCTCCTCCCTCCAGAGCCATGACCAGTCGCCGGCCCAGGACAGACCGGGTGCAACTGAGGACCCTCCCGGTGGTCACCTGATCGTACTGGGGGTATCAGCCGGACACCCCGCCTCCAGAACCCGCTGCCTCTGTCCAGAGCGGCCCAGCCCCAGCAGGCTGGCAGCTCGGTGCAAACAACGGGATGCAGCGGGCGGGATGCGAGCCCCACGATCCCTGGGTCGGAAGCCAAGGGCTTAAGCCCCCACGTTCTTTCTGGCTCGCGGCGGGCACTTCGTGCGCCCCACCTTCCCCGCAGTTCTGAGAGAGGCGGTAGCAGGGTTCAGATGGAGGGAAGGACAGGGCGCGGAAAGGGGAGGGGACTCGAGGGGGGC